>NW_011332690.1:0-365499 GCF_000001405.40 Homo sapiens
AGAGGACTGTGGCCACTAGCTCTGCAAATCTGAATGAAATTTGTGCCTGCAGGGGCCTGGGTGGATCTGGAAACGTCAAGATGCCGGTAGCAGAAATGGAACTGGAAAAGGAAAGGCAGGCTGGTGGAGCCTGGTATCTTGACAGAGCTCCAAAAACAACTGTGGAGAGAGAGGGATGGACAGAGAGAGAGAGAGAAGAGAGAGAGAGAGAGAGAGAGAGAGAGAGAGAGAGAGAGAGAGAGAGAGAAGGCTGGGTGGGGAGAGAGAGAGCTGGGAGGGAAGAAATTCTTTTCTGGCAGACAATAAGGGATCATAATCTGCTAGTTTGGGAGTGCTCCAGCTCTGCCAGACGTCTCCAGTGGGACGGTCTCCCTTCATCCTAGTCAGGGGCTGGGACTTGACTTCCTCTTCCACCATCTCAGTAAGCGACCTTGGCCTTTGATTTGAGAGGGGCCGATGTGGGCAGGGTAGATTCTCAGGACACAGGAGAGCATCCATCCTTCTTAACAAACTGTGAATAAGGTGCTGGCTCCTGCTTTTGACTGGTTTTCCCGGCTGGTCTTCCTCAGTGGCAGGAAGCAGGAGCCTGGGGGCTGACCCACCTGCCCTGGGCTCCTTGGGAGGGGAACAGTGGTGCTTGATCCCAGGAGGCTCCCTGTGAGTGGCTGCTCCCTTCTCCAGCAAAGGATGTCTTATTATCAGGTCTGAAGATGAGGGAAGTTCACTATTGATTACGCCAGCCAGTGAGCAACTTTCTAACTTCACGGTCAAGTATTTGCCCTTCTATTAATCAGGGTTCTTCAGAGAAGCAGATAGATAAGTAGATAGATTAGATAGATAGGGAGATAGATGGCTAGATAGATAGGGAGATAGATGGCTAGATAGATAGATAGATGGCTAAATAGATAGATGGATGGCTACATGGATGGATAGATAGATGGCTAGATAGATGGATGGATAGCTACATAGATGGATGGATAGATAGATAGATAGATAGATGGCTAAATAGATAGATGGCTAGATAGATAGACAGACAGATGGCTAGATACATAGACAGATGGCTAGATAGATATATGGATAAATAGATGACTAGATAGATAGATGACTAAATAGATAGGCAGATCGATAGATTTATAGATCAATAGATAGATAGGTAATAGTTAGACAGATGGCTAGACAGATGGATGGCCAGATAGATAGATAGATGGCTAGATAGATAGTGACTAGATAGATGGATAGGTAGATGGCTAGATAGATAGATGGATGGATGGTTAGCTAGATAGCTAGATAAATGGCTGGATAGATAGATGGATGGCTAGATACATAGATGACTAGATAGATAGTGGCTAGATGGATAGATAGATGGATGGCTAGATAGATGGCTAGATAGATAAATAGATGGATAGATAGATAGATGGCTAGATAGGTGGATAGATAGGTGGATGGCTAGAGAGATACACAGATGTATGGATAGATAGATAGATAGATAGATAGATAGATAGATAGATAGATAGATAGATATGGAATTGGCTCATAGGATGGTCAAGGCTGGCAAGTGCAAAGTCTGTAGAGTGGGCTGGCAGGCTGGAGACCCCGGGAAGAGTTGATGCTGCGGCTCGAGTCCATAGGCAATCTACTGGCAAATTTACTCTTTGGAGGAAGTCAGTCTTTTTCTATTAAGACCTTCAGCTTATTGGATGAGGCCTACACACAGGAATTGCTTTACTCAAAGTCTACTGATTTAAATGTTCATGTCATCTAAAAAATACTTTCAGAGAGACATCCAGAATAATGTTGACCAAATATCTGGGTCCTGAGGCCCAGCCAAGTTGACATAAAATTAACCATCACTGCTCCCTTTGCTTTTAGCACTCAGTGAGTGAACACTTTCAGCCCCTGCACCCCAAGCCATGAGTGATATCTATCTATCCACCCAGGCTGGGGGGAGTGGGAGCCCTGGGGCATAGTAAAGGGCTTCGATGAACACAGGAGGGGAAGGGAAGTACAGAGACAAATGCTTAGATATATTGTATATCTGTTAACATTGTATAGTAAATATATATTATATATATATAATGTGTGTGTATATATATACACACTATATATATGATGTAATGTGTGTGTGTATGTGTGTATATATATATATATATATACACACACACACACACATATATATATACAGTATATATTGACCTCTGCCTCCCCTCTCCTGGCTCAGTCCCTTCTCAGACCCTGAAATTCTTTCTGTTTCTTGTCCACGGTGGAAGGACCCCTGGACAAGAAGCTTGGTGTCTCCATTGTCCCTCTCTCCCAGCCTGCCCTGACCCTGTCCTGAGACTCAAACCTTCCTGTGACCCGCCCTCACTTAAGGTTGCCAAAGCAGAATTGCTCCAATGCCTTGGCCCTGCCATGTCAGCCCTCCTCTTCAACACTGAGGCCTGTCTGTTCTTCCCGGAGCTTCTAGAGTTGGCTGAGTGCCCATGACCAGGTGCCTGCCAGACCACCCTGATGCTTCTCACTGCCCAGCTTTCCCAGAAATTGTTCAAGTCCCCTGATGGGGCCTGGGGCTTGCCAGGGCTGGCAGTGCCTTTGGGCAGGTGCCCCAGTCTGGACCCAGGATCACATGAGTGAGTCTGACCCCACTTCTTCCCCTCAGCTGCTTTCCAAGCCTCTGCCCCATGGGTGAGGTTGACCAGATGCTCCAAGGAATGCATAGACTCACACTATGCAATCGCTCTGGGGCCCTATGGCTGGGTGTGACTCCTGGGCACAGCCTGGGGAGCAGGTTTCTCCTTTGAGTGGCCCCGAGCATTGAGGACAGCAAGGATAGTGGCAGGTGGTCTAGGCCCTCATCACCCCTGCCAGCAGCAGCTGGCAGTCCCTTATCCCTTCTGGAGGCTCCTGTCCACTATCAGGCAGCTGCCTCCTCCAACGTCTTTCGAGGACATTGCTCCACAGCACCGATACACCCACGGGCTCTTCCCATCAGCATCATCTCCCACCTCCCATCCATGTGGTGATGCTGAGCTCTCCACATTGATCCTGCCAAGCCAGATGCAGGCAGACATCCCTGGAGAGTGAGACTGCTCTTGTATGTGGAGGGCCAGGGTGCAATCATCATCAAATGGGATCTCAAGGTAGGAATGCAGTGATTATGGCCTAACACATTCAAGAGAATATGGCTGGAAGATGTGTGGTTCTACCTTTATGCTATAAAATTTGGAACAGTAATTTTTTTTTTTTTTTACTGTGTCGCTCTATCACCCAGGCTGGAGTGCAGTGGCACGATCTCGACTCACTGCAATCTTCGCCTCCTGGGTTCAAGTGATTATCCTGCTCAGCCTCCAAAGTAGCTGTAGCTGCGATTATAGGCACGTACCACACCCACCTGATTTTTTTTTTTTTTTTTTTTAGTAGAGACAGGGTTTCACCATGTTGGCCAGGCTGGTCTCAAACTCCTGACCTCAGGTGATCCACTCCCCTCAGCCTCCCAAAGTGCTGGGATTACAGGTGTTAGCCACTGTGCCTGGCCACTCTCTAGCCATTATTTGAAGTCTTCATTGATAAATCACTATCCCTCACATGAGTTTGTGAATTTTGTAATACGTTAAAATTATTTATATTGACTGGAGACCTACAAAAAAAAAAAATCCACCCACCAAAAGGGCAGCTCTGATCTAGATACTGGGATTTCCTGAATGTGGAGGGCAGAAGGGTGGGGGACAAGCCAGCTGACCATGCTGGATAGATCAGGCAATTGGGTGGAAAAGGAAGCAAAGTTGGGATGGGCCTTAAAAATGAGGGAAGAGTGCCCGTGTGGCGTGTGTGCCAGGGGATCTCACTCTGTGGAATGGCAAGGACCGTGGGAATAGAGGTGTGAGAGGTGGGGGGCTGGGGGTTTGGGGGAAGCTCTCTAAGTAGGGCAGTCTTGGCATGGTAGGGGTCTCTAGAGATGAGTGGGTGGAGGTGTAAAGGGACCAGTATTGCAAATGGATCCTCCTGGTGGCGTGGTCCAGGACTTCATGGATGTTGGTGGAGGCCAGCAGGGAAGTGAGAAGGGTGTGAAGGTACACAATGGGAGCATAGGAGATGACCCCATAAGGAGGGGGTGGACAGGTGCTGAGTGGAGGCGTGGGTGGGGAATGAGAGGCCTCCACACTGGGCTGCTGCAGAGGTGGCGTGCTGCGGAAGGGCCGGAGCATGGAGGCCAGTTCCCATCACCACTCTATCCCCACGCCTGGCTCCCAGCCTGGCCAGAGGTCCTTGACTGGGAGTGCTTTGTCTGCCCTACAGACTCGCCTGCCATGTGTGTTGCTCAGCGGGGAGGTGCTGGGGGCCCTGTTCTGGGACAACCATCAGTGTGACACATGTTGAGCCCCTGGGCACATGTGAGCTCTTTTACGAGCTACGTCCTTCAAGTTAGACAAGAAGAAACCAAGGCCGAGAGAGAGAAGAAACTTGACCAGGTTCCCACAGCTTGAATGTGGTGGCGCTGCCTGGCTGGTGCCCCTTCCTGGAGGGAGTCTGTTGTCATGTCCTGGAGGCCAAGGCCTGGATGTGGGATGGTGGGGGCACTCTTTGTGCAGCGGGTCAACACGTGCCCCTTCGGCCTTGGTGGGCCGGACCCAAGGACGGAAGGTGCCCAGGTCTGGGGGCTGAGGGATGGGTGTCCACCGCAGAGCCCTCAGAAATGACTGGTCCTGGATGGCGGTCCCTGGAGAGGCAGCTCCTCTTTGAGTGGTGGGCATATGTGGCCATGCCCAGTCTTGGAGGCGGTGCAGTCCGACCGGCCACCCCGACTGCTGAGACGCAGGACTCAGCACCCAGTGTTGTCCTTGGCCAGGCGGCCAGCCTGCCCTGTGGGGCTTTGGGGTTCTCCTCTCCGAGCTTGTTTCCCCAGCATCCTGGAGAAGCCCAGGGAAAAACCCAGCCTATGTTCCCGCTGTAAACGGCCCACATCCCCTCCAAGCTCCCTTTGTGTGTCTCCAAGCTGGACTGCAGGGATCAGAGCTGTGCTGCCCGTGCAGCACCCACCCGCCCCTGGGAATGAGGGTAATGGGGTCACAGAGCCATCACTTGGACCTTGGCGCCCTCGGCTGGTGGCAGCCAAGGTCTCCCAGCACCCAGGCCGCTGGGAGTCTCTAAAGGGGAGGGGTGGGGCTCGACTGTCCCCTCCCCCTCAAGTTTGCTCTGTCCTGGGCAGGCCGTAGTCCCAGTTGAGAAGCTGTGCCCCCTTGGGTGTTTTGGAGGTTCAGGGTGGGTGCTGAAAAGCCCTGAGGGAGAGCAGAAGGCTCGGGGGCCTGTCTAGGGCATGGCATCCCACGTGGGTGTCAGCACGGCCGCAGAAGAACCACTTCTCTGGCCCACCCATGCCTGCTAGGCCATGCTTCTTCAGAAGTGGCCACAACTCTCCTGACGTCTCCAGAGCCGGTCATTCCACCCAGGGGGACTTCAGCTGCCACTGGACACTTCAATTGTACGCTGCGACCAGTTGCCAGGAAGGAGAGGGCTGGCAAGAGAGCCGCGGCAGCCGTGGCAGGGTGTAGGGGACGGTGGACGGCCAGGGCCCCCCCCTCTCTCTCTTTCTCTCTCTCTCTCTTGCTTGGTTTCTGTAATGAGGAAGTTCTCCGCAGCTCAGTTTCCTTTCCCTCACTGAGCGCCTGAAACAGGAAGTCAGTCAGTTAAGCTGGTGGCAGCAGCCGAGGCCACCAAGAGGCAACGGGCGGCAGGTTGCAGTGGAGGGGCCTCCGCTCCCCTCGGTGGTGTGTGGGTCCTGGGGGTGCCTGCCGGCCCGGCCGAGGAGGCCCACGCCCACCATGGTCCCCTGCTGGAACCATGGCAACATCACCCGCTCCAAGGCGGAGGAGCTGCTTTCCAGGACAGGCAAGGACGGGAGCTTCCTCGTGCGTGCCAGCGAGTCCATCTCCCGGGCATACGCGCTCTGCGTGCTGTGAGTACAACCTGCTCCCTCCCCGGGCACAGATATGACAGAGGGGCTTAGAGGGGGCCCAGCTTTGAGATGGGTTGTTCTTATGTCACAGGACAGAGTGATCTGACATGCACACTTCCCCGCCACCCTGTCATGGACCTTGTCCTTGGAGTTCAGAGAGCTGGTCTCATGGCAGGTTTTGCAGCCTTGGAGCTGTCAGAACCACTCTGAGGCCTGATGTTACACCCCAGCTTCCCATGAGCTGTATGGACCTTGTGGCTTCCTTGGAGTCTGGGGACCGAGAGAAGGGAGTTTGGGCTTTTGGAGCCAGGAGGAAGCTCAGGGCTCTGTGGAGGTGGGTGTGTTAGAGATCAGCTCAAAGATGCCCAGCTCAGAAACCCTGAGAAGAGCAAAGGTGGCAAGGGGGACCCTTCCTGGAGCACCCAGGCTTCGGGCCCCTGGAGGAAGCTGTTGTTTGGCGAGCCAAGAATATGGGGTGAGTTTAATCAAGAAAGGACTTTCCATTCAGTCAGAAGCTGCTTTCAGGGGCCTGAGAGCAGAGGAAGTCACCATTACCACCAGCGAGCAGCCTCTTCTCTCTCCTGAGCACTTGGCTGTGACCGCTGCCCACCCCCCACCCCCTCAATTTGGGTCTCTGTCACCATCAACTCCTCCCACTGCCCGGTTGGGGATGTTACTGAATGTACCAGCTGTGCTAACAATGGAGGAACCAGCCACTTGCTGAAGGTTCCTTTCTAAAACCCCCTTCCTGTCCAGCGTCTGAAGGAGGCCCTTGCCCTGCAGCTCTCGGTCTAATCATAGGGGGGCCTTGCCCTGCAGCTCTTGGTCTAATCATTTTGCCGGGGCCTCAGGCAGTGCCGGAGTGTAGTCAGGGAAATGTGTGTCCACCTGAACATCTCAAGTAGCATCCCTGGGCTGGCAGAAATGTTCCCCCGAGCAGCCAGGGCCTTGTGCTTCTCCAGGCAGGAGGGGAATTGGGTGATGAACCCAGACCTGTTTTGAATACTGACTCACAGCTGGGACCTGTCGTGCTAAGCATTTGTTAGCCCATTTCATCCTCACCACAACCTAAAGTGAAGGTCCTGTTAAAAGCCCCACTTTGCAGATGAGAAATCTGAGGCCCTGGCAGGTTAAGTGAGTGACAACAGTCAAAGCCACGGCCATCTGCCCCCAGAGGCTGCAGCTGAGACCAGCAGCCTGTGGCCCAACCTCTCCTGCTCCCAGTCCAGCGGGGCAGGCATGTAGCCTTGCAGGGCTGGAGAAAGAAGCAAGGGGAGCCACAGTGTTTACAGGGTCAGCTGGGGCACTGGAAACCAAGCCAGGCTCGCAGCTGGTCGCTGGCCTGTGCTGACAGTCTGCAGCCCCACCTCCAAAGACTGGTTTCCTGTGTCCCCTCTCTCATGCCTCAGGGGAAGGAACGCAGGCCCAGGCTGCCTGGACTTCCCCAGTGGGGACCTGCTGCTGCCGGGGCCTTAGAAGGAGCAGGAAGATTCTCTTAGGCCTCTCACAAGCCCAGTCTGACTCCACCTGGCCCATGTGGGTTACTTGGATTTCTCTCCTGGCCCAGTGGGATCTTGTCCTGGCTGTTTGGTGTTGGCTGAGCCGAGGGCTTCCAGGGCCCCATCTCATTAACCTTCAACACAGCCCTTTGACCAGGGCTTGCTTTGTGGTTGCTCAGGTTACAGACATGGGGCGTGGGTCTCTCTGACTCCGAGCCGTGAGCATCTTAACGTCTAGGATTAGCCTGAGCCAGAGTCAGAGCTGGAGAGGCCTTGGAGAAGCTCTGGTGCAACAGCCCTGGCTTTTCAGGAGGTAGACAGAGGGCAGAGAGCCTGAGGCCTTTGTCCACCATGCTGGCTGGGGTCAAAACTGCTGGGATCCAGGCCAGTTCTCGTATTCCTTCCTCTACCTCTTCTCTCTGAACCCTTGTCTGCACTGAGTTCTCTCAGAGTCATGATGGGTGTGCAGTGTCTGCTCCTTAGAGAGGGACCTGTGGTGCCTACAGATGTCCACTATCCTCTCAGCCGAAGCCTCGTCAGCCTCCTATCCTGAGGCTGCTGGGCTGCAAACACCAGGAGTCCCACCCCTTGGCCAGACAAACCCTGGGCTCAGTGTTTCCCTTTCTCCTCTGCTCAGGGTGGGAAGCTTCCCTTCCTGCAGGGTCAGGCTCCACTGTAGGCCGTGGGTTGCTATGGACCTGCAGACTTTCCATACATCTGCAGGCTTCATATGGCTGCCACCCTGGATTTTGCCAATTACGGAGATTTTAAAACTAAAAACTAATTAAATGAATGATAACAAACTGTCATCTTCCAACACCTCATTTCTTGAAAGAAAGCAGCCTTTGACACCAAAAGAGGCAGGAAGGGCATTAAAAAAAAAAAAGCCAGTCATTTAAAGCAAAGAGATTGAACTTCTTGAAAAACAAACCCTACCACCCTTAGTTTTCTGTGTTCCCTGCAGAGTCGCCGTGGCCTGACGGAGACGGCAGAGGCAGACAGTCCCAGGCTGAGGGGTGTGCAGGGCAGCCGGGTTTTCTGCGGCTGCAGAAGTAGCAGGCTTTGCCCCCCTAGCCCTGGAAGCCTGGAGCCACCCTGCTCTAGAAGTGACTGCAGAAGGAAGCCACACACTCACCCTCCTGCCCTAGCAAAGTCCATGGGAAAAGTATACCTGCCCCATGGCCCCTCAGATCACCCAGGTGCCCTGACCTCATCCTGCCTGGGCCCCAGCAGCACTCCCTCCCAGGCCCCCTCTGGTGGGCAAGGGGACAACGGCCGGAGTCTCCACCTGATGGTTTGGGCAAGTGTGCCTGGAGTCTCAGGAACTGAGAGCAGCCTCACCAGGGAGGGGCCTTTGTGCTCAGGAAAGAGAACAGGATTTGACTATGTAAATGGACTTGAGCGGGGGTTGGACATCAAAAGACAGGGCTACAGTTCAGTGCCACCCATGTGACTTAGGAGTGCACATTCTGCGCACACCCAGCAAACCCTGCATTTCCTCGAGAGAGGTCAGCCCCGTCACCTACCACTGGGCAGGAAAGCTTTGATCTCACCTCAGCAGCTTGGAAAGCCCTGCTTGACAGGGAGCCTGGGCTCCATCTCGGGGCACAGACAGTTGCAGTGGGAAGACTCCAGCAGGTGGCTGCCTGGTTTGGGTCCAACTCTGCCGTCTTTCAGCCAGGGGCTCTTCTAAGTAGAGCCTATGTTGTCCCCACCTGGTCCCCACTCAAATCCCCCGGCAGAGTTGGCCCTGCTCCGGGGGGAGTCTGTGGGTGCCTCCAGGGGACGTTGGGTACATCGTGGGTGGGAGACATTAAGAGCTGTCAGGCTCATGCCCTCTCCTGCCACGCAGGGGCCAGCACACCTGGCAGGGCCTTATGCTGCAAAGAAGAGATGCCTTGGGAATGGGGTCAGTCAATGCAAGGGTCCATGGGTTGGCCGAGCCGGCATCCCCTTGTGCAATCTGCACAGGCAAAGCTGATCAAAGGCCCAATGTCAGTATATAGGCTGCCCTCTCTGCAGGAGCAGCTGGGGCCCGGGATCAGGCCTAGAGTGGCCGGCTCAGCTGTCTGCCATCCAGCCTGGAGTTGCGCAGGAGGGCGGCGTTCCCAGCCAACCACTCCAGAGAGAGGGGGCTTCCCTCATGGGGGAGGCGAAGGCACGTGGCTGCCTTTGGCTCAGAACCCAGTGCCTGGTCTGGCCACAGCTGACAGTGTGGTTTTGGTTTCCCTCCACATGTGGCCTTCCACAGGCCACCCAGGCACCATGGCAGGGTCTTGCTTACCCCTTCCCAGGGGCAGTGTAGACAGTGCACCGGACAGACCTGGCTTCACCAGCAGAAGGTTGTTACCAACCTGCTCCGCCTAATAACAGCAGGCAACTTCCAAAGAGCTCTGTGCCAGGCACCATTCTAGGCTTATATTGACTCATTTGATGTCCACGAAGACCTTCAAAGGAGGTCTTATTATCTCCACTTTACAGATGGGGAAACCGAGGTGCAGAGCGGTTTATGGAACAGGCCTAGTTTACAGGACTAACAAATAAAAGGGCCAGGATTGCATGCATGATCTTCCTGGAAGCGAGAAACAGAGACCATAAGGTGGCCTGTGTGGGGCGGGGCAGAGCCTGGAGAGGGAACTTCTCGTGATGGAGCCGCAGAGAAGGGACTTGGGAGGGCGAAACTCCTAATCTCAGAGAGTCCAACAGAGTTGGAAAGCTGTGGTGTGAGCGGGTGGCTAAGTCTCCCTTTCGAAGCTTCAGTAAAATAGACACTGTTAATTGTTTTTGTGCAAATGCAATAAGGCACTATTTTTCATATCTGATATTGACAGTCAGTGGGAAAAAATGCTGGCCCAGGTCGTAGCCAGAGCTACTGACATCTGGCTCACACCAGAAAGCCGGCCAAGGGGCTTTATCCAAGGCTGACTGTGCCGGGTTTTCTCTCTGCATGCAAGACCAGGAAGGGGTATGTGCCCTGGAAGGCCTATGTATTTCACTCACTAACTGTATCTTCCATGTGAAGTGACGCAGAGCAAGCATGTTAAAATGGAGTCTCCAGGTTTTCTGTGCCTACGCTCAGCCCCCGTGAAAAGTCCTTTCGGGTCCAGAGATTAGGCTCCAGCTTTGATGCTTTGCATGTTTGTCTACCTGGTAGGTTAAATTCATAAATTCATGAACACAATCAGCACTTCTTGGGTTTTTTTTTTTTTTTTTTTTGACAGAGTCTTGCTCTGTCGCCAAGGCTGGAGTGCAGTGGTGCAATCTTGGTTCACTGCAACCTCCGCCTCCCAGGATTAAGCAATTCTCCTACTTCAGCCCTCCAAGCAGCTGGGATTACAGGTGCCTGCCACCACACCGGGCTAATTTTTTTTTTGTGTTATCCTCAGGTGATCTGGCCTCTTTAGCCTCCCAAAGTGCTGAGATTACAGGCATGAACCACTGCACCCAGCCTTTTTCTTTCTTTCTTTCCTTCTTTCTTTCTTTCTTTCTTTCTTTCTTTCTTTCTTTCTTTCTTTCTTTCTTTCTTTCTTTCTTTCTTTCTTTTTTTTTTTTTGAGACAGAGTCTCGCTCTGTCGCCCAGGCTAAAGTGCCATAGCATGATCTTGGCTCACTGCAACCTCCACCTCCAGGATTCAAGCAATTCTTCTGCCTCAGCCTCCTGAGTAGCTGGGATTACAGGTACCCACCACCATACCTGGCTAATTTTTGTATTTTTAGTAGCGATGGGGTTTCACCATGTTGGCTAGGCTGGTCTCAAACTCCTGACCTCGTGATCCACCTGCCTCGGCCTCCCAAAGTGCTGGGATTACAGGTGTGAGCCACCGCACCTGGCCTTTTTTTAAAATTATTATTATTTTATTTTTTATTTTTGAGACACGGTCTTTCGCTGTTGCCCAGGTTGGAGTGCAGTGGCACAATCACAGCTCACTGCAGCCTTGCTTGATCAAGCGATCCTCCTGCCTCAGTTTCCCGAGTAGCTGGTATTCCAGGTGCAAGTCACCAAGCCTGGCTAATCTTTTTTATGTAGAGACAGGGTTTTGCTATGTTGCCCAGGCTGGCCCCCAACTCCTGGAGTCAGGTGGTTCTCCCACCTTGGCCTCCCGAAGTGCTGGCATTACAAGTGTGAGCCGCTGCACGCAGCCTCACATCAGCACCTCTCAATCAATTGGTGCCATCTCCCTGCACATGAACCCTTGCGTCATGATGACATGTGGTCCTCACAGCCAGGCATTTCTCCCCACCCCAGACATAGAGTGAGAGGAGCTCTGCTCTTCCCTCAATAATTCGTGCCATGCTGTGCACTCCTGAGGAGCAAGGCTCTGTGGTCTGCTGGCTCTGCTGGGCTGCATTTGCAAAATGCTAACCTTCCTGTGTCAACCCAGCATCTTCACAGGTGGAATGAGGATGACAAGGCCAAAGCCCACTCGTTGGGTTATTTTTTCAAATTGAGGTATAATTCATATTCCATACAGTCACCCTTTCTATGGTGTACAATTCTTAATTTTCTTTTTTTCCAAGACAGTCTTGCTCTGTTGCCCAGGCTGGAGTGCAGTGGCATGATCTCGGCGCACTGCAACCTCTGTCTCCCGGGTTGAAGTGATTCTCCTGCCTCAGGCTCCTGAGTAGCTGGGATTACAGGCGCATGCCACCATGCCCGGCTAATTTTTTTTTTTCTTTTTGAGACAGAGTCTCATCTCACCCCTGTTGCCCAGGCTGGAATGCAATGGTGTGTTCTTGGCTCACTGTAACCTCCGCTTCCTGAATTCAAGCAATCCTCTGCCTCAGCTTCCCAAATAGCTGGGATTACAGGTGCCTCCCATCACACCCAGCTAATTTTTGTATTTTTAGTAGAGACGAGGTTTCACCATGTTGGCTAGGCTGGTCCCGAACTCCTGACCTCAGGTGATCTGCCCGCCTAGGCCTCCCAAAGTGCTGGGATTACAGGCGTGAGCCACTGCACCTGGCCCTGGTATACAATTCTTTATCGTGCTTTTAGTGCATTCACAATGTTGTGAAACCAACACCACTGTCTGATTCCAGGACATTCTCAATACCTCGAAAAGAAAAGAAACCCTGTACCCACAGCAGTCACTCCCTATTCCCTCTCCACCCAAACCCTGGCAGCAACTAAATGACTTTTTGTCTATGGATTTATCTTTTCCGGATGTTTCATAACTGGAAACATACAACATGTGGACTTTGGGGCCAGCTTCTTTCACTGAGCACAATGCTGTCAAGCTTCATCTGTGTTGTGGCATGAATCACTCCTCTCCAGGGCTGACTAATGAGCCACTGTATTGAAAGAACCACATTTTGTTTATCCATTCATCAGTTGACAGGCATTTGGGTTGTTTCCACTTTTGGGCTATAATGAATAATGCTGTGATGAACATTCATATACAAGGTTTTGTGCAAACATATATTTTCAATATTCTTGGGTCTATATCTAGGAGCAGAATTGCTGGGTCATTTAAGTCTAACACTTTGAGGAACAGCTAAACTGTTTTCCTTGGTGGATCCACCATTTTGCATTCCTACTAGCAACATCTGAGGGTTCCAATGTCTCCACTTCCCTACCAGCACTTGTTATTATCTTTTTTATTATAGCCATCCTAGTGGGTGTGAAGTGATGTCTTATTGTGGTTTTAATTTGCATTTCTCTAATGGCTAATGATGCCAAACGTCTTTTCTCATGGTTAATGGCCATTTGTATTTGGAGAAAAGTCAATTCAGATCCTTTGTACATTTAGAAAACAGGGTTGTTTGTCTTTTCCTTGTTTCCTTGGGTTATCAAGAGGACAAAATGGAAAGATGTGAGTGACATTTACAGCCCAAGTCCAGGCATGTGGTAAGCACCCACCGAATGCTTTGCACACATAAAAATCATGCTGGTGCTGGGCAAGGTGGCTCATGCCTGTAATCCCAGCACTTTGGGAGGCCGAGGTGGGTGGATCACCTGAGGTCGGGAGTTCAAGACCAGCATGACCAACATGGAGAAACCCCATCTTTACTAAAAATACAAAATTAGCCTGCGATGGTGGCATATGCCTGTAATCCCAGCTACTCGAGAGGCTGAGGCAGCAGAATTGCTTGAACTTGGGAGGCAGAGGTTGTGGTGAGCCGAGATGGCACCCTTGCACTCCAGCCTGGGCAACAAGAGTGAAACTCTGTCTCAAAAAAAAAAAAAAAAATCATGCTGGTGATCAGGTGTGGTGGCTCACACCTGTAATCCCAGTACTTTGGGAGGCTGAGGCAAGAGGATCATGAGGTCAGGAGTTTGAGACCAGCCTGGCCAACACAGTGAAACCCTGTCTCTACTAAAAATACGAAAAATTTAGCTGGGCATGGTGGCGGGTGCCTGTAATCCCAGCTACTTGGGAGGCTGAGGCAGGAGAATTGCTTGAACCCAGGAGGTGGAGGTTGCAGTGAGCCGAGATCGTGCCATTGCACTCCAGCCTGGGCGACAGAGCTAGAATCCGTCTAAAAAAAAAAATCGTGCTGGCAATTAGTCTTTATGAGCTAAAAGTGACTAGTGACATCTCAGAAGCAGAGGAGTACAGGACCCATCTGTGAAGAACATTCCATACAGAGGAGAGAAGAGAATGGGGGCAGAGGATTGCTTAGGAAACTTCCTGGAGGCCTCTGGGGGATGCTGAGTTGTCACTTGAGGCCTCCTTGGAGGAAGCACTCAGAGAGATGGAAGCAGGAAGAGGACTGAGTGATGCCCCTGTGACGGAGGCTGCTGGGGACAGGGCTGGGAGCCTGGAAGCCAGCAGGAGGAAGGGATGGGGGCACAGAGGCACACAGAGTGAAACCAGGGGCAATGAACATGACATCAGGAAGAAAGGCAGGCATCTGAAGACCACTGGGCTCCAATTGAGGGGGTGGGTGCAGAGGGTACTGAAGTCCTGGGGCTGAGGACGATGGAAGGAGCACAGCATGTTCCATGACGGGGGTACTCAGGCTTGACAGGTGCGGCAGCACGTGGGGACCAGATTCTCTCCCCTGCTCACTTCAGGCTCCTGTTGTCCCCTTTCATTAGGAAAACACGATATTAACAAGTGCAGGCCCCTAACAGTTTGGGTTCAATACTTACTGTAAACAACCCCACGGAGGGCTGTCCCCGAGAGATCATTTGGGACCTCCCCGGAGCAGAGAGGCTTGCTGGACCACACAGCTGTCAGTGGCAATGGAGAAACAAATAGATCTGATAAACAGCAATGTCCTGTTCTTTAGAGTCACTTTAAAAAATGGTATTTATACAAAGCACAGAAAGTACAAAGCAAAAAGCAGAAAAGTAACCACCCCATCACTGAGACACTAGAATAACCATTGTTAATTCACTGGTGTATCTTCTTCTTCTCTCTACCTCCCTGTATGTATGTAATTTCCATTTTGTATATACATGTATTACATGTATATGTATAATTTTAGTCTGAGATTTCTAGCAGCATTAGCATTTTCCCATTTAGTTAGAATTTCTTCCTAAATATCATATTTTAATTTTAGTCTGAGATTTCTAGCAGCATTAGCATTTTCCCATTTAGTTAGGTTTTCTTCCTAATGATCATATTTAATGGATGTACAGGATTCTATTACATGATGTGCGACACTTCATGAAATGATTCTTCTATTATCAGATATTTAAGTTATCAACAGCATTTTGTTGTTATAAATATGACTGATGAAGGTCTTTTGCAGAAATGTTATAAACATGTCTGGTTATAGATTCCGAGGAGTGGAATTACTAGATCGAGGGACAGGAATGTTTTTAAGGCTCTTGATACAGAATGATACATTGCTTTCCAGAAATTTTTTTCCATATATGCACCAGTAAGCTGTACAAGAGAGTGCCCGCCTCATTCTAACCTTCCTATTCTGAATATTTTCATTTCAAAACACAATACATTGCAAGGTGAAGGTGGTGAATGTTCATTTTGATTTGCATTTGATTGTGGTCACGTTGAGCTTATTTGATAGAGTTATTGACCCTCATAATCCCTCTTTCGTGAATGGTCTGTTCAATTCTCTTTGCCATTTTTCTATCGAAGCTATAGTTTTTCTGTTATCTACTTGCACAAGTTTATATCACACTTGTTGCAAATATTTTCATTGTGATTTTCCTTTAAGTTTTATGATTTTTTTTTGACATTCAGGGACTGTAAATTTTTATATAGTGAAGTCTCTCAGTCTTTTCCTTTTTTCTCCCTTCGCTTTTCAATGCAGAGAATCCCTCTGCACACAGAAATTCACTTGTTTCTTCTTGTACAAGGCAGGTGGGTTATGACAGAGACTTTGGAGCTAATAGACTTGGGCTAAGGATTCAGCAGGTTTTTTTTTTTTTTTCGAGATGGTGTCTCTGTCTGTCACCCAGGCTGGAGTGCAATGGTGTGATCTTGGCTCACTGCAAACTTCTGCCTCCCCAGTTCAAGTGATTCTTCTGCCTCAGTCTCCCGAGTAGCTGGGATTACAGGCTCCCGCCACCATGCCCAGCTAATTTTTGTATTTTTTAGTAGAGACGGGGTCTCACCATATTGGCCAGGCTGCTTTCAAACTCCTGACCTTGTGGTCCGCTCGCCTCGGCCTCCCAAAGTGCTGGGATTACAGGCGTGAGCCACCGCGCCCGGCCAGGATCCAGCAGTTTATTTAATTCCACTGGGCCCTGGTTCCCCTTTCGAAAACCAGTGCTAAGAATACCTATGTGGTAATGTTGTGGGGCAGATTGGATGGAAAATATGTATCATGTTTTTAGCACAGTACTTGGTAAAAACAAATGAAGCAGTTATGGGTTTTTTACTTTTGTTTTTGTTTGTTTGTTTTACATTGAACCATTTAATCTCTCTGGAATTAATTTAACAAATGATGCAGGATACAGATTTAGGCTGGGCACAGTGGCTCACACCTGTAATTGCAGCACTTTGGGAGGCCGAGGCGGCCGGATCACCAGAGGTCAGGAGATCAAGACCATCCTGGCTAACATAGTGAAATCCTGTCTCTACTAAAGATACAAAAAAAATAAAAATAAAAATTAGCTTGCCGTGGTGGTGTGTGCCTATAGTTCCAGCTACCTGGGAGGCTGAGGTGGGAGAATTGTTAGAACCCAGGAGGCAGAGGTTGCAGTGAGCCAAGATTGTGCCTCTCTACACTCCAGCTTGGGCCACAGAGTGAGTCTCTGCCTCAAAAAAAGGAAAAAAAAAAAGATTTATGTGTATTTTTCTCAGCTAATCATCTTTCCCAAAACCTCTTACTGAATAACATTCCTTTACCCTTTGGGGTTCCTCTTTTATCATATTTTAAGTCATATATCTTTCTTTGTGTTTGTACTCTGTTCCATGTATATCTGCTTTTCTTTCCCCAATATCATAACAATTATACCACCTAATTTTATAAAATATTTTATTTTAGGTGATTTTCATATCTATTCTTCCAGGTGAACCAGCTAATAATATTGCCAAGTTGGAGAAAACTACTATTGGGACTTTGATTGGAATTGTACAAAATCCATAATATAGCTGGTATAAATTGACATTTTGGTAATATTCAGTCTTAACAAATATGGTTGTCCCTGTTATTTTAAATTTTGTAATTTTCTTCATATAGATCCTGCATATTTATTGTTATAATTTCTTCTGATTATCTTATACTCTTATTACTATTGTGAATACATTTTCCCCTACATTTCATTATAACTGATAACATACAGGGAAGTTTTAGATTTTATAAATCCATCTTTTATTCTGTCACTTTACTCACTCCTCATTATTTCAAATTGTTTTTTGGTTGCTTCTCTGGGATTTTCTTGTTTGACTCTCATGTTTGACTCTCGTGTCATCTACAAATTACCATTGTTTTGTGGTGTACTTTCCAAATACTTATGACACTTATTCAGATTTCATAACTTATTGCATGGGCCAGTATTTCTAAAACACTACAGTGGGGAATATTGGAAAAAGAAAACATCCACCTCAAGGAGACATACTGTGAGAATCGCTATGGACCACCTGGGAAGGGCATGGGATAGCCTCTGTCACCTAGTTACCACTTGATAAAAGGTAATTGTTGCTGTTTGTCATGTCCAAGAAGAAGCAGTCTTCTTCTAGTTTTAGAAAGAGTTCTGAAGGACTGAGTATTTAATTTTTATCAAATGCCTTTTTAATATCTATTGTGATGATTATATTATACCCCTTATTTCATTTACTGGTAAAATAATTTTATATATTTATATTTGGTTTATATATGTGAAACCATTTTGCATGATTACAATGAACTATTCTTGATACAATACTTTTTTATTGTACTCTGAAACTTATTTAGGGTTTTTATATATGTATTCATAGTTGAGGTTGATTTACCTGATTTTGGTTATGTTATGGTTTTAAGTCATGTATATTTTACAAAATATTCTGGAGGCATTTATGTAGCATAATTATTATCTGATTTTTGAAATACTTAAAAAAAGTTGGTAAAGCCACTTCTTCTCAATGCCATTTATACAGATAATTCTTTAATATTTACTTCAATTTATTCTTTAGTGTTGAATTGGTCTTGTTTTCTATTTCCTCCCATGTCACTTCTGTTAAGTTATACGTAATTTTCAGAGAACAATCTATTTGTTGAGATTTTCAAAATTTCTGGCAAACAATCATGCATAGTTTTGTATAACTGTAAGTTTTCTCTTTTATTGTGGCTGTCTTCATTTTCTCATTTCTAACTGTTTGTGGTGCCCAGGGTCCTGGCAGGAAATAGATGGCATGTTCAACAGGAGTGATAAAGACAGGAATGGCAAGGCAGCCAGTGGCTGGCACCCTCAGGATCCATTCCCACCCCTGAACTGAAGAGGCAGTGGCCAGAGCTGTGTCACCAGAACCTGGCAGGGCTGCAGCTAGGAGACTCCAGAGGTGGAGTTCTGTCCCTGCAAATCTGCAGCAGGCAGGGTGGGGTCAGTGGAACAAATCAGCCCATCCCCCCTTCACTCACCCTGCTGGTGCCTCGCTTCAGCCAAACCTGGGTAAAGCAGCCCCCGGAGATTTGCTGGCTGCACAGGGCAGGTGGAAAAGGGTAGAGAGTGGGTCTCGCTGGGGGAGGGGAGGCAGGGAGAGGCTGTCCAGCTCACTCGCATTTGTTTCTTTCCTTGATTCTGTTTGTCACAGGTTTGTCCATTTAATCTCCTACTTTTCAAGTGACAGGCTCTTAGGTTGGTTAATCTCTTCTGCTTTTTGTTTTTATATTCTAAAAAATGATCTCTGGACCGGACACAGTGGCTCACGCCTGTAATCCCAGCACTTTGGGAGGCTGAAGCAGGCGGATCACCTGAGGTCAGGAGTTCAAGACCAGCCTGGCCAACATGGTGAAACCCCATCTCTACTAAAAGTACAAACATTAGCCGAACATGGTGGCGGGTGCCTGTAATCCCAGCTACTCCGGAGGCTGAGACAGGAGAACAGCTTGAACCTGGGAGGCAGAGGTTGCAGTGAGCCGAGATCGAGCCATTGCACTCCAGCCTGGGCGACAAGAGCGAAACTCAATCTCAAAAAAAAAAAAAAAAAAAAAAAAAATCTCTGTCTTTTCAGGAAGCCCTGTTGCATCTGTAGGACTGAGATCAGCTTCTGTATTTCTCTTCTTCCCTCTCTTTTTTAAATCTTTGTCTTTTCCTCTAGTACCACTTTCTTGAGTGTGTCTTTTTCCTCGTTCACTTTCTCCAATCCATAGCTGCTATTTCCTGCCTCTGTCGTGTGTTAAATTCTGACTCTAAACGTCCCGGCTGTCCCTAATGGTCAGTTTCCTTTATCTCAGTTTGCTCATTTTTCACAATCAATCCCTCCAATTTCTGATATGCAGTGGTCTCTCGAATCTTCCTGAGTTCACAAATCAGACTTGTCCAGAATTTATTTTTATCAGTGATTCTATTTAAGATGGAAGTAACTCCCTGGAGTCCTTAGGAAAATGCCCTTTTCTGGATGGTGACATGTTTTCATAGGTCAGGTGATTTTTCTTTTCTGACAAAGAACTGTCGAGAACAATTGGATCAGATTTGTTCAGAGATGGGAGTGGGTTAAAACGACTGGCACTGGATGGGAGATGACAATTCAAGATCCAGCCGGTGGTGGGGCCAGAGATGAGGGTGTGGTGAGACACACAGAGGATGGGCTCCCTCCAAGGGTTGAGAGGGGGCGCCTCATACCTGGGTCTTGTCTTTGAGTAGCTGTCAGACGAGGAATAGCCCGCTGGACCCTCAAGCTGTTGTGGGGGTGCTCAGCCAGCTCCCAATAATACTCGGCCAGCCTCACCTCCATCTCTCACCTCCTGGCCAGCTGAGCCACCTGTTAATGCTTTCTCCCTTCTGGAGGGGTCCATGTTAGCAAGAAATGGCCTCTTTTCATTCATCAACTTTAGCTTTCTCTCTGGCTGTGATTCTTCAAGGTTTGGAGTGGCGAATGGTGAACAGTTTGTTTCCCAAGGTTGCCACACATTTTCTTGTCCTTCTACATTGGTGCAAATAGTTTTTTTTGTGTTTTTTTTTTGAACGCAGGGTTTCCAGCCCCCGTTCTCCTACCCCATCTTGTCCAGAAATCTGCAGAAACACAAGTCTTAAGAAAATGCAAAAACACAGACAAAAACATTAGAAATTAGAAATGATACGTAACAAGAGTCACAAAAGGATTTAAAAGCAATTACAGGAGCAGATCAGCAAAGCAAGATAGGAACACAAAGAGGTTCTTGAATTTTATAGTTGGATTCTCTGTCTCTCTGTGGGTCTGTCCATGGTGAAGATGTTCCTGGGTCTGGCTGTCAGTGTTCATTTGGCTAGGAATGGCCACACAGAAATGCTAAGATTTATCTGAAAGAATCAAACACGATGATGTTTCTTCCTACTTCCACGGGCTTGTCCTCCCATATTAGAGTAGAACTTCTCGTACTACATCAGGGTTGACCTGGTCCAGAAATGCTCTTCTACTGAGAAGCACCTTCCTGCCTCTTCTTTGCCTCCACACTCAGCACAGGGTGGGCACCTGTCATCACCCAGCACCTGTGGGAGTCACATGGGAAATTTGCTGTAAGCCCCCCTTCATTTGGGAATGGAACAAATCTCATTTGTTAGCAGAAGGAAGTACTGTTGGGCCCAGTGCTATCCTAACCCAGATCTCCAATGGGAATAATCCTGATCTGATTACTCTGAAAGGTCATCCAGTCACTGGGAGGAGTCTCAGCTGAGAGCCAGTGTTAGCGTAACAAGGTGTTACCAAATCACCACAAAGAGCTGGGGAAGGGCTGGGCGGGACCCACTGCCCCTAAAGAGCAGTGAGCATGTTTTCCAGGTTATGTTCCAGGGCAGCAATTGCCAAACACTATTTAGTTGTAGAATCTTTGCTTTAAACATTTTGCATGCAAGATATTGTGTGTGTGTGTGTGCATGTGTACATACACACATGCATGCATGCATGTTACATGTATACACATGTATGCATATGTTGTGTGTGCACATGTATATGTGTGTGTGTGTGTGTGTATATAGGACCAGAGTGAAGTACAAACTGCTGGTGGGGTGGCAGGCCAAGTGAGCACCTTCCTCCACCGCTTGGCAGAGCCTCCACACCCGTGGAATACAGTTTGGTACTACTGCTCACCCAACGACTTGTGTGTGGCGGGGCTGATGGGGTGTGTGTGGGGTGGTGCTGTATGTTTTCCCTTGAAGGTTGAAACTGATTCAGCCCTGGGGGTCAGAATGTCCAGCCCTGTGCATTGGCTATGCAGGGTCATTAACATCTGCTGAGATGTTACTGTCTAAGGGGGAAGTATCTTCTTCCTGTTATACTAGCTTTTGAATTCTGATCTGTTTTGGTAACATGGAGCTGTTTCTTTGTTTCAGTGTTTCTAGAACATCTTTGAAAAAGCCATAAAGGTTTGTCTGCCACACTTGATTGAACCAAAAAGCCTTTCCTGTTCTGTGCGCCTGCCTCTGACTCTCCCTTCGTGATTATGTTCTTTCTCTCTGTCTACAGGCTGATGTTTGGGCTGGCTGGAGCTCTTCCACAAGTCAGCTGCCCTCAGCCAAATAAGAGGCTGTTCTCACCCCTCACCTCATTTGCATACCTACAGGAGGAAGTGCCAAGGGAAGAGAGCATTGAAAAATAAGAGCACAGCAGAGTTGAGCTATCTCCACATTTGTCTGGCAGGCTCTGCAAAGGGGATTGAGGCCAGTGGTTCTCTGTGTCCCAGAGGTGTCCCTGGGAGATGTAGTGTCACTGGACTAGAGATTCATCCTTGCTATCTCTGATGCAAGACGATTGTATCAATTCAGGCTCTGGAGGTAGGACAGGGAGCAGAAGGATGGGGACTAAAGCCATGGAAGAAAGACAGAAAAATCACCTTTTCTATGTGAAGTGAAGAGACATGTGGAAGTGAAATTACTCAAAATTCTTTTTAAGTACCCATGATGCAAAAGCCATAAAATAAAATATTGTAAAATTAGCCACATAAAATTGTAAAACATCTACACAGCTTTAAAAACAACCTGTTAAAAATAACTCCAAAATATATTGTAGCATATATCAGAGTCTTATTCATAACTAAGCAAAAAATGATACCAAAATAAGCGAGTCAAAGACACAAAAGGGAATTCACAGAAAAAGAAATACAGATAACTAAACATGGGAACATGCTGAAGGACTTTTCTCATAAAGAAAGGCAAATTAAAGCAAGTTATCATTCTCACCTCTCAGATTTGCAAAGATTAAAAGGTCTGATAACAGCCAGTTGGCAGGGTGTGGGGAAATAGACACATTCATATCCGGTTAGTAGGAGAAAAAAAAGGCCACAACTTCATTGGAAGACAGTTGGTACAGTTGGTAGTCTCTATCAAAATAGCAAATCTCCAGGTCATTTAGCCAGCTGTCACCTTCTAGTGATTTACCTACAATCACTAATAAACGTCAACACGTGTACAGCACATGGTGAAACATGATGAAAATAGTAATAAACCATCTCTCACTTGGCTTGAGAAGACCTCTATGATCTTTTTTGGTGAAAAAAACAAATTTCAGAAAACGGTATACATAGTATGATATTATTGGCATCTAAAAAGATATGCATATATAATCTTGTGGGTATGTTTAAAATTTCTGAACTTACTTACAAACAGGAATAGGAAATCTAAGAAGAGGGGCTCATGGGAGTGGGGAAGGAGATGTTTATTTTTTATTTTATATCTTTCTGTATGGATTTCATTTTTTAAAGTTAGTATATATTTTAAAAAATCTAGTTAAACAGGGTCAAGTGCAGTGGCTCATGCCTGTAATCCCAGCACTTTGGGAGGCCGAGGTGGGTGGATCACCTGAGGTCAGGAGTCGAGACCAGCCTGACCAATATGGAGAAACCCCATCTCTACTAAAAATACAAAATTAGCTGGGTGTGGTGGCACATGCCTGTAATCCCAGCTACTTGAGAGGCTGAGGCAGGATAATTGCTTGAACCTGGGAGGCAGAGTTTGCGGTGAGCCAAGATTGCGTGCCATTGCACTCCAGCCTGGGCAACAAGAGCAAAACTCTGTCTCAAAAAAAAAAAAAAAAAAAAAAAAACTCTCTCTACTAAAAATACAAAAATTAGCCAAGTGTGATGGCAGGAGCTTGTAATCCCAGTTACTTGAGAGGCTGAGGCAGGAGAATTGCTTGAACCTGGGAGGCAGAGGTTGCAGTGAGCCGAGATCGTGCCACTGCACTCCAGCCTGAGTGACAGAGTGAGACTCCGTCTCAAAAAAAAAAAAAAAAAATCTAGTTAAACAAAACATACCAATAACATATGTAAATGCTCAGTGGAGTGCCTGTACCTGAGGGGGTGAGTGTGTGGAGCTTCTACACTGAGGCACTGGCTTCATTACAGAGGCTGGTCCTGTCTACAGGGCTCTACGGGCCAGGTGAGCCTTCCGGGCTCAGGAGAATCTTAAGTAGCAAAATGGGGCAAGATTATGGTGGGTGAGAACAGACCAGCAGCTTTAAGTAAGAGCCTAAGATCCAAATAGCTTTCCCTCGATCTCCTGACAGCCTTCTGGCCTCAGCAGCCGATGGATTCCATGGGTGTTAGCTGCTGCCAGGGTTTCAGCAGGCTGAGGGCCACCGCAGTGTGCCCCTCTCCCAAGGTGCTAGCACTTGACAGCCCCCTTTTCCTCTCACAGGTTTTAGGAAAGTGAAAAGTACCTTCTCCTCCTCACATTAGAGATGACTGTGCCAAAGGAAGGTAGAGCTTCTAGAAAGAGAAGAGAATCTGGGATTCCTAGGACCTTCTTGTTAGAAACAACCCCAAGACTTGCTCTCCAGCTGCTGGGGCAAATCCAGGTCTCGGCAAGGCTGGTGGCCAACCCCTGGGAGATAATCCACGGGGCATAGTGTCCAAGAGGATGAAGCCATTTGGGGGTGGCAGGGAGCTCAGCGGGAACGAGGTGCTGAGTGATCCCTGCCCCTGACAGGTGGCCCCTCTGTGGCTGGGCCTGGCTTTCCATTCACCATGGGCCGCTCTGCTTGGGCCCACTGGAGTCGTGTTTCTTCTTCAAACACCCCCTCTTTTTTGTTGTTTTTTTGTTTTGTTTTGTTTTGTTTTGAGACGGAGTCTCACTCTGTCGCCAGGCTGGAGTGAAGTGGCACATTCTCGGCTCACTGCAACCTCCGCCTCCTGGGTTCAAGTGATTCTTTTGCCTCAGCCTCCCAAGTAGCTGGGACTACAGGTGTGCGCCACCACGCCCAGCTAATTTTTGTATTTTTAGTAGAGATGGGATTTCACCATGTTGGCCAGGATGGTCTCAATCTCTTGACCTTGTGATCCACCCATCTCAGCCTCCCAAAGTGCTGGGATTACAGGCGTGAGCCACCGTGCCTGGCCTGCAAGCACCCACTCTTGCTCTATCTTCTTGGCAGCCGAGAGGTTAAGAAAGCCCCTCCATGTGGCAGACTCCTTTAGATCAGATCCTTTAGCTGCCGGGTCCCCACCTAAATGACCCCCCCCAACCTTTTCCTGGTGCTCCCTGAGTGCAGAAGCAGTGGGGGAATAAGAGTGCCTCAGCCCACGATTGCTGGACGTCAGGACTCACCTCCATCTTAAGAGAACGGTCAGCTCCGAAATTCGGAGACTTTGTGTCCAGATTCCTCAAGCTGTGTCAGGAAGTCTTGTCTTTTCAGTTAAGAGGAAACCGGGTCTTCCTGCATGGGTTCTAATAAAGTCTTTGATCTATTTCAGGTATCGGAATTGCGTTTACACTTACAGAATTCTGCCCAATGAAGATGATAAATTCACTGTTCAGGTGAGTCCTTTATAAACCTAGAAATCTGAACCTGACTTCAGCCGATACTGGCAGAGAAAGGGTGTAAACGATGAGGAAGGAAGTGCACGCGCAGGTAGCCGGACGTGAAGGCCTGGCTGAGCCTGGCTTCCTCCCAGGTGTCCATGGGGTGGCTTAGCTGGTAAACTGGGGCCCTCCAAGTGACCCTGCTCTGTGACATGACGGAGTTGCATGCCACAGGCTATTTGTGGTCCATAGGTGTGAAGAGGAAACGAAGGTGAAGCAGACTGTCCAGAGATGAAGGGAAAGGAGGGGCTGTGGCTTGGCCGACTGTTGTCTTCAGTCTCTCAAAGGAGAGAGAGGAAGTGGCTCAGGAGGGAGAGAAGGGAGGTGAACTTACAGGAGAACAGACCGTGTTTTCTGAGGGGCTGCGAGACTAGCACAAAACAGTGCCTTTCCATTTGTAGAACTCTGTTCTGTCCGAGGCTGGTGCTCACTGCATCTGATTTCACCAAGCAAAGTCAAAATGTGCAAAACTTGCAGTTCATTTTTTAATATTTTTTATTTTTGAGACAGAGTTTCACTCTTGTCACCCAGGCTGGAGTGCAGTGGCGCCATGTCGGCTCCCTGCAACCTCCACCTCCCAGGTTCAAGTGATTCCCCTGCCTCAGTCTCCCTAGTAGCTGGGATTATAGGTGCCCGCCACCATGCCCGGCTGATTTTTGTATTTTTGGTACAGATGGGGTTTCTCCATGTTGGCCAGGCTGGTCTTAAACTCCTGACAGCGAATGATCTGCCCACCTCGGCCTCCCAAAGTTCTGGGATTATAGGCATGAGCCACCCCGCCAGGCTGCAGTTAAATTTAAAAACAAAAATCAGCTGCACCCGTCCAAGCCCGGGAAGGCCACCCTAAGCACGGTTTACTAAAGCCTTTGTTTCGCCACAAAATGTGACAACTGAGTGTGTGGAAGCCAGGAAAGCTATTGTTATCTGGCTACATGAAGAGCACATGGAGGTGGCAAGAAGGAAGGAGACAAAGTTTCCACATCCCGGGTGTGTGTGTGTGTGTGTGTGTGTGCACGTGACAGAGAGAGAGAGAGAGAGATGCTCAGTTCTCAGGGACTAGAGTAAGAGGCACAGCAGTGCATCCACGTCCCAAGCAGAGTAGCCGGGGTCGACAAAGGTTTGGATATCATGTCATGGAAGAGCAATGACGGCGTTGGAGGAGTTTGTTTGAAAAGAAAGTGGAAGTGGGAGGGGAGAGGCAGGGTACACTCTTCAGTTTCAAAGCTTGAAGGGAATGATTCATTTTGTGCTAACTAGGATGCAGTAGTAGACAGGGAGCTGGACTCAAGGTGTGGGGAGACCACAGGCAAGTCCCTGGAGGCAAAAATCCTCCAGAAGTTGTCAAGAGGGAGAGCGTGGTGAGCAGAACGCCCCTCAGGAAGACAGCTTATGAGGATGGAAGGAATTGCTTCGAGGAGCGATGTGATTGAGAGAGGCCCAAGGGGCATGTGTGATGCAGCCCGGTCCAGGGGCATTTGCTGCGAGGCCTCCTTAGGAGATGCGAGTTTAGGCTCAAGCAGAACCACTCCCTGCGTAGTTAGGCTGGCATTGCTGCCGGCTGCCTCATCCTCCTGCCCCTGAGTCCACTGCAGCCTCTAAGGCACATCTGCTGAAGGCTTTCCACTGGCCTAGGGCGCCCGCAGGTTTGGCCTGGTTCTTAGCAGTCACCAGGAGCAGATGTTGGCACACCTAGTACGAGAAGGTCCTTTCCAGCGCTTGGCAGCTATTTGCCATGGGAATGTCTGTCTCTGACAGGGGCTCTTCACCATGTGTGGGATGTGAGCAGCGGAGGGGAGCCCTGTCTGGGGCAGGCAGTTGGCCTCAATGACCTCTACCATTTTTTTCAAGTCTAGGAGGGCATGAGCTTTTCTGGCAGAGTTGGCATCTGTGATAGGTGGTTTGCTGAGAGGAGTCGGCAAACTCTCTTAAGTTAAAAGTTGGTCGATGCTTTTGATCTTTTTTCCCTTTGTGGTTTCTTCTCTTCCTTCAAAGTGAAGAAAACTTTAAGTATGACTGGAAAAGACATGACTCTGTGGCTTCTAGTAGAGTCGGCACCCGCCGCCTGTAAATGTGTAGACTGCGTCTCCGGTTTGCCCCTCTCTGTCACCATCATACTCTTGCTACTGTGACATCTTGTGACCCTGGGAACTGCTGATGAAATCCGGGGCCTCATCAGGCTACTGGGCAGGGGGTGGTGGTGGTGCAGGGAACAGAAACTCGCCTTGGCTGACTCTGTAAGGGGTAAGGGGTGGGCAGCCTTTGTGGAGATGTGCAGAGCCAGGAAGGAGAAGGCCGCCCTAGGGCCTTGGAACCAGAAGAGCATGGGGTCTGCACGCAGCTTCTCCCATGGATCAGCTCTTCTCTGTGGGGCCGCTCTTCCCAGCCAGCAGCCTCCCTTCTCAGTCCCCAGTCCTAAGAAGGAGTCTGATGGCTCAGCCTCCACGGCTTTCTCCGCATGAGCCACTCAGGGGCTGCCAGTCTGTGTATGAATCGGCTGTCTTGGAGCAGGTACCCCCCTCTGCCTCTCAGAGATGGGGACAGAGTCGTGGGGGCAGCGTGCCTCCTTAAGGTCTCCGCTTAGCCAGGACAGTGGGCGGGCAGCTTTCAGAGAAGATGGGCGGCTCTGCTGGACTTCTCTGCTCCTGACCCCGGCACTAGATCTGTGACCTCCGCAGTAGCTGACATGGTACAGGGAGCTGTGGACCTAGGTGGTCTGAAGAGGTTTTCCTTCAAGGTGAATTAAAGGGGAATTCTCATAGGATTCTCCCAGGTGGACTCACCTTCGAAAATCTACCTCCAAGAGTAAATGACAGCAGACGTCCACTGAGGACCAAGTGCACACTCATGCCCAATTAAGCAGACTCAGAGCCCTTCGGGGAAGCTTTAGCAGTTATTGATCTCTGCCTATTTTAACTCAAGTTCCTCTTTTCATGTTGAGGCAAAACCTCACAGTCTTTTCTGAGCTTAGCCACAGTTTCTAAATAACTCATTCCTGACACCTGAGCCTGTTCAGTGCCACCAGAATACGAGGCTCCCCAAAATAAGAATCTGGCCTGAAATTTTGCCAAGTGAAGCACCGAAAGGCTTTCATTGTTTCTTAGTTTAGTAACTTTAGCTCTTTTCCTGGGGACTTCTGTTCTCTTGTCAACACCAAAGATCTCATCTTTGTTCTTTGCAGACCAACTTCATGGAGTTGGCCCACGTGTCATAGCCCATGACAGCCCTGTATCAATCAGGGAGAGGAGCTGCCTCACCTGGGGGACTCTTTTCTCTCACTCCATCTTTCACAGACTTAAAAAAAATCCGAGATGGGAGGGCAGGATGCAAACTGTAACTTCATCCAACCCCCTCGTTCTAAATATGAGTGTTGCTGAGAACTGCGGAAGTTGGAACTCACAGCCAGGCCTCCCGGCCTCCCCGGCTAAGCTTTCTTCCTTCCAATCCAGAAGGTGTTTCCAAGCCTGTCTGGAGTCCCCTGGGGAAGGATGAGCCCAGGACTCTGCCCAGAGGGACAGGGAGACAGGGCAATGTGGCCTCTCAGAGAGCTTGGCCTCTTGCCCTTCACATGGTTATAGATAATATTTGATCCCAGGTGGCATCTGTCCCTTGTGGTAAATCAGTGAGGTGCCCCTAGAATGAAAGCAGACTCCATTCCCGGCTGGGATCTGGGTTCAAGTCCAATTTGGTCAGCGATGTGGCCTTGGGCAAGGACTGCCAAGAAACTGCTGGAAAGTAGAGATCACACACATACCTCCCAGCACAAGGAAGCTGCTGGGGAGGAGGGTGGAGACAGCAGGGAGCTGGAGGTGCTTTAGAGCATTCTAGGCAGTGCTGGGAGTGGTGGGGAAGGAGGGGTAAATTTTGGAACTCCATCTCCCTCAGCTCTGCTCTTTGGGCTATGGGCTTCATGTCTTCAGGGACCTGAGTACGCTCTGGAACTGTTAAGCAGTTGTTCAACAGCTGCTGTGCCACTCAAACCCTGAGAACCTTCTGGACTCAGCTTGCACTGCTTTTCCTGGTTGGGGGAGGGTTGGGGCAGTGCTCTGAGCCCTGTGTGAGGCCAGACGAAGGCAGAACGGCTCAGCCCCGCAGGCCTGACTGTCCCACACCAAGAGAGTGGGTTTCTTGTAAAGCCAAAACTCCTTTCTTGACTTGGAAAGGGAAGTGACTCTCCCCTAAGAGAAGCGGTGCCTATCTTGAGCTGCTCGCTGCAGACTGAGCTGGGAGGCTGCTGCTGCCTTTGAAATGGCCCCTCTTTGGGAAAGTAAGGAAGAGTCTGAGGTCCTGCAAGCCGCCCTCATGGGCCAGCTCCAGGGTGGCCAGGGAGGCCTGGAGTGGCCTCAGACGTGTCGCATAAATGGCTGTCTCAAACCTAGGGCCACAGTTGAAGCAAAAGAGGCCCTTCGGCTCCACCCTACAACCTTTTGGCCCTTGCGTCCTTTCTAACATCCTTCCCACCGAGAGGAATAAAGCAGAAAATTAGAACTACCCATAATCCCCTATCACATCAATGTTCTCTGTGAACTTCCTGTCTTTTCTTGAGGTTGAGATTGTATCTAGGATATTGATTGTTTCAGTCAAGATGGGAGCACCCCCAGGTGTTTTTCTGTTTTGTTTTGTTTTGTTTTTGAGACAGGGTCTTGTTCTGTAGACCAGGCTGGAGTGCAGTGGCGCGACCTCGGCTCACTGCAACCTCTGCTCCCAGGCTCAAGCAATTCTCCCACCTCAGTCTCCTGAGTAGCTGAGATTACAGGTGTGCACCACTATGCCCAGCTAAATTTTGTATTTTTCTGTAGAGATAGGGTTTCACTATGTTGCCCAGGCTGGTCTCAAACGCCTGGGCTCAAGTGATCCACCCGCCTCAGCCTCCCAAAGTGTTGGGATTACAGGCGTGAGCCACCATGCCCAGCCACACTCCCAGGTTTTCATGCAAGTTTAGATGAAGAGTTAGAAAATATCTATCTCATAGACCCTTTCATTATTCTTTCCCGATTTGGAAGAAAAAATCCAGTGGTCTGAGCCATTCCGGTGAGTTCTAAAGAAGAGACACTTGTGACTCAAGTCCCTGGTCCCTGACGGTGGCTGTCACGTATCTCCGGGCGACATGGCTTTTGGAGAGGGAAAACAAAACAACTTTCTAAAAGCTGTTCCGTCACAAGCATCCGGGAGGTGAACGGTTGAGCCATTGTTATTAAGCTCAGGAAGCGAGTGGCAGCTGTTATTGTTCTGAGTGGTCACTGAGTGAAGTAAAGATTCCGTCTGAGCCGCCGGGCAAAGGATGTGGCTCTAACACACTTCCTGAAGTTGCACAACAAGGGGCACAGAAAAGGTTCAGGGCATAGAAGCCTAGCACGGCCAGGGCTGCCCTGTGTGGGCTCCACAGCCATGCCAAGGACAATGGGCCCCAAGGGGGTCCGTGCTGGTGGAGGGGTTCCTTTATGCTCTGACACTCACCTTCTAGAAGCCTGCATTTTGAATTGGTTTTTCTGTCTACTGCAGAATATGGACAGATCTATTTTCCAAGCCTCTGAATATCTCAAAACATCTTTAGTTGTCTACACATTCAAGAGTAATTTGATAGATATAAAATTCTTGGAACCAACTGTTCGCTCAAAATCCTGTAAAAGGTACAGCACTACCTTCAAGAATGTAGTGTTACAGGCTGGGTGCAGTGGCTCACTCCTGTAATCCCAGCACTTTGGGAGGCTGAGGCAGGTGGATCACCTGAGGTCAGGAGTTTGGGACTAGCCTGGGCAACATGGTGAAACCCCGTCTCTACTAAAAATGCAAAACTTAGTCGGGTGTGGTGGTGCATGCCCGTAGTCACAGCTACTCCGGAGGCTGAGGTGGGAGGATCGCTTGAACCTGAGAGGCAGAGGCTGCAGCGAGCTGAGGTCTCACCACTGCACTCCAGCTGGGTGACAGAGCAAGACTGTCTCAAAGAAAAAAAAAAAAAAGAATGTAGCGTTATGAATAGTTCCGAGTACAAAATCCAAGGCCAAACTTGTGCTGGTTCCTATAGAGGCGACCCATTTTTTTCTTTTTTTCTACTTTGAAGCCGGTGGGAATTCTTTTCCAGTGTTGTCATTTTCCTTTCATTGATAGTACCTGCAATGTGTTCGGCTTGTTCACTTTGCAAACTCTGTTCTTTGACACAAAAGACCTTTCTTCTGTTAGGTCTTTGAGTAAGTTTTTATTCCAGCTCTTCTGGCATCTTTCTTCTAATCCCCTGAGAAAGCCAAGCCTCCCCCCGTTTTCTAGCCCCCTGGGGTACACATGCCTTTGTGACTGAGCAGCCCCTCCCTCTTGTGTGGCTGCAAGATCCCTAATCCCTTCCCCAGTCTGTCAGAGAATTCTGGAAAGAGTATCCATGCCATTTGTCATCTCTACCTCCAAATGACTGTCTTTATTTTCTCCCCATCCCCACTAGCCATTTTGTCCTTGTTTCTCCATGTTCCAGAGCCTTCTGGTTCACCTTGCCCCAGATCATGGGCCTGTTTCCTGTCTTTGTTACCCAAAGCGGTCTAGAACTAACATCAACATGCACCATGTAGCCGATAAGTTTAGACTGGGGAATGGGATGCAAGTGTAACCAATGAGATGTGAAGAGAAGGGCTTTGTGGGCTTCTAGTAAAGGTCTGTTTGTCTTAAAAACAGACATAGGGATAAGATAGCCTCTTTCTTTCTTTCTTTCTTTCTTTCTTTCTTTCTTTCTTTCTTTCTTTCTTTCTTTCTTTCTTTCTTTCCTTTTTGAGACAGAGTTTCGCTCTTGTTGCCCAGGGTGGAGGGCAATGGCATGATCTCGGCTCACCACAACCTCCGCCTCCTGGGTTCAAGTGATTCTCCTGCCTCAGCCTCCCAAGTAGCTGGGATTACAGGCACCTGCCACCATGCCGGGCTAATTTTTGTATTTTTAGAAGAGATGGGACTTCACTATGTTGGTCAGGCTGGTCTCGAACTCCTGACCTCAGGTAATCTGCTCGCCTTGGCCTCCCAAAGTGCTGGGATTACAGGTGTGAGCCACCGCACCCAGCCAAGATAGCCTCTTTCCTACCTTTGGAAGCTGCCATAGGATGTGATAGCTGGGTCTCTGCTGCTGCCTTGTAACCATGAGGAGAGGTAGCTGGCGAGTGAGGCCAACACACGGAAAGGAGAAGTGAACCTGGGTCCTGGATGATGCCCTTGAATTTGCTGAACAGAATGAAGCAACCTGGGATCTGCCCTCCTCTAGATTTTCTGTTTTGTGAGTTAATTAATTTCTTTTTGCTCAAGTTAGTTGAGTTAGGGTTTTCTAACAGCTAAAAGTGTCCTAACTTACAAAGGTTTAAACTATCCCAGGGGAATTTCAAAGCAGAAAAGTGAAAATTTCAAATTGAATATCGAGTTTCACTGCACCAAATGCCCATGAGCCACGGTCTGACAACACAGTCTCTGGGTCTTCCTTCTCCTTAGCCTGTGTCGTGTTTCTGGGACCTGCTCCAGCCCTGTCCCAGACATTCCTAATGACTTATGTTCCTGTCAGACATCCTTGGGCTCAACATCTCTTTCTCTAACCCTGACCAGAAAAAGCACAAAAATCAATCAGTATTTTAACAATGTCTGTGCACTGGGGAGGCATGATTTCTTGCTTATTGCAGGATGGTTTCGCTTCTCATCTTGACTTTGCCCTTCGAGATCAGCTTCCGGGTCTAATTGTGTCTGTCAGATTTGCAAGAGGCCACTTCGGGTTTGCCAAATAGAAGAAAGTCTTTCTGAGAGGCCTCACTTGATCACCCCAGAAAAATAGTCACCCCACCCTTCACCTGTTGCTCTTTAACCCCTTACCCTCCTTTCTTTTCTTTGTGGCACTTGTGACTACCTGATTTTATATTATATTTATTTATTTATTTATTTTTTTGAGACGGAGTCTCACTCTGTCACCAGGCTGGAGTGCAGTGGCACAATCTCGGCTCAGCTCACTGCAACCCCTGCCTCCCGGGTTGAAGTGATTCTCCTGCCTCAGCCTCCCGAGTAGCTGGGACTACAGGCACATGCCACCACACCCAGCTAATTTTTGTGTTTTTAGTAGAGACAGGGTTTCACCATGTTGCCCAGGATGGTCTCGACCTCTTGACCTTGTGATCTGCCCGCCTCAGCCTCCCAAAGTGCTGGGATTACAGGTGTGAGCCACCATGCCCAGCCCTGAGGTATTTGAAAATATACATTTTTATATTGACTTATTTATCATCTATACTAGAACTATTCCTAGCATGTAGTGAGTGCTTGATAAATACTTATTGAATGAATTAACTCTTCTGCCACCATTAAGAAGATAGAAAGTGCTACAGGTTTCACTTAAAATTATGATTTATCTCACCCTTGCTGTAGTCATCAATCTTAAATTTGTCCTCCACAGGATCCGCCGTTATCTATTGACTTGCTTTTCATGCCTTGGTCAACTTCCTCTGCATTCGAGACGGGTTCTCTTTTCTGGACTCAGTTCTGCTGTAGCTCCCTCCAAAGTGGATCCTCATTTCAGCATTGAATTGAGCTCCTCATTTTTTTTTTCTTGAGACAGTGTCTCGCTCTAGCCCCCATGCTGGAGTGCAATGGCAAGATCTCGGCTCACTGCAAACTCTGCCTCCTGGATTCAAGCGATTCTCCTGCCTCAGCCTTCCAAGTAGCTGGGATTACAGCCATGCACCACCACCCCCGACTAATTTTTTGTATTTTTAGTAGAGACGGAGTTTCATCATGTTGGCCAGGCTGGTCTCAAACTTCTGACCTTGTGATCTGCCCGCCTCAGCCTCCCAAAGTGCTGGGATTACAGGCATGAGCCACCAGCCCCGCCAAGGTTCTCATTTTGTTGCAAGCCTGCCTTGCCTGGCTGATCTTCATGTTTCACTGGCCCTGTTGTCTGTTCATCTTTCTCCTCTTCCTGGGATTTTCACTCCTGGGTCATAAAGGCCTTGCCTTTTGACGTCCACGTGAGGCTGCCGATGCTTCCCGAGATGTCCCGAGACAAGTTCCAGCAGCCACATTTCCAGAGAAGGCTCTTCCTCGGGTCTTCAGGGTGGTGTAATGTCCTAGTTCCCTCGGGGAAGCAGTTTCTTCTCTCAAGCTTCTGTTTCCTCCTCAGAAACAGTGGGAGGCCAGCAGTACTTCTCTCCTGTGGAGATTTTGAGGACTAAAAGAGATGGTTTATGTAAACATGCAGCTCATGTCTGACACGTGACTCCATGGATGACTGTTTTAAAATGGCGAGGACGCACAGAGGCCAGTCAGCTCGCTGACACCAACATGGGGTCACCGGGCAGAGGCCCCGGCCCATGACTGGCCAAGAGCTGGGGACACCAGGCACAGGGGAAGGAGAAAGGGCTGAGACTTTGGGACACAAAAAACTCAGGTGTCCTGGGATTGACAGCAAGGCCATCCAAAGGGGCCTTGGAGAGGAGGACAAGTGCCTGGAAATCCTGACTGCCCGATCGGGGCCCAGGCGCGAGGGTCATGGAGGACAGAGGCACCAAGTAGGGACCCTAGACCCTGTCTGCCTTGGGATCCTCTGAGAACTGAGAACTGTAACAGCATTACAGCCGTATGTCCCGACTATATTCCTTAAGGGTCAGGGGTTGTCCTGTGCCTGCTCACTGGGCATACGTCACTGCTGCTTTGGATAACTGAGGAAGACAGAGGCGGGGTGAGGGCGAGGGTGGATGCCTGGGGTCCCAACCAGGTGACAAGAGAGAGCCTTGAGGACACGGGAGGGACCAGCGGGAGGCCCCACAACTCCCACCTGGGGCCTATCTTGTCATCCCTTTCTGGCCTGGTTGCCTTTTGTTGAGCCCCTGTCAGGAGCTAGGCACTTCATCCGTGTTCTTTAATCCTGGGGAAGGGTTTACTACTATTGTTGCTATGATCACTATTCCCATTTTTAAATTCAAGGAAACAAAGGCTCAGATGAGATAACACTGTTTGCCTGTTTCATAAAACTTGTGACAGAAGAGGGATGTCATTGGAGCCATGCTGTGGCTCTGTGCCCTGCAGCCTGGGGCGCTGGGCTGGAGGGTGAGCTTCACACAAAGGCTACTGGCCTTTGTTTCTCCAACCACTGGAGGTTCCCCAGCTATGTATGGAACCAGCTAAGGGCTTTGCAGTATTTGAGTCATGATCCTTCCTGAATGAGACCCAAGATGACTCTACTTTTAAGCCAAGTCCAGTGAGCGTTATAGCCGTATGTCCTGACTATATTCCTTGAGGGTCAGAATGACAGCTTAGAGATTCCCGGCAGCTCATTCATTTATTCAGTGAATATTAATTGGGAACTGAACAACAGCCACCCTCAAAGTCCCTCCTTCATAGGATGTTCGGTCTAGAGACCAATGACAAGCAATTTTCAAGATTAGACTCTGAACCCCAGATTTTTACATCTTGAGGGAGAAGCGTCTCAGGAAACTTCTACAGTGCAAGGAGCTCCCCTCAAGTGGGAGGAAATGAATGGCCCAGCCATGCCTTCCAAAGAACCCTCTGAGAGGCGCCCAGTCCCTCTTCTGTGCTTCCAAACAATCCCCCCGCCCAGCGTCCACATCCTCGCATTGTGGGGTGGTAGGCGACCCGGTGTCTGTCTCCCCCAGTGAGCTGTGGAGGCCTTGAGAACAAGGGTCTCAGTCGCCCGAGTGTCTGCCCTTGGGCACAGGACAGAGGATGCGTCGCCATCCCCTGAATGAAAGGCCCAGCTGGACCTGGCTTGAGAAGAGGCTTCTATTGACCACTCAGTGCCCACAAAACCTTTGAGGTTAACTTTAGTCTGCCCTGTTCTTAGCAGACTGTATTTCATTTTGAGCAACCCCAGGAGAGGAAAATCCAAATTTCTCTCTCAAATATTGAATTAATCCATACATGAGCAGTTAGTGATTTTTATAAAGAGATTCGCCATGGAAGAGTACTTCTTTCATTTCTGCTCTTCCTGGCTTGTCTGAGTCAAGAGACCCTGCCAGGCTGGTGGCCATCAGGATGCCCAACCCATCTCCCCCCCATATTTATGCCCTTCATGACTGGCAGGAAAAAGGATCTGAAATCTTGAAATGGAGAAATGTGTTTTCCAAAATCCAAACATCTCACAAATATATGCTATGAAGACCCTAAAAAGAGTTCTCAGCGCCCTCACACAGACACAAGGACAGAACATGAGAACATAGTCCCAGCCTTTAAAGAGAGAAAACGGACATTCCAACAAGCAGATTCAAAGTCACTTGGGGTCGGGCACGGTGGCTCATGCCTGTAATCCCAGCACTTTGGGAGGCCAAGGCAGGTGGATCACCTGAGGTCAGGAGTTCGAGACCAGCCTGGCCAACATGGCAAAACCCCATCTCTACTAAAAATACAAAAATAGCCGGGTGTGATGGTGCACACCTGTAATCCCAGCTACCCAGGAGGCTGAGGGAAGAAGAATTGCTGTAACCTGGGAGGCAGAGGCTGTAGTGAGCTGAGATCGCGCCACAACACTCTGGCCTGGGTGACAAGAGCAAAATTCCGTCTCAAAGAAAAAAAAAAAAAAAAGAAGTAACTTGGAAGTCTACAAGAAAGATACCACTGGCTGCTTGGGAAACCAGACAATAGAACTGCTTTCTCCCCTGACGAAGGTGCTGGGGAGATACTTACTCTTATGACACTAAACTCCTTCCTGCCCCAGGGTCTTGGCACCTGCCCTGCCTTGTGCTTGGGACTCCGTCCCTCAGGTCACTATGTGGCTGACTGGCCAACAGGATTCCTCCAAGGCCTTTTCCCAGGTCTTCCCATCTAATATCATGCCCTGTCCCATAGCCGCTCCTTATAGCACTCCTGTTTTTTCTTCATAGCCCTTATCGCTGTCTGCAAGGGGATTTGTCTCCATTGCCACTATAACAAATTTCAGCAAACAGAGGGGTTTAAAACAACACAATTTATTATCTTGCAGTTGTGCAGGCCAGAAGTCCAGAAGCTCTCACTGGGCTCAGGTCAAGGTGTTGGCAGAGCTGAGCTCCTTCCAGAGGCTTCAGGGGAAAATCCCTGTTCTTGCCTTTTCTGGTTTCTAGGGGTCACCTGCATTCCTTGGCTCATGGCCCATTCCTCTGTCTTCAGAACCAGTAATGGCCCATCAAGTCTTTCTCATAATGCCGTTTCTAGGGCTCTGACTCTCTGCCTCCCTCTTCCCCTTATGAGGACTCTTGAACGTAGATTGGGAACAGCTGAATAATTCAGGATCCTCTCCCAACCTCGAGGCCAGCACATGAGCAACCTTATCTCCCTCAGGCCATGGTACATAACAGCCACAGGTTCCAGGGATAAGGAGGGCTTGGGAGGCGGAGGCCGTTATTTTTTCTACCGCAGCAACTATCTTGATTCTGTATTGACTCACTCATTTATTATCTGTCTCCACCACGAGGATGTAAGACTCACGAGAGCCAAGACCTTGTCCATCTTGCTCTCCACTGTCTCTGTAGCACCAGAAGGATGCCTGGCACAGAGTAGGTGCTCAGTAAACATTTGCTGCATGATTGAATGAAGGAGTAAATTTGCAATACAAACAAAGTGGGAAAGGCCAAGGAGGGAAGGAGAGTGGAGACCCCCAAAGCTTTCCTGTTCCGAAATTATCTGATTCATTCTACAAGATTAGCAAAGCCTCCCAAGATGTAGGCGTTCAGGGCCAATGTTTCATAATCAGCTCTGCGAGGTTGGCGCTGGGTCTGGGATGAGGCAGGCGGGCGGCCGGAGTGACTGGGGGCCCGAGCTGCCAGGCTTATCAGGGAGCCGTCCCAGGCTCTGCCCCCTCAGGCAGCTTCTCTCCAGGCTGCTCCCAGGGCTGGGGACTCTGGGCTGGTCTGCCAGCTGTCACTTCTGTCTTCCCCAGAGTACCTCAAGAGTTTTACGAAAAGAAAAGAAGCAAGCTGGAAAGAAGAGCGTCTCAGGGATATGTAATTAAGGATAAAAATATCCCTCATAGGCTCTGGGCAATGGGGAAAATGGAGATTGCTTGCCTTCCTGGGCCCAGTGGAACCATGAGGGCTTTTGAAACATAATGATTAGGGCAGGTTTTTAGCATTGATGAGCCTGTGCAATGATGAATGCCATCTATACGGGTGTGAGGTACCAAAAGATGTGTGGTTAAATTCTCGAAGGGGAGGAGTTTAAATGGAGCTGCATGTAAATACAGGACCTTTGCTTGGGGTGAGAAGGAAAGGGGAAATGGAAATAGCAAGGGGATGAGCTTCCTTAATTGCATGTGGCAGAAGGAAACGGCAATTTCAAAGGCAAACATTGAACGTGGGAGGTGGAGGAGGCCTTGGATGCTCCCAACAGCATCCCTTTATCCCTCAATCTCCCGTCCCTTCTTCCATCTTGAGACAGGCCAAGGAGCCCCAGGCCCATCACTGTCAGTGGCTCCCACGTAGCCAGGGGTGCTCCCACCCCAGCCCCCAGCACCCCTACAGCCATCTTCATTCCTCAGCCCCACCTGACACGTTGCCCCTGACAGGGCTTAGTAGATTTCCGCTGGATGAAAAAGGCATGGGTGAAAGAATCTTGACTCTAAGATAAAAATGGTTACCCAGGAAGAAACAGAAAGAGAAATTAAAGAATGTGTCTTGAGAGAAATGGAACAATAAGCAGACTTCAACCTGAGGGCTTTGTGAAGTCAGGGTCTCCTTCACGTGGTCTGATGGGCCACTGCATTCCTCTCTTGTCTAATCTTTCTTTTCTTTTTTTGGACAGAGAAGGATTACGGCAGATTAATATTGATAATTTCTGCTTTTTCTCTTAGGGCAGTAGTGAGGGTGAGGAAGTTCAAATTGAAAATACAAAACAGAAGTAAAATCCCCTGACATGGAAATAAGCCTTCCTTCTTGGGAAACTATCAGTGTAGATATGTTTCTCTAAAATGTAACTTTAGAGTCTGGAATATATTTGACATCTTAAAAATGGTCTTCAAGACTTTATGGTAAGGCCAGGTGCAGTGGCTCATGCCTGTAATTTCAGCACTTTGGGAGGCTGAGGCAGGCAGATCATTTGAGGTCAGGAGTTCAAGACCAGCCTGGCCAACATGGTGAAACTCTGTCTCTGTCTAATTCAAAAATTAGCCAGGCATGGTGGCGAGTTGCCTATAATCCCAGCTACTCAGGAGGCTAAGGCATGAGAATCGCTTGAACTTGGGAGGCTGAGGTTGCAGTGAGCTGAGATCACGTCACTGCACACTCCAGTCTGGGCGACAGAGTGAGACACTGTCTCCAAAAAAAAAAAAAAAAGACTTTATGTTAAGCTCATCAAGTGTTCAATGAGGCATTTGTTAGAGATGGTAGAGATGGACAGTCTTCAATTTTGGGGTGAAAAGATTTGCAAAAATTTGTCAATAATAATGTGATGACGTCCAGAGCTGGTCCCACCACTGGCTCTCTCCTGCCACCTGCCCAGTGGTGGCTTCAGGCCACACTCCCTTGGCAGAAGAACACGCTATGCATGCCTCCTGAGCACCCTTCTTCTGCCTCCTGGCCCGTTTTCCCTGTGCTTCTCCCTGGAGTCTGAGAAACAGATGTTGCCGTGGTCCCCTGCCTGGTAGAGCCCAAGAGATTCTCTACAGCTGTGCTGGCCAGTGCTGCAGCCACAGGCCACATGGGGTCACAGAGCACTTAGAATACACCCCCTCCCCCCCCAAAAAAGAGAATGTCCTATATCTCATGATAATTTTATTGCACATTGAAATCTTAATATTTTGGATATATTGGGTTAAATAAAATACATTCATCAAATTGATTTTATCCCGATGTTTAAAAACTCCCAGGCTGGGTATGGTGGCTCATGCTTGTAATCCCAGCACTTTGGGAGGCCAAGGCAGGCAGATCACTTGAGGTCAGGAGTTCGAGACCAGACTGACCAACATGGTGAAACCCCGTCTCTACTAAAATTACAAAAATTAGCCGGGCTTAGTGGTGCATGCCTGTAGTCCCAGCTACTCCGGAGGGTGAGGCAGGAGAAATGCTTGATCCCGGCAGGTAGAGGTTGCAGTGAGCTGAGATTGCCCCACTGCACTCCAGCTTGGGCAATAGAGCAAGACTCCATCCCAAAAAAAAAAAAAAAAAAAAAAAAAAAAAATTCTAAAATCTGGCTGCTGGAAAATTTAAAATTGTATATAAGGCTCACATTACATTTTCACTGGGCATCATTGCTCTAGAACCTTGCTGCTCAGAGTCTGGTCCACAGGCCAGCAGATCAGCATCACCTGGAAGCTTGTTAGAAATGTGGACAATCAGGTCCCAGACCCGGGAATTCAGAATCAGCGTTTGAACAAGATCCCCAGGTGATCCTGATGCACATTAGGGTTTGAAGACCATGTGTGGGTTGGGGGAATGGCAGTCAGTCTCACTCACCACGGGAGGGAGTGCAAATGCCGACAAATGCTCTGGAGGGCAAATTGCCAATGTCTATCAACATCCGTAATGTCTGGGTGCAGTGAGGAATGTTCTCCCACCCCTAATTTGTCCAACAAGTCACATGGACAAAGATATATATACGAGGACACCCACTGCAGCATTATTTCAAATAGGGGTCAAAGAAGAATCCTAACAAACAACCTCATGTTGCCTAGGTTAGCATTCAACCTAACCATGATGAAGAGGGAACTGCTTAAATACACTGTGGTCCAGCCAATGGAAGACTATGCAGCTGCTTAAAAAATTAAAGTAGAGCTGTGTGTAATGAGTTGGAAAGATTTCAAACATTAATAAAAAAGTTGCAGGGTGATATTGTTGTAGGATAGTTTTTGGTTTTTGTTTAAGGGATAGATTATATACACAAGATTGCACATACATAAGAGTGTTGAGATAGAACTTGTATTTTAGAGATAGGATCTCACTGTGTTGCCCAGGCTGTTCTTAAACTTCTGGGCTTGGCCAGGCGCAGTGGCCCACGCCTGTAATCCCAGCACTTTGGGAGACCGAGGCGGGTGGATCACCTGAGCTCAGGAGTTCGAGACCAGCCTGGCCAACGTGGTAAAACCCCATCTCTACTAAAAATACAAAAATTAGCTGGAGGGGGTGGTGGTGGGCACCTGTAATCCCAGCTACTTGGGAGGCTGAGGCAGGAGAATCGCCTGAACCTGGGAGGCAGAGGTCGCAGTGAACCGAGCCACTGGACTCCAGCCTAGGCAACAAGATTGAAACTGTCTCAAAAAAAAAAAAAAAAAAAAAAAAAAAACAACTCCTGGGCTCAAGCAATCCTCCCACCTTGGCTTCCCAAAATGGAGATAGAACTTTTAAAATAATTTTTTTTTTACATTTAAAAGTTATATCTCAGCTTGGTCAAAAAAAAATTAAAACAGTACCAAAGGAAATACATAGGAAATAGAGATCCCCTTCTCCTATTGGTAACCCTAATGTCCTGCAAATCCCCCACCCTAGTCCCACTGTTGACAGTTTCTCAGATACTGTTTTCAAATGTTTTATATATTTATATTTGTTTTTGTAAATAGGATAATACCGTATACACTGTTCTGCGATTTGCTTTCTTCCCTTAGCAATCTGTCCGTGAGATGGATCCAAGTTCATTCATGCATCTTTTGTGCTTTTTAACAGTTGAACGATAATGGATGGATACATAGATGATTTTCTTTTTTGTTGTTCTCACTACAAAAGACAGATGCTACAATAAGCAAGGCTTGCTTGTGACTGTGCATACAAGCTTTCTCCAAGAAAAACTATTACTGGGTTGAAGGAATGCGTATATGATTGTAAAATACTGCCAAACTGCTTTGCCCGGGGCTCTTCCGAGTGACCTTCTCACCCAGTGTCTCTTGGTCCTCATGATGCTCACACATCTCAATTCTGGACATTACCAGTGCCTGTAATTTTCAGCAGACAATGAGTGAAATATGTGATCGCAATATTTTATTTTGCATTTCTCTCATTAGAAATGACACTAATGACCCAGGCGTGGTGGTTCATGCCTATAATCCCAGCACTTTGGAAGGCAGAGCTGGGCGGATCACCAGAGGTCAGAAGTTCGAGACCAGCCTGGCCAACATGGTGAAATGCCAACTCTACTAAAAATACAAAAATTAGCCAGGCGTGGTGGCGCATGCCTGTAACCCCAGCTACTCAGGAGGCTGAGGCAGGAGAATCACTTGAACCTGGGAGGCGGAGGTTGCAGCGAGCCGAGATCACACCACTGCACTCCAGCCTGGGTGACAGAGCGAGATCCCATCTCAAAAGAAATGACACTGAGCCTATTTTCATATATGCATTCACCATTTGTGTTTCTTTTCCTGTCAATTGCCTATTTATATTCTTTTTCCATTTTTTCCTTTTTAAAAATATTTCCGATTTTAAAAACCCTTTATATGTTTTGTATATTAATTTTGGGGGTAAGTTATATGAAAATATTTTCTCCAGCCTGCAATGTTTTTAAACATTGTTTATGGTGCGTTTTGTCATGTGGAAGTTTAAAACCATTAGGTAGTCAAATGTTTTCATTTACGGATTCTGAGTTTTGTGAATCACCCATCCCAATATTATTTATTTAGGGAAAATGCTATTTTCTTCTAACAATTTTTAATGTGTTTTTATGTTTAGCTCTTTATTTATTTTTATGTTTGGTATAAAATAGGGACTATAACTTCACCGTCCAAATGGATAGCCAACACCGTATTAAATAGCCCATCCTTTTCCCATTGATTCACAATGCCATTATATCATGTGCTAATTTCCCCCATAGTCCTAATCTGATTTGAAACGCCTCCTCCTGTTCCATTGATAGATTAATCTACTCTTGACCCAGCTGCATAGGTTTAATCGAGGTGGCTTTCTTGTGTGTTTCCTTATCTGGCAGACTAAGTTCCCATTTATTATTCTCATTAGTCCTTGCTTGCCATGCATTTTCTTTTCCAGGTGATTTTTAAAATCAGCTTGTCAAGTTCTCTGAAAAAATCCCAGTTAGAATTTTGTGCAATTACATGTAATTAATAGGTTAATTTATAAATAACTTATGTTCTTATAACATCAAGTCCTTCAATTTGAGATCATGGTTTCTCTCTCCATTTATTCAGCTTTTCTTTTATATCTTTTTTCTGCTTTCTCCATATAGTTCTTAAACCTGCTCTGTTACTGAGTGTGATGTAGCTTTAATTACCTTTGCAAACAGAATCTTCCTTTTCCATCATGACATTTTCTGGTTAGGTTTTGTGGGTATCTAGGAAAGTGATAGTTTCGGTAGGGTACTCTTAAATATCTGTCTGAATTCTCTTATTCATTTTAATAGTTTCTGAATTTATTCTTTTGGCTTCCCTAGGTAAATGATCTTGTTTTGTGCAAATAATGGCAGACAGTCTGTTCCTTCCAATGCAACTCATTTAGGGACAGGGGAGTTGTTCTGATCTGTTTTGTGCTGGCTGGGACCCGCCGTGCAATGCTGCAGATCAGTGGCATGGTGCTTTTGGTTGTCTCATTTCTTTTTTTTTTTTTGAGACAGAGTCTCACTCTGTCGCCTAGGCTGGAGTGCAGTGGCGCGATCTCGGTCACTGCAACCTGCACCTCCCAGGTTCGAGCAATTCTCCCACCTCAGCCTCCTGAGTAGCTGGGATGACAGGCATGCGCCACCATGCCTGGCTAAATTTTGTATTTTAAGTAGATTTAAAATACAGGGTTTCACCATGTTGGCCAGGCTGATTTCGAACTCGTGACCTTAAGTGATCCACCTGCCTCAGCCTCCCAAAGTGCTGGGATCACAGGGATGAGCCACTGCACCCGGCCTTGGTTGTCTCACTTCCGATTTCCAAGGATGTTTCTGCTCCAGGAGGAGGATGCAAGTCAAAGACAAGGAGTGCAACAGGAGTGCTGGGAGATGGGCACTCACCGAATGGTGCCCAAATGGGACCAGCACCGTGGATAGGAGCTGGAAAACTTAGCCAGTGGTGAGCCACAGGGTCTTCTGAGCCAGCTCAACCCACTGCGAGGCTCCTCTTTGGTGAGACGTGGTGCTGGAGGCGTGGTCAGGGCCAGACACCAGGAAACTCTCAGGCCACAACCTGTATATCTCTAGATAGTTCTGGTCTTCTTTAACGTGTTCCTTGAATAGAGCAGAAATCGGCCTCCTATAAAATCCACTCCTGGATCCCGGTTCTCCCCTCAGGAGATACATGGAAGCCTCAACTGTTTGAAAAACCAGGCAGGTCTCTCTTGAGGTTTCTTCAGGCCAAACCCTCTGGGTTACTTCAGCCATTCCGCACGCCCCTCTTAACCCCAGGCCATCCCAGATCCACCTCCCATGACACACTCAACCTGGTGCCTGTCCTTCCTAATGGGGGTCTCAGAACCCAAGGCCTGCAGAGTGGACTGACCCTCCCACCGGGCGCCCCTCCACGAGTGCAGTCTCACAGACAGTGGCACCAGGGGGCGCCCATTCAGCGATCCAGCTTCACAATGTATTTGCCATCGACTAAAATGCCATCGTCTTTTTCACATGTGCTCCTGCTAAGCTAGATTTGGAACTTTATTTTTATTTATTTATTTATTTATTTATTTATTTTTGAGACAGAGTCTCACTCTGTCGTCCAGGCTGGAGGGCAGTGGTGCGATCTTGGCTCACTGCAACGTCCGCCTCCTTGTTCAAGCAATTCTTCTGCCTCAGCCTCCGGAGTAGTTGGGATTATAAGTGTGCGTCACCATGTCTGGCTAATTTTTGTATTTATAGTAGAGGCGAGGTTTTGCTATGTTGGCCAGGCTGGTCTCGAACTCCTGACCTCAGGTGATTCACCCACCTTGGCCTCCCAAAGTGCTGGGATCACACGTGTGAGCCACCGTGCCCAGCCGAGACTTGGAACTTTAGATTGTTTTGTCCTAAACTTCCCATGGCTACACCAGCCCGTTACTCCAGACCATTGAGGTCAGCTTCATCCTGGCTCTAGCACCTGGCATGTGTGCCATCCTCCTAGCTGGATGGCAGCCCCACATTGGAAGGCCTGCCTCCTGGATCCTTATCTGAATTGCTGATGTGAATGAAAGGAGGAACCAACAGCACAGACGCCTATGTCTGGACTGACACTGGTGTGGCCTCAGCCAGGCCCATCTCTCTCCCTGTGCTCTTCAACAACAACAAAATCACAAATGAACCCCATAAAATGCTTTATGGAAACCTATAGATATCAGATTAAAGATCACAATCTGGTGGCCCCTATGTTGGATTTAGTGTTCTGTTCACCCAACCCATATTTTTAAAAATTATGAACCAGTTACAAGCATTTTTAAAAATTCAGAGATTTCTACATAATAATCTGGATTTTCAGCTTTCCTTGAAAAATCTGAAGATCTGATACCCTTGATTATTCCACAGTGATGTAGCTGGGGTGGGGCGTGTATTAGTCTGTTTTCACGCAGCTGATAAAGACATACCTAAGACTGGGCAACTTACAAAAGAAAGAGGTTTAATGGACTCACAGTTCCACGTGGCTGGGGAGGCCTTACAATCATGGCGGAAGGTGAAGGGCACATCTCATGTGGCAGACAAGAGAAGAATGAGCTTGTGCAGTCAAACTCCCATTTCTAAAGCCATCAGATCTCATGAGACCCATTCACTATCACGAGAACAGAGCCGCCATAATTCAATCACCTCCCACCGGGTTCCTCCCACGACACGTGGGAATTGTGGGAGTTACAATTCAAGATGAGATTTGGGTGGGGACACAGTCAAACCATATCAGAGTGGAAGCATTCCCTTTCAATGGGGCAGTTCTCTTTGATGTGTCACCATCCCCACCTCGCCCTGTCGCCTCACTCGCAGCCTGTTCCACTCATTTACATCACCCGCCTGACTGCTGTAGGCCACTGAGCTATGATATTCATCAGACGCAACTAATTACCCAACTTGTGAGGCCAGCAACCACACACTGGTAAACAGGTTTAGTTGACTTGGTGTGTTCCCAGTGACCTCCTGCTGGTTCCCAGGCCCAGCACCTGCTTTGCCTCTCCTCACAGATCATGCTGTTAGTAATCTCATCTAGCCTCTTGCCTGGGGTGGACGTCAAGCTCACTACACTGTAAACTCCAAAACAGCCCACGTTACTCCCGGTGACAATCAGAATTCCCCCTGGCCTGCCCTCAGGTGTCCTGGCTCTCTCCTCTCAGCATCCCCCATGGACTCATGGGCACCCCCGGTTGAGCTCGCTCACCCAGAGCTCTCTCTCTTCCCTGGGATGAGGCTTGGTTCTACGGAAGCTGGGGTCGTCACAGCCTGTTTTCTGCCTTGGGGTTTGGTCCCAGTTCCTCAGAGCAGTGACTTTCAGTTCCTTTGCAGGTGTGACCTGTCTGCTCCTGTTAGAGCCTCCTTTCCCCAGAGGGCAGGGTGGGCCCCACTGGGGAGCTGGAGGGCTCACTTTTGTCACTGCACTTGCCACCCAGAACACTGTTACTGTCCCTTTCTGGCATTTCTTGGTTTCAGACAATCTCACCTACCCCTCAAAGAAGGCGGAAGCTTCCTGTCGTGGTCTGGCCCTTTGCCATCTTTCAGTGTTCCTCACTGAACGGTAATCCCCTCCGTGTGCCCCCAACGAGTCATTCACCATCTTGTGCTAACTGCATTTCTTCCTGATCCAAACTTGCTTTCTGGAGATGGGGGCCATGCAGAAGGGAAGGCGGGTGTATCAGGAGGTCTGGTCTCTGGGGACTGAAGGGATGATTTTGCCAAAAGGGTCAATGTCACTGGACCACATGCCATGGTAAACCTTGGACAACCAGTTCTCCAGGGAAGAAAACAAGCCCGTGATTTGTAGTGTTTGCCTATTTCTACCGTGGAGACACTCTAACCACAGCTCCCACCAGAGTGGCTGCATTCACAACCAGCTCTTGGGGTTCCTGGAAAACTGGGATTTGAGCCTGTAGGAGCCAGTGCCAGCACCCCATGGGCATGTGTGTTATCAGCTCACATCTGCCAAGTCCTGGCGAGGTCTGCCTGCCTCTAGGACTGTAGACGTCTTTATTAGAGACTCCTGTCACACCTGTTAGGAGTCAGACAGATTAATAATCACTTCTTTTTATTTAGAGCTCTTTTAATCCCCAAACTCTTATTTATAAGTTATTTTATAAATTAATAATGATATATCATATATTATATTATAATTAATAATGACATATATGTCATATAACATTATTAAAATCAATTAATTATTAAATAATTATAATATATAATTATATATTATATTATTATTAAATATATAACATATAATAGATATTATATATTACATATTATATAAGTAGTAATTGCATATTATATAAATAATATATATTATATATAATATAAATATATTTATTTATTATAAATTATATTTATTTATATTATATTTATAATTACATTATATTATATTAACTTATTTATAAGTTAATCAGTTTTACCTCTTCCTTGTGATCAGGTTTGGGAAGGATGTTTTTTCTACCTGCCTGGTCTGCTTCCTTGACTGTGTGATCAGGGTCAAACTGCCCATTCTTCTGAGCTTCAGTTTATTTATCTGAGAAATGGGAGTTGCTGGTCCATTAGCACAGTTAGCAGAGCAGGTGCTGCATGATGACCGTGGCTCTCACTGACTGGGAGCCACGCCCCGGGCTCTGTTAGTTCGTTAAACCACTTGGGCAAGTAGGTCTTGAAATCTTCATTCACGGCCAAGGAAACTGGTTTGGTCTCAGAGAGTTAGATACTGTACTCTAGATCGCACAACCAGTTGGTCGTGGAGCTAAGATTGACATTCGTAGCTGACATGGTGTTTTAAAACTTAGTCACAAACATTAAAAAATCGGAGATTTCATCTAGGAATCTGGACTTTTACCTTCTGAAAAATTTAAAATTCTAGCACCCAAGGCCTGTGTTACCCCATGATGCTGTAACTGGAGCTAACTGGAAGCTGCTGCCTTTGAAGGGGTGTTTCCCCCATGGGCCCCAGTCCCCGCCTCTCCCTAGTGTCCCACACCTCGCCTGCTTCACTCACACCAAGTTTCACATTTCGTGATTTTCCCCATGGGCCAGAATGAGAGGAAGAAACTGAGGCACAGAATGTTTTGGCAATTAATTCAGCTCAAATCAGAGAAGCCACAGCAGAGCTAAGAACCGGTCTTTCATAGTCAGGCTATGTGATCAAAACCACAGCGCCTCGGTGGCTCACGCCTGTAATCCCAGCACTTTGAGAGGCCGAGGCGGGCAGATCACAAGGTCAGGAGATCGAGACCATCCTGGCTAACACAGTGAAACCCCGTCTCTACTAAAAATGCAAAAAAAATTAGCTGGACGTGGTGGCGGGCGCCTGTAGTCCCAGCTACTCGGGAGGCTGAGGCAGGAGAATGGCATGAACCCGGGAAGCGGAGCTTGCAGTGAGCCCAGATCACGCCACTGCACTCCAGCCTGGGCGACAGAGCAAGACTCCGTCTCAAAAAAAAAAAAAAACAACCAAAAAACCACAGCGCCTTCTCACTACAAAGCCATGACTTTACAAACTGTTTTAATCCCTTCTGTCCCCATATTGCACTTTGTATAACACTCCCCTTCCTAGGAAACCATTTGAATGGGTGTCTTTTTATTTGAATATGTTCTTACAAAACACTATTGTTGTCTTGGGTGCATGCATTTTAAATTGACTGAAGTCATATCATAGCTTTCATTCTGTGTTCCCCCTTTTCACCAAAGGATCTTCCATGCTGCTGCGTGCACAGCAAGCTCTTGCTTCTGGCTGCTGCAAAACACCCCATGTATGCCTTGACCACACTACTTGTCCACTGTCCCAGTGATGGGCATCCAGGTTCCCTGCAAATCTCTGCTGCACAAAGAATGACAACCCATATAGGTGGGTTGTCAAAGTGAGCCCTGGGGTATATGCCCAGGAGTGAAGTTGCTGGGTCATAGCATATGCTCATATTTAATTTGCCTAAATTGTACCTGATTATTCTCCACAATGGCTGTCCTGGTCTATGTTCCTGGGTTTCTCTATCCAGCACAGATGTTGAGAGAGACGGGAGGGCTTTGCACCAGTAACTAGGCCCTTGGAATGGAGCTCAAGGCAGGCTTGCCTCATGTCAAAGGCACCAGAACACACAGGCAGAGAGATTGGAGAACGGCAATCTTTCAGAGTCCAGGAGCGTAGAACTTAGAGGAAGGAACCTGAGATCTGGGTTCAAGTCCTGCCTCTGCCACTTCCAGGGCAAGTCACTTGGCCCTTCTGTATCCTGGCTGCCTGCCGAGGGGGTGATCTGCCCAGTGCTAGGGTGTTCTCTCAGAAAAGTAGTTCTTTTTTTTTTTTTTTTTTTTTGGAGACAGAGACTTGCTGTGTTGCCCAGGCTGGAGTGTGGTGGCATGATCTCGGCTCACTGCAACCTCTACCTCCCAGGTTCAAGCAATTCTCCTGCCTCAGCCTCCCGAGTAGCTGGGATTACAGGCATGTACCACCATGCCTGGCTTATTTTTGTGTTTTTAGTAGAGATGGGGTTTCACCATGTTGGCCAGGCTGGTCTCGAACTCCTGACCTCAAATGATCCACCTGCCTCCGCCTCCCAAAGTGCTGGGATTACTGGTGTGAGCCACTGTGCCCTGCCTTTTTTTTTTTTTTTTTTTTTTGAGACATAGTCTTGCTCTGTCGCCCAGGCTGGAGTGTAGTGGTGTAATCTTGGCTCACTGCAACCTCTGCCTCCCAGGTTCAAGTGATTCTCCTGCCTCAGCCTCTCAAGTAGCTGGGATTACAGGTGCGCACCACCACACCTGGCTAATTTTTGTATTTTTAGTAGAGATGGGATTTCACCATGTTGGCCAGGCTGGTCTTGAACTCTTAACCTCAAGTGATCTGCCTGCCTTGCCCCATTTCTTTATCTGTAAAATAGGAAGACTAACAGAAACTTAAGTGAAGCTGTTTGAGTACTCAAAAAATATTCATCCTTTTCTTCATTCATTTCCAACACTGAGGTAAATGCACAATGCATTTCATCTTCAATGCTGAGGCTTCTTTGCATGCTCGGTCACACTTAGGGCACCCTGGTATCCCCTCTAGCTGGTTCAGGGACTCACGGGACAGAGGCCCTGCTAAAGAGCAGGATTTGGGACTGATCAGGGCAAACAGAAGGTGAGGTCGGAAGTGTGCTGAAGCCATGGGGGGTAGGCTCAGGGAGGGATGGTCGTGGTCCTCATGGGCCATGGTTGGGGAGGAAGAGGAAGAGGAAGCTAAGGTTTTCATGTCTGATCAGCTCTTCTATAAAGTTGGGGGGTCCAAATTCTTTCCCAGTGCTGAGAGGCTTGAGTTGAGGACTTGACGGTGAATCGTTTGGTCAGCTGTTGAGGACAGGCTTGAGATGGACAAGTGCAAGGATTGATTTTGAGAGCTGACCGCCATAGGTCAGGTTCTTCCAGAAGCAGATCCTAGGCCTTGGTACCAGTAATTCATGAAAGAAGGGCTCCCAGGAGAAACCAGTAAGGGAGTGGGGGACAAAGGACAGGGAAGAGGGGGAAACCAGGTGTGGTTTCAGGTGAAGTCTCACCTCTGGCCTGATCTCACAGGAGCTGTGGAGTATAAATTGCACCTCCAAATTTGTCCCACAGGGAGGCAAGAAACTGGGCTTTTGCACATGTACTCCAGGCCCCCATTGGCTGTCTTGGGTAGGGATAGGGAATGTGGACCTCCCGGGTTTCTCCTGGATTTCCCCATAGGTGAGGTGGTTCCAGTGCCCAAGGGCAGTCGTCTGAGGCACCAGGCTTAGGTCTTTGGCAGCAAAGCAACAGAGCCCCCAGAAGTGGGGATGGGAGCAGGGGGGCGGTCAGTGGGTCCCAGGGAACTGGGTAGGACAGCAGCTGCGCTCTCTGTAAGAACCTGGCTATGGTTGGAAACCGTCATTTCTATCTACACCTGTGCTTTGCCAGTGCCGCTCCCTTCGCCCGCCAGGGTGCTCCCTGTCTCTTTGCCCCACCACCTCCTATTCACCTGAAGTAGGAGCATCTCAGCTGCAGAGTAGCTTCTTTGGTGAATCCTTCCCTGATCCACCAGGCTGAGTCTCCCGGAGCACCCTCCCAAGCTACTGTCCTCTCTTCACAAGCCTCTGCACCTGGTCATATTTTCTTAGTTGTTTATGGTTCTGTGTCTTGCTCCTTTGCTGGACTGTGGGCAGGGCCTGGGTCTGTGTTGGTCCCTGATGCCGGGGGCTGAGCCGGGGGGAAGAGAGCCAGAGGGGAAGGGAAGGGTAAGAGGGTAGTGACCGCAAGCGGGCCGCCTGCTGGCTGCTGCACCACCAGCTCTGCTTTCCTTCAGCCCTGCCCAGGGCAGCAGGTGATCGTGGGGCGGATCTTGACGAGTAGCTTCGAGGACAGGGGCCACAGGAGGACAGGCTGCCAGCAAGTGGAGGGTGCCAGGGAGAGAGTGGCTCTGGGGGGCCACAGTGGGGTTCTGGCTTGTTGGAGAGATGGTGGGGTCCAAAGAGGCCCGAAGGCCTGCACAGGGGATGAGATGAAGGGACAGTGGCCACTGGGAGGTCAGAGAGCAGTCGCTATGGGAATGAGCATGTGGAACTTGACGATTTGTCCCTATTGGCAGATACTGATGATAAAACAAGTTGTGTGACATTGGACAAGTTGCCTTATCTCTCGCAGCCTCAGCTTCCCCATGGGTTAATGAAGATAAGTATGTCATGAAGTTTCAATAAGAGGAAGACCCCGGGGGAAAGTTTATTTTTCCCACCACACTTGTATCTGTCAGTGTTTGCTGCATAACAAACAGCCTCAAATCTCAATACTTAATGACAGCAAACATTGACTTTCCACTCCTGGGTCTGCAGGTCTGCTGTGGTTGGCTAATCTAGTTGGGCTGTCTTGGACTCAGCTGAACCAGGCTGGACTCCAGGTTTCTAATCATGTCCAGGTCTGTGCCTAACATCCTCATTCCTGGGCCAGGCTGAAGGGCTGGAGTTTTCCTGGCCATCCTTTCTTATGGCAGATTGCAGGGGCCCAGGAGGGCGAGTAGAAACTCAATGTGCCCTTAAAGCCCTCAGCTCAGAACTGGTGCTTTTGCCCACATTGCACTGGCTTGGCCAGAGTCATGTGGCCAAGCCCAACATCAGTGGGGCAGAGACACAGATTCATCACGCTCTAGTGCAAGGTGCTACAAGGACGTGGCTGCAAAGCCCTGCAGCAGGGAAGGGCCCTTCTGCCACAGCACCCCTCCTCCTCCTCTGGGCTTCTCCAGTGCACCTAAGCTCTTGGAGAAAGTGCAGAAACCTTTCCCATAGTGAACTGAAAAGCTCACTGTGATGCCAGGTATGAGGCACAGTTTCTAGCTGTCAGCTGTGACTCTAGTGATCAAGGACGCATCCTGTCCTGGATTCTTAATTGTGGACCTGAGTTTCCCAGATGAGGGTTCCACCATCCAAATACCCAGAGCACCTGCTGATGGAGAGCATTGTCATCCTTGTCCCCTTGCTCTGATCCTGGTGACATTAACAGAGACTTCAGAGCTGTCATTTCAGTATCAGCCAAAGCTGTCAATTTTCCAGCCCTCCATCCTGAGCTCCTTTGATGTGAGGGGTTCAAAGCACTTTCTAAGCTGCTTGAATCTTCAAGGAAAGCATGGGCCTGACTCCCATGGCACAGATACTAGGGAGTGAATGGCAGAGATTTGGGGACCTGATGATCTCAACATCCCAGTGGGAATCCCAGCTCATGGGGGATAAGGCCTAAGTGGATGCCCATGTCTGAGAGTTGACCTGGCATGAGGGTTTCCCCAGCAGAGGGTGCGGTAGGCAGGGCTGCTGGTGGGTAGGCAGGGGGTAGGCAGGGACCCAGCCTGGGGAGGATGGCCTGATTCCACAAGGAGCTGTGGAGTGTAAATTACACCTCCAAGTTTGTCCTGCAGGGAGGCAAGAAACTGGGCTTTTACATGTGTACTCCAGGCCCCCATTGGCTATCTTGGGTGGGCACAGGGAATGTAGACCTCCCAGGTTTCTCCTAGATCTCCCCATGGGCAAGGTGGCTCCAGTGCTCAAAGGCAGTTGTCTGAGGCAACAGGCTCAGGTCTTTCACAGCAAAGAGGGTGTTGGCTATGAACTCAGAGAAAGGGGTGATTTAGAAGGGAGTGCAGAGACTGCTGGGGAGTGGGGCAAAGCCCATGCCAGGTGATTCTGGGAAGTCTGCCCAAAACAAGGCGAGAGGAATGTCGAAGAACCTAGCTTCAGGAAGTTGGGGCTGGTTGGAATGAAGTAGTTGGGAGAAGATAGAACCCAGCTCCACTAGTGCCAGGGCCCCCCAGCCCTGGACAGCAAGGGCCTGGGGGAGGGGTTACAACCTGGTGCTTGCCGGGGAGCTGGGAAGAACCGGGTGTCTGGGGTGGGAGTCATGATGTCCCTGCTGGCCCCAGCTGGCGGGTGGTTGGAGACAGGGTGGGTGCTTGGGCTCAGTCTTCGCTTTCCTTCCCTTAAGCTTGGGCCTCTTCCCCAGCGCTGCCACGGCACTCCCTTCTGCACACTGAGATTCTGACCGAGACTGGCATTGGCTTTTACCCTTTTCAAGTCTCCAGACATGTGGTTTGGGACCATGCCTGGGAGAGGCCAGTGGCGGCTGGACCTTGCCCAGAGATAGCCAGTGCCAGTTTCCCCCCTCCCACCTCTCAGTCCACCATAGCCCCAGGGGGCGGACCTCCTGTCCTCCAGGAGGTAGACGCCCCAAATGCCAGGTTTCACACCACCCTACCCACCCACTGAGCCCGAGTGGCTTGCGTCTGCCACAGCGTCTCTGACTGCCTTCTCTGCCCTGGGCTGGCAGCCCCCTGGCTCTGTGCCTGTCCTCCTCCGGGATCTCACTATCATCCAGCTAGAGAGTCCGGGGATCCCCCACCCACCACCTCCAACCCCTTTCTCATCTCTCTCATCTGGAAATGTCCCCTGGGATGCTGCTCTTCTGACAGCATCTCTGACCGCTCAGGCAAGCTGCTCAACCTCTCTAAGACTCAGTTTCCCCATCTGTAAGCTGAAGATATCAAACCCACCTGCACTATTAGATAAAATATAAATTGCATCACATATGTGGGCGCATCTGGCCCACTTTCTTCCACATCTGATGATCAGTCAACATCCATTCTTTCTTTTTTATTTAAACGAGATGAGGTCTTGCGATGTTGCCTCCTTTCTCTCCCCCCAAGTGCAGGTCAGAGCCTTCCAAGCCCCAGGAACCCACAAAATCAGGCCATCTTTGTGAGATGTGCCAGCTCAAATTCCCTGCAGCCTGACTACCAGAAATTTGCCCCCTTGAAAGTTCCCACAAGTATTTCTGAGATGCCCTCAAAGAGCCCCTCCCTGCTCCCTCCCAGGGCAGCACGGGGCACCGTTCCTTCCTCCTTTGCCAGGTCCTAATGTGCAGGTGTCTGACAGGCACTTACCCCGGTACCGCAAGAACACCAGGGTCACTGTCCCAGCCTAGGGCTCTGTGCCAGGCACTAAAGCTACCCATCCACAGTCTTGCAGCTTCTGCATGGCAGAGAGGGGACAACCCCCTGCCCAGTGCTAGGCTTTGGTTTGTACCCAGAGACCCACAAAAGAGTGCACACCATCAGTCTCTGTCTGATGCTCAGTCATTCCAGAAGCTAAATCAAGCCATGGGTTGTGGCAGAAAACAGAAGCTATGTCCTATCTACTCCCATTCCTCTGCCCAGCCAGAGTACCTCCCTCTCCTGGTCACAAAATGAGACCTGCCTTGCTCTTCTGTGGATGGAAACTTGCAGGAGCCTAGCTTTGCCATGCCAATGCACAGTGCCCATCCACCTCCATCCTGCAGCCCCAGCTGAGACACTTGTGCTGCTGAAGAGAATGCAGCCCCTCCCCTCTGGCCAGTCCCACAGCACACGCTTCAGCTGAGACAGCCAAGAAGAGCAAGGGGACTGCCTGCACTCACCACAGTGCTTGTCCTGGGCTGCTGCAGTCACCTCACCCTCGTCTATGCGCGTTGCTGTGTGACTCTGGTTCTCTGTAATTGACCTTTTTATTATTGGCGTGGGCATTGTTGCAACTATTTGGGCATCGTAGGTGTTTCCATGGTATTTGTAGCTTTTGTACAGAAACCTTCAGAAGTATATAGACTGGGAATGTTTTTGTATGATAAAAATAGACACTTTTAGGCAAGATGGTTTTTTTCTTTCTTTTTTATTTTTTTGTTGTTGTTGAGATGGAATCTCGCCCTGTTACCCAGGCTGGAGTACAATGGCGCGATCTCGGCTCACTGCAACCTCTGCCTCCCAGGTTCAAGCAATTCTCCTGCCTCAGCCTCCCGAGTAGCTGGGATTACAGGCGCCTGCCACCACGCCCAGCTATTTTTTTTTTTTTTTGTATCTTTAGTAGAGATGGGGTTTCACCATGTTGGCCAGGCTGGTCTCGAACTCCTGACCTCATGAACCACCCGCCTCAGCCTCCCTAAGTGCTGGGATTACAGGCAGAAGCCACAGCGCCCACCAGTCTTTATCTTTTTTTTGAGACAGGGTCTCATTCTGTTGCCCAGGCTGGAGTGTAGGAGCACAATCTTGGTTCACTGCAGTCTGCATTTCTCAGGCTCAAGGGATTCTCCCATTTCAGCCTCCCAAGTAGCTGAGACTATAGGCATGTGCCACCATGCTCAGCTAATTTTTTTTTTTTTTTTTTGAGATAGAGTCTCACTCTGTCACCCAGACTGGAGTGCAGTGGCATGATCTCTGCTCACTGCAGCCTCTGCCTCCCAGGTTCAAGCGATTCTCATGCCTCAGCCTCCTGAGTAGCTGGGATTACAGGTACACACCACCATGCCTGACTAATTTTTTTTGTATTTGTAGTAGAGACAGGTTTTCAGCATGTTGACCAGGCTGGTCTTGAACTCCTGGCCTCAAATGATTCACTGGCCTCGGCCTCCCAAAGTGCTGGGATTACGGGTGTGAGCCACTGTGCCTGGCCTAATTTTTTATTTTTATTTTTTTTTAATAGAGACGAGTTCTCATTATGTTGCCCAGGCTGGTCTCTAACTCCTGGGCTCGAGCGATCTTCCCACCTCAGTGTCCCAAAGGGCTGAGATTGTAGGCATGAGCCACCGCGCCCAGCAACAAGATGCTCTCTAACCTCCCCCTGCTTTGTGTGTGTGTGCATGCACGTGTGCACACTCGTACCAATTACATGAGCTAGGTTACATAGGCTGATTTTCAACAAACTATTACAGTGTTTAGCTCAAAAAGTGGTTATTTAGGCCGGGTGCAGTGGCTGACGCCTGTAATCCCATCACTTTGGGAAGCTGAGGCAGGTGGATCACCTGAGGTCAGGAGTTCGAGACCAGCCTGGCCAACATGTAGTGAAACTGCATCTCTACTAAAAAATACAAAAATTAGCTGGGTGTGGTGGCACATGCCTGTAGTCCCGGCTACTTGGGAAGCTGAGGTAGGAGAATTGCTTGAACTCGGGAGGCGGAGGTTGCAGTGAGCCAAGATCACACCACTGCACTCCAGCCTGGGCGACACAGCGAGACTCCGTCTCTTAAAAAAAAAACAACAAAAAAAAAAAACTGTTGCTTCGACAGTTATTTTAAAAAAAGATAATTTGACTTATAGAACATTTTCAAGAACGGTACAAAGAATTCCTGTATACCCTCTGCTTTACCCAATTAATGTTTTAGCATACTGTTTATCATCATTTCAGTCATATTACTATTATCATTTTTCTGAATTATTGACAAGTAAGTTGCTGACAATGCCCCACTGTCCCTAAATATATCAGTGTGTTTTTCCTAAGTGATAAAGACTCTCCTTTGTAACCACATTCAACCGTCAAAATCAGGAAATTAACATGGATGAAACACCACCATCTAATTCTTAGATCCTTCGTTCAAATGTTTTTAGTAGTCTCAATAACAATATATACATCTATTATTTACATATTTATGGAAGTTATATATAACTTTTATACACACACACACACGCACACACACACATATAATTTCCCCCTTCTGGGCTGAGGCTCAATCCAGGATGATGTGTTACATGTAATTGTCACATCCCTTCAGTGTCCTTTAATTGGGCACAGTTCCTTGCCTTTTCTTGTCTTTCATGACCTTGGCATTTTTCAATAGAATAGGCTAATAATTTTGTAGACTGTCCCTGTCCCTCAATTTTGGGTTTTCAGGTGTCTCCACATGACATGGCCCGGATTCTGCGTTTTCTGCAGGAGTGCATAGCAGCAATGCTGTGTCCTCTGTGCACCCATCTCAGGGGGTACAATGGCGCTCTGCTGTTACTGCAGAACTTAACACTGGACACTTGGTTAAGCTGGTGGCTGCCAGGTTACAATAAGGATTGTAAAGTTACTAGTTTTTGCTTTTAATAACAATTTAAGGCCAGGCGCAGTGGCTCACGCCTGTGATCCTAGCACTTTGGGAGACCGAGACGGGCAAATCATCTGAGTCCAGGAGTTTTAGACCAGCCTGGGCAACATGGCAAAATTCCGCCTCTACAAAAAATACAAAAAATTTAGCCAAACGTGGTGATGCATGCCTATAGTCCCAGGTACTTGGGGGGGCTGAGGTGTGAGGATCGCTGGAGCCTGTGAGGTTGAGGCTGCCATGAGCTGTGATCATGCCACTGCGCTCCAGCCTGGACAACAGAGTGAGACTCTGTCTTGAAAAAAAAAAAAAAAAAGAACAATGTAATAACATTTTTCCTCAAACTCTCACCCACTTTGTTTAGCATGTATTGACGATTCTTGCCTGAATCAGTCATTACTATGATGATTGCCAAATGGTGACTGTTTTTGTTGTCGCTTCGACGGTTATTAATTGGCATTCCACTGTGGGGAGGAGCCGTCCCTTCTCCTTTATTTATGTCAGTACAGACTCATGAATTTCTATTTTATTCGATGGATTATAATTATTTTTATTATTCATTTTGATGTTTGAATTGTGCTGGATGCACCTTTCAACTGTTCCTTCAGTTGGCTCCTGGCTCCTGTATCTGTTTGACAAATCGCCATTATTTTAGCATTTTCTTGCTTTCTGGGGCAACAGGTGTTGCAGGTACTTGTTAGATCTTCTTGGCCTCGATTCAAAGGCTGCTAGAATCAGCCATTTCTCAAGGAGCACTGGCTATCTTTCATGGAGGATGACATTTAGCAGCCAAGATCTGAGCAGCAGGTGTTCTCATTGCTGTTGGAGTGTTGTGGGCTCTCGCAGCAGACAGAGTGAGGAAATAGTGTGTGCACATACACTCATTCATGCACCTGTATTTATCTATATATCTTTTTTTTAAAAAATACCGCATCTCACTCTGTTGCCTAGGCTGGAGTGCAGTGGTACGATCTCAGCTCACTGCAACCTCTGCCTCCTGGGTTCCAGCAATTCTCCTGCTTCAGCCTCCCAAGTAGCTGAAATTACAGGCCTGGCTCATTTTTGTATTTTTAGTAGAGACAGGGTTTCACCATGTTGGCCAGGCTGGTCTCGAACTTGGGACCTCAGGTGATCCACTCACCTCGGTTTCCCAAAGTGCTGGGAATACAGGTGTGAGCCACTGCACCTGACCGGTATTTACCTGTATATCTTAAAAGCCCGAGTTGGCACAGACACTTCCCATTCCAATCCAATGCCCCACAGCCATGGGACCTTTCTCCTTTCTGTGTTTGCAGCTCCTTTCTCTGAGAGTGAGAAGCCTGGCTCCTGCTTCTTCCCCATGTATTATCCCCAAGAAGGGTAATCCCCTTCTTGGATTACATGCTTATTCCCCTGTGTATACCCTGCTTCTGGCTCTGCTGCTCCCCTGACATCACCACCTCCTTGGTTCTGGCTGTGCAGACTTCTAAGGCCCTCGTCATGTCCTTATCCCAGCTGCTCCCTCGTCCCCACTGGCTCTGCAGCCTCCTGCAACCTGACCACCTCCCTGGCCCCAGGTCCAAGGTCTGCTGGCCCTGGACACTTCAAAGGAAGGGAAAGGAAAGGAACCAATAAAATGTTTTTAAAAAAAGAGAAGGGAGGGAAGAGGAAGAGCTGATTGTTTTGTTTTTGTTTTGTTTGTATTTTTTTTTTCTATTAACAAAAGCCACATTCAATTATTGTTCTTTTTAAGAACAAACATTTTGGAGTCCATTCAAAGCCATGTGGCTGAAGAGAGATTCCTGGGACTGAAGGAGGCCTCAAAAGCTCTTCCCAAATCTGTCCCCCAGCCCCACCACACTGCCCACCTTTCCTATCTCATTAAATATCACCAACATCAACCAAGTTACTGCAGCCAGAGATCTAGGGCCACTCTCGCTGGCTCTCGCTTGTCGACCGTGCCCTGTTCGATGGGCTAATCTGGTTCCAGCTCCATCCTTGCCTCTCTCCTGCTGCTGCATCTCCCTAATTCAAGCACTAGAGTGGGGTTGCTTGGACGCCCAGCGTCCACACCGTAGCCGAGGTGATAGTTCTAAAATGTAAATCTGATCACATCACACACACACCAGCTTTTAATTGCCTTTAGTGCCTCCAAACCACTCTTTTTTTTTTTTTTTTTTGAGACGGAGTCTCGCTCTGTCGCCCAGGCTGGATGGAGTGCAGTGGCGCCATCTCAGCTCACTGCAAGCTCCGCCTCCCGGGTTCACGCCATTCTCCTGCTTCAGCCTCCCAAGTAGCTGGGACTACAGGCGCCACCAACACGCCCAGCTAATTTTTGTATTTTTAGTAGAGATGGGGTTTCACTGTGTTAGCCAGGATGGTCTCGATCTCCTGACCTTGTGATCTGCCCGCCTCGGCCTCCCAAAGGGCTGGGATTACAGGTGTGAGCCACCGCACCCAGCCAGCTCCAAACCACTCTTAAGACAAAACTCAAATTCTGCCAGGCCCCAAGGGCCCAAGACACCCATGCTCTGACCTTTCTTTCTCCCCCACTTCTTCACCCACGTGGGGCCCTATGATTCTTAAATTTGGGGGAGAGGAGGTGGTTAAAGGTTGAGACCATCCTGAGGGCAGGAGAGAAGTACAGGAAAGCATTTCAGGGGTTGCAGAGCGGGGAGAGGCCAGGCCGGGAGGAGGTGGCCCCCATCCCTAGTAAGAGCTGGACAGGAGGCTGCTTCCAGCCTTTCCCTCAGATGAGCTGGCTCAGAGCAGGGCAAACGCGGCAGGAGGTCTCCTTCCAGAACTCAAAGGCTCGGCCTGCACCGTCAGACTCCACACTGATCCTCACTCAGCCTTGGGACGTGTGGATGCCTGGGTCAGTGGGCTCCGAGACCTGGAGCCCTCTGTGGCTTTCAGAAACTTCCCAGCCTCCACAGGCGGGGAGTCTCCCCACTGGGAAATGGAAGTAATAAAAACAGCAGCCACCCCGCAAACCCACACCATTCTCTCCACCACAGCCGAGTGGTGTTTTCACCGTCCTCTCTAGTGGCTTTCTCATCTAACTTGAAACAAATGCTTTGGTGTGGGGAGCAACTGAAGCAGGGTATTTGGTTTGGTTTGTTTCCACTTTTTTTTTTTTTTAGACAGAGTTTCGCTCTTGTCACCCAGGCTGGACTGCAATGGCACAATCTCGGCTCACCACAACCTCTGCCTCCCAGGTTCAAGCAATTCTCCTGCCTCAGCCTCCCAAGTATCTGGGATTACAGGCATGTGCCACCGCGCCTATCTAATTTTGTATTTTCAGTAGAGATGAGGTTTCACCATGTTGGCCAGGCTGGTTTCGAGCTCCTGACCTCAGGTGATCCGCCCGCCTCAGCCTCCCAAAGTGCTGGGATTGCAAGCGTGAGCCATCGCGCCTGGCCTGTTTCCCAGTTCTTAATACTGTCCCGCCACTGGTAAAATCTCCACAATCATTCTATATGCTCTTCCATTTAAAACGAAGCCTGGAAGAGCCTTGTGGGGGGTTCCTAGCACCCCGGGGCTCCTGCTCTGCCTGCATGGCCTTCCTCTGTGCCTAGTCCTGTTTCACGCCTCATTTAGAGACAGCAAACAGTGCTAAAGTTAAAATTACCCACTGGGAAACTTGAGCCTGTGCAATGACTTTCCTGGATGGTGTGACTTTCCTGGATGGTGTTGGAAAGTCAGAGCCCAGGAACTGTTTCTGGAAATGCAGCACTTCTCAGCATGTGCAGCCCTGAGCCTCCAGCAGTCTGGACAACGGCTGTTCTTTGTTTTAAAGACCCGGGTGCCCTTCTCGTCCTGAACCCCAGGGCCACAGGCAGCCCCTCTCCCCTTGCCCTGTACCTTCCCCAGGAGTATTGCTACCTGAGTGAGCTCAGGTGCCAAGCCGTCAGACAAAGGTGCCTCTCCCTGCAAGTCCCAGCTTGGCAATCCACGTCTCTGGTTCCCTCAACACCTTTCTTCAATGGAGAGGTCCATTTTCTGCAATGCACATGCCCCTCAACACAGTGGTGGGGGCTGCCATTATGTCATTATGTTTGCAACCAAACTTCTCTGCAAGGAGACTTGGGGGACTACGAGGCTGAGCCAAGCAGGGTTCCTTTCCTTCAACCACTTATGAGCTTGTGGGGAAGGCAGGCACAGCAACTATGACATGACGCAGAGTGAGCTGCTGATTCTAAGCTGGGCTTGGTGGGGAGCTGTCTGCAGAGACTCTGTAAAAATGATCCTGCTGGAAGTCACCCAGAACTTTCCACAGACCTAGAAATTATAATGGGAGGCAAGAGAAGAGTATTTTGTTTCACAATCTGAACTAACTCCTACCATGTTTTGTTTGTTTGTTTTTTCTGCTTGACTCTTGGCTGTGAGCACAAATTCATGCCCATTCTGCTGATCCTAAAAGCTCTGAAGGGAGGGCTACTCTGAGCCTGAGATGTCAGATATATATGTAGATATATATGTAGATAGATAGATAGATAGATAGATAGATATAGATATAGATATAGATATAGATATAGATATATAGATATATAGATACTTTTTGAGACAGGGTCTTGCTCTGTTGCCCAGGCTGGAGTGCAGTGGTGTGATTGTGGCTCACTGCAACCTCCACCTCCTGGGTTCAAGCAATCCTCCCACCTCAGCCTCCCAAGTAGCTGGGACTACAGGGTGCACCACTACGTTTGGCTAATATTTGTATTTTTTGTAGAGACAGGTTTCATCATGTTGCCCAAGCTGGTCTCCACCTCCTGGGCTTAAGCAATCTGCCCACCTCGGCCTCTCAAAGTGCTGGGATTACAGGCGTGTGCCACCATGTCTGACCAAGACCTCATAATTTTTTTTTTTCTTTGAGACAGAGTCTCACTCTGTCGCCCAGGCTGGAGTGCAGTGGCTCCATCTTGGCTCACTGAAACCACTGCTGCTTGGGTTCAAGCGATTCTCCCGCCTCAGCCTCCTGAGTAGCTGGGATTACAGGCGCCTGCCACTGCACCTGGCTAATTTTTGTATTTTTAGTAGAGATGGGGTTTCACCATGTTGGCCAAGCTAGTCTTGAACTGCTGACCTCGTGATCCACCCACCTCGGCCTCCCAAATTGCTGGGATTACAGGCGTGAGCCACCCTACCTGGTCAAGATGTCATAATTTAACAAGTCTACTTAAATAAGGCAATGCTGCTCTTGGTTTTGTTCAAAATCAGGCTTCCTGTGTTGTGCTCTAGTTACCTACCTGCTAACGGGCGGAGGCGTTCACTCCAGGGAAAAGGGAGAGTTGCCACGGCAGAAATCCACGTGTCCGAGGGCATCACTTGGGGGCCGCCGGTAACCATTGCGGGGATCATGTCCCGGCTGACTTGGGCCTTCATGGTTTCCTTCTCTGTTTCAAAATGACTTAACAACTCTTTTCAGGAAGGCGGCTGCTGTGGAATGGGGAACGAAGTGTGGCAGCCTGGGCCATTAGGAACCAAGGGCAGTCCCCTCCTTGGTCAGAAGTGTGGCTGGTGCTAACCTCCCGATTCGAACCTGGACGCTTCATCGGGGGACGCAGGCATTTGTTTTCCCTCTGTCTCCTTGGGCGCCTTTTCACCATGGCCTTCACGTGCTGAGCATCTTCCATTTGCTCCCCAGTTCATTCGCTTCCCTGCCCCCTGCTTTCTCATTGGGTTTGGCCAATGGGAGCCGCAGCCAGATGAGAGGAAAGTTTTTTGGCGGGGGAGGGGATCTACTGCCCTGCTCGCATCCTGTAAGGTCTCCATGGTAGCTCCACGGGAGGCCACAGCGCCTGCTGGGCGGCCCCCTCTGGGTTCCAGCACCTGCTTCTTGCCTGTGATCTTCCCAGGGTGGTAACTACTATGAGTTCGGGGGGGCTGTACTGCCTGTTATTGGTATCCCTATGCCCTGTCCCTACATGTTCTCCCCAAGTTCCCCCGTTTAATGAGACATCTGCCTCCTGCCGGGACTCTGGATCGTGCACATGAAAAACGCACATGACACCTTGTTCACATTTTGCCTTTTACAGTTGCTGAAAAGGCACCACCTTTAGCAACGTGCTGGGGGATGTGAGTGAGGGCAGCTCCCCTGCTTGCCACTGTTTCTCTGCATCCCCAGTCCCAGATGCATGGAAGACCCTCCCTGACCATCCCTCCTCCTGGCTCCAACTCTTGTCTGTCATCCTGACCCAAGGCGGCAAATCCATGGAACCACTAAATGCTGCTCCAATTGCCAGGCCCTGCTGCACAGTCTGGGGATGGCACAGCCATGAGCAGACCTGTCCTGACTGTGGGCACACAGCTGGGTGGATATGGACCTGGCCTGCTGTGGGTGGGAACCCCCAGGCCTGTCCCAGCAGGACCCACCTACTCCTGCTGGCCTGTGGATGTCAATACACTGTCCACCTGGAAGCCCCTCCTGGCTTTGACTGGGTGGGGATTGTTAGGTCACACCCAGGCACGGTTGCCCTTCAAACAGACTCCTCCCCCTACCGGCCACTCTGCCCTGTCCCCTCGGCCATCGTACCCTGATGCAGGACCTTTCTGGGCCCAGGTTCAGAATGCAACACCATGTGTGGGCTGCTCCTCTCTGCACTGCACACACTGAGGCCAGACCATGCTCCTCACCACCCACCCGTCTAGACCACGCTCCCCACCCCTCCGCTGTCTGGGCCGGCTCTGTAGCTTCTATGATCCCCTTCTTGGGCTCTGACTCTTTCTCTTCCTGTTCTAGAATGTGCTTTGAACGTAAGTTCTCTGTTTTCCTTGTCAAAGCTTAGGGCCAAGAGCAAAGCCTTATGAAGACACCTTCCTGGACATTTTCTCCGGGGACACCTGCCTTTGCCTGGTTGGTGCCCCGCCTTTGCCATCTCCTGTCTGCACTGCCTGCAGGCACAGGGTGCTTCCTGCGGGCCCACTGCACACAGCAGGTTTTCCCTCAGGTGGGGTCTGTCCCTGTGGATCTGCTTCCTGTAGACCTGCTGTGTTCTTCCTGGGTGCTTTCCCCTCGGAGGGGGAGAGGTGGAGGAAGGCTCCCTCCTCAGCACACTTGTCAGCGGCCATTATCAGCTTGCCACCTGTCTGCCATCCATGAGGCTTGGCTTCTACCCTGCATTCTCTCCCTTCCTGGGAACCCGGGCAGCCGGCAGCCTTGGTTTGCCAGACCCTGGCTCCCTGGCCTCTGGGAGCGGGCCAGGCACACGCGGTGGCCTCACCGGGTCCACAGGGACTCCTTTAAATTGCTCTGTTCCTAGTACACAGCATATGTCATCAAGTCTAAGATGTTTACCTTTCAGATTTCACATCTCTGGAGTCACATAAGTCTATAATCAATGTGTAACATAGTCTGTGGTTCAGCTTCTTAGCAGTGCATAAAATAACGTGTCTTACTTGGTTTTAGCATTGGTGCGTCTTAAATTCCCAAATCTCACATGCTCACTCAAACACGCGTTCTTCAGATACCCTCCAGCCGAGAATCCTTTTCTGGATTCACACATGAGGCGTTCAACTTCAGCTTTCTTTGGTATTTTCATATTCCTTTTCCATGCTCTTAATGGCTTGTCATCTATTAGCTGTACATTTTTTGACAGTCTGACACTTTTCACGACTGCTTTAACTGAATTGAGTTCATAGATCTTGTATCATGTCAAATTATTTTTGTTATTCTGCTCACTTTGGTTTTTGAACCTACTCATGTTACTTTTTAGAGGCCTGGCTGCTGCTGCTCAGATATTTCTGGTTCAATAATGTTTGAAAGAGATTGCTTAACACGGGGCTTTGTGAAAACAAGTGAATTTATTGAAAAGAATTTAGAACACCCTTTTGCTTAACTCTCTATAAATTTACTAACTAAGACACACACACACACACACATACGCCCAGGCATAGACTTACATATGTGTGCAATGCACACAAAAAAACACACTTGGAAAGAGAAAGACAGAGACAGAGCCAGAGCCCAGATGGACAGCCCTGAATCACAGGTCACTGAAAGAGGCGTATGTGTCCTCACTAGGACTTGGAGTTAGCCACCCAGGCACAAGGGCTCGGGAACAGGTCTGAGTCCTAACCCTGCTCCCTGATGTCTGAATCTGTCCCAGTCTGGGTCATCCTGCCTCATCTCTCCTGATTCCACTTACCTGTAATCCCGAAGACCTTCAGGCACCCTCCCACCTGCCCACGTCAATCCCAATCCCAGTAGATATCTGACTTGGAGGCGGAAAGGCCAACGCTTGGCCCAGCCACGCTCAGGCCAGATGCCACCTGCTCACCAACCAGGGTGGGCTTTTCAACCTCCATTCTACTTGCCTGTGGGTCTTGTTTCCTACAGGCGATGGGTCCCATTCCCTCCAGAAAGAAGGTAGCTGGCAGCCCCCAGAGGAGCAGTGAGATCCTTGACTTCTAACTCCAAGGATGGCGCCTTCTCAACTAATTTTAAAATGACCTGAAAGTTGCTGGGTGTGGTGGCTTACACCTGTAATCCCAGCAGTTTGGGAGGCTGAGGTGGGTGGATCACCTGAGGTCAGGATTTCGAGACCAGCTTGGCCAACATGGTGAAACCCCGTCTCTACTAAAATTACAAAAATTAGCTGGGTGTGGTGGCGGGCACCTGTAATCCCAGCTACTTGGGAGGCTGAGGCCAGAAAATTGCTTGAACCCAGGAGGTGGAGGCTGCAGTGAGCCGAGACTGTGCCACTGCACTCCAGCCTGGGCAACAGAGTGAGACTCCATCTCAAATAAAATAAAATAAACAATCTGAAAGTCACTGACATGGTGGCTGTTATGAGGACAGGGTGAATCACAGGCACTTAGCAGTTGCCAGGGGCGCTATGCTCCTCCAGGCCAGGGAGGCCCCACCCAGAAGGGGTGCCTCTTTGGGGCTCATTCCTGTACCTACCAACAGCCTGACCCCTTGCTCCTGTTCAGCTGCCCCTGAGGGCAGGGCCTGGCAAGAAGGTAAAGGGTGAGGTAGGGGTGGGGCTGGCTGCTCAGGGACCACCTGGAACTACCGGCTAGAGCCACAGGGCTTACAGGAAGGGGATCTGCCCCAGGGCATTTGAATAGCCAGCACAATTACCCCCAAGGTCCTCTGCTATCAGCAACAGATACAAACCAGATAGATCATTTACTGAGTTTTGACAAAAACAACTATAACAAATGAAAAAAATAAAATAAAAATAAAAGCAAAACAATTGCTGGAATTGATTTTTTCCTGTGTTTTTTTTAAAAAAAGTTCTTCGTGCAGGAAAAAATAAAAGTAACTTCCCCACCAAACACACTCACAAATTCTAGAAAAACACATTCTAAACTGGAAAATAGGTATCTTGGGGTTGTGGGATTACAGGTGATTTCTTTCTTTCTTTCTTTCTTTCTTTTTTTTTTTTCTTTTTTTTTTTTTTTGAGACAGGGTCTCACTCTGTCGCCCAGGCTGGAGTGCAGTGGTGTGATCTTGGTTCACTGCAACCTCCGCCTCCCAGGTTCAAGCAATTCTCTTGCCTCGCCCTCCCAAGTAGCTGAAATTACAGGTGCGCACCACCACGCTTGGCTAATTTTTGTGTTTTTAGTAGAGACTGGGTTTGAGTTTCATCATGTTGGCCAGACTGGTCTCGAACTCCTGACTTCAAGTGATGTGCCCACCTCAGCCTCCCAAAGTGCTGGGATTACCGGCACAAGCCACTGCACCCAGACAAATTTCTTATTTAAAAAAATCCATATTTCTAATTTTGCCATAATATAAATGTACTATTTGTATAAAAATACTTTTATTTTATTTTATTTTATTTTATTTTATTTCGAGACTGAGTTGCCCAGGCTGGAGTGCAGCGGCGCAATCTCGGCTCACTGCAACCTCTGCCTCCCAGGTTCAAGTGATTCTCCTGTCTCAGCCTCCTGAGTAGCTGGGATTACAGGCACCTGCCACCACGCCCGGCTAATTTTTGTATTCTTTTTTTTTGTTAGCAGAGATGGGGTTTCATCGTGTTGGCCAGGCTGGTCTCAAACTCCTGACCTCAGGTGATCCACCTGCCTCAGCCTCCCAAAGTGCTGGGATTACAGGTGTGAGCCACCGTGCCTGGCCCAAAAACACTTTTAAAAATAAAAGTTTTTTAAAAACGGAAAGAAAAACAGATCTTAGGAACGATCCTCTGTGTGCCTTTTGCAGAAGGGCCCTTGGCAGCTGCTGGTTGCAGGATGTGAGGTGTGGGCATGAGGGTCACACACCCTGCGTAGGAGCCCAAGGCTTTTCCTGGATCGCAGTCACTCCCTCCGCCTCGCTGGTCTCTGCTGCAGTTGGCCTTTGTGGTTGGCTGACATTCTAGTTGGTTAACATGTGCGTTTGTTTGGATGTTCTGTCCTCAGGCATCCGAAGGCGTCTCCATGAGGTTCTTCACCAAGCTGGACCAGCTCATCGAGTTTTACAAGAAGGAAAACATGGGGCTGGTGACCCATCTGCAATACCCTGTGCCGCTGGAGGAAGAGGACACAGGCGACGACCCTGAGGAGGACACAGGTAGGGAGGGAGGGACAGGACGGCAGGAGGTACTTTTGGGAACTTGCCCTGCACCCACCTTGAGTGCTTGTAGACTAGGTGAGTCCTATTATCAGAGGGAGATTGTTGGCGTGGGGGTTAAGGACAAGTTAGGAACACAGGCTCTCTGGTCAGGCAGACATGGGTTAAAATTCCTCCTCCCCAGCTTATTAGCCAGGTGACCTTGGGGAAATTACCTGACCTCTCTGAATCACAGACTTCTCTTTAAAGAGACAGTAAAATAAGGCTGGGCTTGCTGGCTCACGCCTGTAACCCCAGAACTTTGGGAGGCCGAGGTGGGAGGATCGCTTGAGGCCAGGAGTTTGAGACCCTTCTGGGCAACATAGGCAATCCTGTGTCTACAAAAAGCTTTTTAAAAAATTTATTCAGGCATGGTGGCTCAGGCCTGTAGTCCTAGCTACTCGGGAGGCCGAGGCAGGAGGATCCCTTGAGTCCAGGAGTTCAAGGTTGCAGTGAGCCATGATTGCACCACTGCACTCTAGCCTGGGTGACAGAAAGAGACCTTGTCTAAGAAAAAAAAAGAGAGAGAGAGAAAGAGACAGTAAAGACTGAACTTCCTCTGCTTCACTTGACTAGCCTTTAAAAAGACAGAGAGAGAGAATAACGATAGTACCTGCCTCTCATGGTATCTCAAGGATCAAATGAGTTGAGAAATGTAGCACCCAGAGCCTGGTACATATTCATAGTAAGCACTCCATAAATGCAGCTACGGTCATTAGCATGATTACAATCTGCTGAATTTCACTGAGAGGAGAGTGAAGGAGGAGACCCTTGCACCTAACTGGAAGGATGAGGAAGGTGTTTCTTTATGTCATCATTAAAAGGGGGAGGGGGAAATACAACCCCTAAAAATATGTTGAAAAAAATGTACAGTCCCAGCCAGGTGCAGTGGCTCACGCCTGTAATCCCAACACTTTGGGAAACAGAGGCGGGCAGATCACGAGGTCAGGAGATCGAGACCATCCTGGCCAACATGGCGAAACCTTATCTCTACTAAAAATACAAAAATTAGCCAGGTGTGGTGGTACGCGCCTGTAGTTCCAGCTACTTGGGAGGCTGAGGCAGAAGAATCGCTTGAACCCAGGAGGTGGAGGTTGCAGTGAGCCAAGATCGCACCACTGAACTCCAGCCTGGCAACAGAGGGAGACTCCGTCTCAAAAAAAAAAAAAAAAATTATACAGTCCCTAAAAAGTGTGTGAGACTAAGGGTGCCCTTTACAGCATAGGGACAAAGACCAATAGAGCAACAGTCAGATGGAGAAAGTCTTGCAGAGAAGGAGCTTACCTGGGGATGCCCCACTTTTCCCCTCAAGGATTTACTGAGAATATACCTAAGGGAATAGAAATCATTTTGTTACAAAGACACATATGTGTATGTTCATTGCAGCACTATTTGCAATAGCAAAGACATGGAATCAGCCTAAATGCCCATCAGTGATGACTGGATAAAGAAAATGTTGTATATATACACCATGGAATACTATGCAGCCAGTAAAAAGAACGAGATCATGTCCTTTGCAGGAACATGGATGGAGCTGGAGGTCATTATCCTTAGCAAACTAACACAAGAACAGAAAACCAAATACCACGTGTTCTCACTTAAGTGGGAGATAAATGATGAAAACACATGGACACAAAGAGGGGAACAGCACACACTGGAGCCTACCTGAGGGGGTGGGAGGAGGGACAGGATCAGAAATAACTATTGGGTACTAGGCTTAATACCAGGATGATGAAATAATCTGTACAACAAACCCCATGACATAAGTTTACTTATGTAACAAACCTGCACAGGTACCCCTGAACTTAAAATACAAGTTTTTTTTTTTTTTTAAAGGCTTATTTCCTAAAAGAAAACCATGAGATACCTAACCGGGCCCCTCAGTTGGCCAGGGCTCTTCCTGAATTCCAGCAGGTGGAGACTACCAGGTCCCCCAGGCTCTCCCCGAAGAGAGGAGAGATTTGTCCACAGACGCTGAGACCCTTGCCTGGCTCCTGCCTGTTCTGGGGGCTTGCTGCAGGCATCCTTTTTCTCCCTCACCTGTGGGCTGGCTTGTGGGCCACCAGGGCCCCCTGCTCCCTCCCACCCTCATGGAAACACACTTTTCATGGTTGTGCAGCTGTTCGTTTCCAAAAGGACCGCAGCTCCATGGAGGCTGAAAGGGTCCCAGGCAGGCCCTGTCCCTTTTGGCCTCCCTGGTCTGAGTGAGCACTGCCCTCTGGAATCAGGAAGGTCAGGCTGTGGAAGAACTAGGGCTGACCTGTCCCATTGTGAGCCCAAGGTCACTCACCAGCACCGCGCCCTGGCTGCACCTGAACAGCTGCCCCCAGGCGCCCAGGGCCATGCTGAGAAGCTGTTCTGCAGAAACGCCCTCCACACTAAACACCCTCACTCCCCTCGGGCTGCCCATCCCAGCTAGTTGGGCCCCTCTGGGCATGGCTGTCTGGAGGAAGATCCCGACAAGTTTCTGTGAGGGCTGAAAAAAGAACCTCAGTCTCATGACTGCTGGCTTCACTTCCGCAAACGAGGTCGCCCAGTTGTCGGCTCGAACCAGAGCAATGCGACATGAGGCCCGCGCAGTCCAAGAGGTCTGTTTGGGCCCAGGGCCTCTTGAGGCACCGCCAGACCGTGGAGCTCGAAGCAGACTCCTAGTTGTCTTCAGAACCCCAGACAGAGGAAGTGAAGGGCCTGTTCTCTAAAGAGGAGGTCCCCCGGGGCCCACTGTGGTTGGGCCAGAGGCAGCCGCTCTGTGTGGGAAGAGGCTCAGACAGAGCTCTGGACCCTCCATTCGTGTACGTACAGAATGAACCTTCTCCTAAAGGCGATGGGTGGGCTCCCACCTCCCAGGCCAAGTTCAAGTCATTTGTTGAATGTCTCTGAGTGAAGGGAACCCCCTCGCTTTCTTTTATGTGTTTCTGAGAGTCTGGGGGAGGAGAGAAGGAAGGACAGAGGCTGGAGAGAGGGGACCAGGGAGAGAGGGAGAGGGGCAGTGTGGCTAGGCCTGCCTGTCTCCTTACCCCTGGTCCCCTTCCATGGTTTTGGCCTATTCTGGGAACTGGGCCTCTGCCTAGCCCAGGGCTCAGCCATCATGAGACAGGTGTCTCAGCCCCTGAAAGTCTGAGAGCCAGACTCATCCTGCTCACCTGCCTGCTGCTGTGGGCTTAGTCCATCCAAGGTCAGCAGCCCTGCAGGCCTTCCAGACCCTCCATGGAGCAAGGCCTTTTGGCCCTGGCAGGTGTTTGCTGATGGCCACAGTGGGGCAGACACTGCACTAGCCAGGGCCCTGTGGCAGGAGGCTCTCCCTCCAGGAGGGAGTCAGCGAGGGACACGGGGACGCAGATGGAGATCAATAACGTGGGTGTCGTGGCCTGGACCCCATGGGGCTGCGGTGAAGGCCGGGTTGTGCGCACAGTGTCCTCACCAATGGCCTTCCTGCTGTTCTCTCCAGTAGAAAGTGTCGTGTCTCCACCCGAGCTGCCCCCAAGAAACATCCCGCTGACTGCCAGCTCCTGTGAGGCCAAGGAGGTTCCTTTTTCAAACGAGAATCCCCGAGCGACCGAGACCAGCCGGCCGAGCCTCTCCGAGACATTGTTCCAGCGACTGCAAAGCATGGACACCAGTGGGTGAGTCCCCACTCAAGTCCAGCTGGGCCTTCATCTGCAGTGAGCCCAGCCAGGGCAGGGCTGGATGGCTTGGGTTTCGATCCTAGTTATGGGCCTGGTGACCAGAGGGAGATGGGGAGGTCTCCAGAGAAGAGTGCTTGTCATCTTGCACCCCAGAGGCCTTTGCACCATTGGCTTCAAGAAGGCCAGGGGCATGGGCCTTAACAGGAAAAGTGCTCCACGGGGGTGGGGGAGCACTCCGTCTCCAGGCACGGCCCGGCATAGTGTGGGCACTCACTGGATATGTGCTACATTAATTAATAAGTTAGTACCTGGTAATCTCCATGCCTTAGTAAATATAACTTTTTGTTTCTTTGTGAGAAACGCTCCATTGCCCCCCAAAGAAATCCTAATGACAGGGCTGAAGCCGCATTTCCAACTTGAAGGATCCATCTGAGGCTGCCAGGGCTGCCCTCCTCCTACTCTCTCACTTGGCAAAATATGAAGTAGATGCCGATGGGACACATACGCCACCGGGTTGCTATGATACTTGGCGTGTTCCTATTTCCACCTGGACATACCCATTGGTTCTTCCCTGGGCTCTCCAGCCTGAATTCTGTGCACGCTCCTTGATTTATTTGTGCTATTTATCAAATAGCCGAATATCCAGTGTTGCTACTATGTTGATTGTCTCTATATATGTGTCTAAATAACAGATGCTTTGAAAGTATTCCACATAGGCCAGACGCGGTGGCTCATTCCTGTAATCTCAGCACTTTGGGAGGCCCAGGCGGGCAGATCACCTGAATCCAGGAGCTCAAGACCAGACTAACCAACATGGCAAAACCCCTTCTCCACTAAAAATACAAAAATTAGCTGGGCATGGTGGCGGGCGCCTATAATCCCAGCTATTCGGGAGGCTGAGGGAGGAGAATAGCTTGAACCTGGGAAGCAGAGGTTGCAGTGAACCAAAATTGCGCCACTGCACTCCAGCCTGGGCAACAAGAGAAAAACTGCGTCTAAAAAAAAAAAAAATTCCACATCGAGCCCATTGTTTAGTTCCCCAGGGTTTCCATTTCTTCCCAGGTTTGGATGCTGAGTGCAGTAAACTGGATGGGGAAGAGTCGGGGAGGCCCCATGGTTCCACCTGCTGACCTCTCCTACTAAGGCTCGTACACCTCCCGCCAACTCCATCTCCTCCTCATCAGCCCCTCCATCCTGGTTATGGGGTTCTGCCTCAGTGGGACCAGCAGGGGCGTGAAGCCGAGCTTCCAGGCAGCTTTCCAGGAGGGGTTAGGGTCGGGGCATGGGCTGAGGGTTCATGGGCAGAGAGCCCTGCTTTTTCTATCTTTGCTTATCATGTCAGTGGAACCTTCCTAAAACTTCTGTTCGGAGATGGGAATGAGTGAAGGGGGCATGTGCAGAGACCAAGGAAAGCGGCGACACAGAGCCGCCCTCCATTCTCAGGGTCAAGGAAAACTGGGAATCCACATTGTGTTTTAAAATCAGTCTATTTCGCTTGTCAAGCTGCTTTGCACATAGAGGACTGCCTTTTGATTATTTTTCTTTAAATGACAACTTGCACAGTCTTTCCTGCAAGTTAATCAGATCTCATCAGTTAGGTCTTAGTAGGTTAATTATCACATTTCTAAGTAAAATTAGCCTTCTCAAATAAACATAGTTTACATCTTTATGTCAACACTTTTCTACAACAAACTTTTATTTTTGAGACGGAGTTTTGCTCTTGTTGCCCAGGCTGGAGTGCAAAGGCACGATCTCAGCTCACTGCAACCTCCCCCTCCCGGGTTCAAGTGATTCTCCTGCTTCAGCCTCCCAAGTAGCTGGGATTACAGCCATGCGCCACCACAACCAGCTAATTTTGTATTTTTAGTAGAGACGGGGTTTCTCCATGTTGGTTAGGCTAGTCTCGAACTCCCAACCTGAGGTGATCTGCCCGCCTCGACCTCCCAAAGTGCTGGGATTATAGGCATGAGCCACTGTGCCCAGCCTACCACAAACATTTTAACAAATAGAACTGCCTGTAATACAGACTCACGGTATCAAAGTCACAAGGCAATAGTAATTAGACCTGTTAAGATACATATTTTAATACAGGGGTCCCCAACCTGTGGACTATTAGGAACTGGGTGGCAGCAGGAGGTGAGCGGAGGGCAAGCGAGCATTACCACCTGAGCTCTGCCTCCTGTCAGATCAGCGGTGGCATTAGATTCTCATGAGTGTGAACCCGGTTGTGAACTGTGCACTTGAGGGATCTAGGCTGCACGCCTCTTAGGAGAATCTAACTAACGCCTGATGATCTGAGATGGAGCAGTTTCCTCCCACAACCATCCCCCCACCACCCATCCGTGGAATAATTGTCTTCCACAAAACCGGTCCCTTGTGCCAAAAAGGTTGGGGACCACTGTTTTTAATACTATAGAAGAGATGTTTGTCCCTTTTAGTAAACAGACTCAGGCAGAAACTGGATTTTTATGATGTCAAGACCCAGAATAAATATAGAAGAACTTAAATGTAAATGTTCTCTTCTCAATCTAACAAGTCAAATGGGTAAGCCAGTCCTGTTCAGTATTTTTTTTGAGATGGAGTCTCGCTCTGTCACCCAAGCTGGAACACAGTGGCGCGATCTCGGCTCACTGCAACCTCTACCTCCTGGGTTCAAGCAATCCTCCCGCCTCAGCCTCCTGAGTAGCTGGGACTACAAACGCACGCCACCACGCCCAGCTAATTTTTGTATTTTTAGTAGAGACAGGGTTTCACCATGTTGGCCAGGCTGGCCTTGAACTCCTGACCTCAGGTGATCTGCCCACCTCTGCCTCCCAAAGTGCTGGGATTATAGGCGTGACCCACCATGCCTGGCAATTCCTGTCCAATCTTAAGAGCAACGGCTTTTCATTCTTTCACAGATTCCACAGGAAAAGCCTTGTGGCCTTTAGTTTCAATTTGATTACATATCAAGCCTGGAATAAAAATCTTTAAGGCGGCTGGGCAGGGTGGTTCACACCTGTTATCCCAGCACTTTGGGAGCCTGAGGCAGTGGATCACCTGAGGTCAGCCTGGCCAACATGGTAAAACTCCACCTCTACTAAAAATACAAACATTAGCTAGGTCTGGTGGCATGTGCCTGTGGTGTCAGCTACCCAGGAGGCTGAGGCAGGAGAATCACTTGAACTTGGGGGTTGGAGGTTGCAGTGAGCCGAGATCTTGCCATTGCACTCCAGCCCAGGTGACAGGGTGAGACCCTGTCTCAAAAAAATAAATAAATAAATAAATAAATGAAGGCTTGTAATAATTTTTTCCACACAGCTAATTAACATGGTTAAGCCTCAGTTCTCTGATTTGTAAAACAGGAATAATTAGTAATAATATCTGAGTCATAAAATTGATTTGTGGGTTAATGGAGAAAATGAGCATGAAGTGCTTAGCATAGTGTCTGGTATGCTGTGCTCAGGAAATACTTGCTGTAATTACAATTTCCATCATTATGGGAACAAACACTCAAGCGTTACCCAGAACAAAAGGTGCTGGAAGATAGAATGCAGACAGCTGATCCGACTTTAGGGGGCGCCCCTCGTGGGACTGGCCTGGGCTCTCTGCCTGTGCCTCTGCCACCAGGGTTGATCTGCACAGTGAACAAATCCTGCCTTCAGCCCCATTCACTCTGTACACTGAAGGGGTTGGAGCAGATTCCACACGGCAAAGTCGGCCACTTGCACTACCTCATTCCATATCCCCAGCCCCATCGCTAATCACTCAGACTCCCCCCACAGAGCCTGAGATGAATCCAGACTCTCTGAACACAGTGCCCTGGGTAGCCTTTGGCCGTGAAATTGCAAAGTGCATGGGAGCTAAAGCCATTTGTTATCTCTAGATCCCATCATCCTTCCAGCCCTCAGATCCTATCTTTATAAGTAGATAAGGTAGGAAAACAATTCCACTTACACTTTCCAAAGCTTTTGGCCTCCTTTTGTGTGTGTGTGTGTGTGTGTGTGTGTGTGTGTGAGAGACAGTGTCTCACTCTGTCACTCAGGCTGGAGTGCAATGGCACGATCTGTTTTCACTGCAACCTCTGCCTTCCGGGTTCAAATGATTCTCCTGTCTCAGCCTCCCAAGTAGCTGAGATTGCAGGCACCCACCACCACACCCGGCTAATTTTTGTATTTTTAGTAGAGGCGGGGTTTCCCCCCAGGCTGTTCTTGAACTCCTAACCTCAGGTGATCCGCCCACCTGGGCCTCCCAAAGTGCTGGGATTACAGTTGTGAGCCACCATGCCCAGCCTTGGTCTCCTTTTTAAAGTATAACCATTTCCCAGACCCCCAGCCAAAACCACTTCCTCCCAGCAGCACCCAAAGGAGCTCATTGAGAGGCACCTTTTCCTGCTGGGCCACTTCTTCTTGCTCTGACCTGCTAATCTACCCCATCAGTGAGACCACGGGAACCTTCGTCCAGGTTTGCAAACATTCTTCTGAAGGACGGTGTCCCCTTGGAGGCTCTGAGGATGAGGATTTGTTATTGTGGTTGCTGTTCCCATTGGTGATGGTGGCTAAAAGAAACAGGCAAGCATAGTTTGTTTCTTTTTTCTTTTCTTTAGGCTTCCAGAAGAGCATCTTAAGGCCATCCAAGATTATTTAAGCACTCAGCTCGCCCAGGACTCTGAATTTGTGAAGACAGGGTCCAGCAGTCTTCCTCACCTGAAGAAACTGACCACACTGCTCTGCAAGGAGCTCTATGGGTAATGGCTGGCCCACGGGGGCGGGCAGGTGGGGGCGGCCACCAGGTGAGAGAAACAGCTCATGAGAGCGACCTCTGCCTCTGCCTGGCTGAACAAATGCCTCTGCCGCACTCACAATAATTGAGTGGTGAGCACAGCTTGGAAATCTCTGTGGTTGTTTGGAGGTCTTGTTATCATGGAATTTGAACAGTAGCTTGTGTGTGCTGCAGCTTTTTACAACTAAAGTTAATTGGAGGCCAGTTGCTCTGGGAAGCGGATGGGGTGGGAGGACATGGCCAGCCCTTTCTCACTTGCACAGGATCCAGCTCTTAAGATTTTTGCTGCTGCTCTTGCTGTTTGCTGCAGCCATTACACCTGACAAGCACAGAAAGGCATCAAAAGGAAATAAATTAAAGTTAGTCTATTTTCTGCGTGGGTGGTTATGGCCCAAGATTTCCAGTGATGTCAATTTTTCAAAGGGAGATGATTCACCAAAACTTTAATTTTCTGATGTCCGATCCATTGAATGACCAACTGGTAAAGGTTCTGATTTCTTTTAGATTCTTTTGGTTTTACATTTTAAAATTTAATTGATGAAAGTTAATTTCAAGTTAATTACATTTTAATTGTTAAAAGTGCAAAAGTAAGGCTAATATGCCATCCAAAGAATTGGCAAAGAATATTTTAAATGCCAAAAGCTTGGAAGAGAAAAAAAACAAAAAAAATTCCAGAGCATCTGAACAAAGCCACAGGGAGCCAAAACAATCCCATCACAAATGAAAGGTCAGGCCGGGTGTGGTGGCTCACGCCTGTAATACCAACACTTTGGGAGGCCGAGGCAGGTGGATCACCTGAGGTCAGCAGTTTGAGACCAGCCTGGCCAACATGGTGAAATCCTGTCTCTACTAAAAAAAAAAAAAAAATTAGCTGGATGTGGTGGCACACACCTGTGATCCCAGCTACTCTGGAGGCTGAGGCAGGAGAATCACTTGAACCTGGGAGGCTGAGGTTGTGGTGAGCCGAGATCTCGCCACTGCACTCCAGCCTGGGTAACAGAGCAAGACTCCGTCTCAAATAAACAAACAAACAAAGGAAAGAAAGGTCAACATTTTGATTGGAAAAATGGGATTTCATACTGGCAACGGTTTTGTAGTCTGTGCTGTTTTGTGTTTTATTACACATACAGCCGTTTCAAGATTCCTTTGTTGATTTTTCTGGGGCTGTTTCAATCTTAGCTTAGTTAATATGCAGAAAACACTCTTTTATCATCAGTAATCAAATTCGACTTTCCTTTTAAAGGCTTTTAAAAGCACGATCAGTACATTCGGTAAATTTAACAAATAATTTCTTTGACAAATCAAGCACTCACCAAATTGGCCAGTTGGGCTTAATTTCAATGAATTGGCTTTCAACTAATGCAGCTGTAGCTAATTGGACCTGGAGCTATCATTTTTATAGATTCCCATGGAGGGATTTTGTTCCATTTGATGCTGTTGTTATGAATCACTTTATCACTAGGGGAAAACACATACAGCACTTTCTTTTTATAAAACACCATTTCACAATGGCTGATAACAAGCTCTTAGTTCTGCTTCAGTGGAGATTCTGTTCTTCCCTGCTTCCTTGTGGAGAAAGAAATGTATTTTAAGTCTCTCCACGAGGCTTCCCTCAGTCTTCCCCAGACACTTCTGCACATTGTTAGATTTCCCTAACACCTCAACACTACCTGGACTTCCCAGGAGCCAAGTCACCTCATCACTATGGCGGTGCCAGCTTCCCCAACTTGTCTTCTTCTCGGGTATGTAGTGCCGATGGAGAGAGCTTCCTTCAGCTTCTAGCTGCTCCATGACTCTATTTAGAATTAAAGACACCGTCATGCTCTAAATTTCCCTTGCACACTCGTCTTTGCTTTCATCAGTAAGGCGACAGCCAGGCTTGGAGACTTGATCAGCCTTGGCATTTTAGGAAATTGTAGAAAGGAACAAAATGATGCTTCCCATTTCTCCTGCCAGAATCCCTGCAGATTCTCATCCCTCAAATTGTAAACCCATAATTTTCAAACTGCTTTGATTAGAATAGGTCTTCATTCATTCGTTCATCGAACAAACATGTATTGGAGGCCTCCTCTGAGCCCTGTTCTGGGTGCTGGGATGTAGCAACAGACACAATGCACAAGCCTCTTGCTCTTTTAGGCCTTTTTGGATCTAACATCTCAGTGAGGCACACAACAGTAGACTAAGGATCCAGATGAACAAGAATTTTTTTTTTTTTTTTTTTTTGAGACAGGATCTCGCTCTGTCACCCAGGCTGGAGTGCCGTGGTGAGATCTCAGCTCACTGCAGCCTCAACCTCCTGGGCTCAAGTGAGCCTCCCACCTCTCAGCCCCTATCCTTGAGTCCCCCCACTCACTTGCTTCCCCCGAGTCCAATGGAGAAGCTGGGACTACAGGTATGTGCCACCATACCCAGCTAATTGTTATATTTTTTGTAGAGATGGGGTTTTGCCTTGTTGCCCAGGCTGGTCTCCAATTCCTAGGCTCAAGCAATCTGCCTTCCTCGGCCCCCCAAAGTGCTGCAATTACAGCATGAGCCACCATGCCCAGTTCAAACAGTAATTTTAGTAAATGTCATGGTAAGATAAAACACGATGATGTGAGGAAGAGACATTGGGTGGGAGAGTGCCAGCTTCCTTTGGAGGTGAAGGAGGTGACAGAACTGGGGTCTTGCCACACAGTGATTTGGCAGAGGGACATTAAGTACAAAGTACAAAGGTCCTGAGGCAGGAATGAAGACAGCCTGCTCAAGGAACAGGAAGTCTGTGTGGCAAGTGAGTGTTAGGAACAGAGGTTGGGGAGAGGCTGGTGTAACATGTAAAAGCTGGTCAACAAGTAAAAGCACAGGCTGCCCAGAGAGGTGGAATTTTAGGTGAACAGCAACTTCTTTAGTATAAGTATATACCATGTAATATTGGGATATACTCATGCTAATAGATTATTCATTGTTTATCTGAAATTCAAATTTCACTGGGTGTCCTGTGTTTTACCTGGTCACTGTAGGCAGGAGCCACATCACGCAAGGCTTAAGAGGCCCTATAGAGTTTGTGCAGGGCTGGGCCATGATCTGATTTTCAAGTGGTGGAGGATGCATCCTAGGAGGCACTGCCCAAAGCAGGAGACCAGCTGGGAGTGGCTGTGGTTGTCCAAGTGAGACAGGATGGCAGTCCATGAGGAAGGTGGCTAGCAGGGGCAGGGGTCTGTGTCTGTTTTGCTTCCTGCTGAGTCCCCGGTTATACACAGGCTCTGGCACATGCGGCTCAACAGATATTAGGTAAATGACCCAATGGCTGGGGGCGTGCAGATGCTGAGAACTGGTGTGACCTGGGACACGTGTGCATGGCAAAGGTGTCAGATTTGCCGCTTGATTGGATGTGGGGTGAAGGGAAGATGAATCTAGGGTGACCCCTGGGTTCCCAGTGTGAGGGGCTGAGTGGATGCTGATGCCAGTTCCTGGGATAGGGAAAGTCAAGGAGGAGGAGGAAGGAGAGGGTGGTGGGAGGAGAGTTCTGGGCTACATTTGGCTTGAGGGGCCATGAGGCATCTGAGTGGAGTCACCAGCCATGGAGCTAGTGCTAAGAAGCTAGGATGTGGGGGATGCATTTGGGGAATCATGGGGGATGCATATGGGGAATCACTGAAAGCTGGGGGTAAGGTCACTGCAGGTGAGAGTGTAGACAGAGGAGAATAGAGCCAGGCTCAAGATTTAGAGGAGGGATGGAGAAGGAGGAGCTGGGAGGGGGTTGAGAATGGCATCAATGATGTCCAGGTCTATTTGCTTGGACCCAAGTGTGAATGAGAAGGACATTGAGCACTGAGGAGTAAGGAGAAGTGCCAGAGCCTCCTCTGCAGAAATGTTGTGACGATGTCCCCGTGCGGGTCTGGCGTGAAGATCTCTTTGCAGTACAAAGCATCAGGCAAGATTTGCAACCCCAGGTTAGGCTCCCTAGAGCCAGACAGAAACTTTTCCAGAGAGAGAGAATAAGGAACCAGAGACTGGAAATATTTGGTAACTCCTGAAATGGAGACACGGAAAGGATTGCAAGTGGAATTTAAAATAAAAGATCAAAGGTCTGAATATCAATACAATATCTATTACATGAGAGCAGGGTAAGATTTTTAATAAACAAACCAAAACCAAAAATACTTCATTACCATTATAACTGTTTCATTGGAGGCCATAAAATAAGCCCATAGTTTTCCAATCAAATTTCAAAAATTAAATCACAAAACAGAGTAGAGTGTCAGAAACATGTATATCAAAAGCATGAAAAGATTAAGCAAACCTAGATGAGGAAATGTGTGGTAAAAATGGACAGTCCTTGGAGACAAAGCTCAGAGGTGCTACCTGTAGCTGGCAGGATATGTTCTTGAAGAAGTAGGAAAAAATTGCCAATTAATGTATACAATAAAAAAAAAAATTTCCAGGCTTACAAAAGAGCTAAATCTAAGTTTTGAGAAGCTCCATAATGATCCAAATAATACAACAATCAAACAGCAACACTGAAACATCTTTTTTTTTTTTTTCTTATAAAGAGACAGCATCTCACTCTGTCACTCAGGCTGGAATGCAGTAGTGGGATCATAGCTTATCCATCCTTGAACTCCTAGGCTCAAGTGATCCTCCTGCCTTTAACTCCGGAGTATCTGTGATTACAGGCATGCACCACCATGCCCAGCTAATTAAACAATTTTTTTTTTCTTAGAGATGGAGTTTCACTATATTGCCCTGGCTGGTCTCAAACTCCTGGGCTTAAGCCTTGGCTCCCCAGAGCTCTGGAATTACAGTTGTGAGCCACTGTGCCAAGCCTAAATCTCTTACAATGTCTCTAAATGACAAGAAAAGATAAATTCAACAAACAGATTGTTACAAACAGTACCATAGCTTTAAAATTGTCGACATTTAAAATGTTAAATATTTTTAAATATTTAATATTTTAATATTTTATATTTAATATATTTAATATTTAAAAATTCAAACTCCTTGACAGTATAATAAAGATTCTGAAGCCATGTCTCCAAGAAAAAGGCTACTGACCTGGAAAAGCTAAGCCTAGCTCATTCAAGAGCACAAGTCATCTTTTTCAGAAAGTTCCTAAAAATGTACCAATCAAATGCCTTACTCAAAAGGAATCCAAAAATTGTTTTTCAGAAATTTTATAGTCCTGGTGATCTTAAAAACAAGAAGCCTGCAGCTTACTGAGCAGCAAAATATGAATATACTCAAAGCAGAAAGTGTTCATTCTGTACTCCCATAACACACTGTGATGAAAATAGAAATAAGTCACAAAACTAGCCACAACCACCCAATTACCTGTACATTTTAAAATCACCTTCTAAATTACAGCTAATTAAGAAAGAAACTGACACAATAATACATGGGGTAGGTGTGGAGGCACAGAGTGGAGTAATCAAACCACTGCATATCAGAACACTATGTGATGCAGCCAAAGCACCACTTAGAGGAAAAACCATAGCTTTAAAAGTTCTGCTCTATTATTAAAAAGTAAATAGAAGGCCGGGCCTAGTGGCTTATGCCAGTAATCCCAACACTTTGGGAGGCCAAGGTGGGCAGATCACTTGAGGTCAGGAGTTCGAGACCAGCCTGGCCAACATGGTGAAATTCCATCTACACTAAAAATACAAAAAATTAGCTGAATGTGGTGTTGCACACCTGTAATCCCAGCTACTCAGGAGGCTGAGGTAGGAGAATCGCTTGAACCCAGGAGACGGAGGTTGCAGTGAGCCGAGATGGTGCCACTGTGCTCCAGGCTGGATGACAGAGCGAGACCGCGTTTAAAAAAAAAAAGGAAATAGAATAACAAGTCAAATGTACAAACTGAGTCCAGATTGTAAATCTCTTGAAGACATTATGGGTCATGTCCTAATCCCCTTGATGTTTCCAGGACCCAGCAAAGTACATGAAATGTTGATTTATTCGATATTCATGAACAAAGATCCAATGTGTACCAACTATCTGCAAGGCACTGTTCCAGGAGCTGGAAATACAGCAGTGAATAAAACAGAATCTTTAAGAAATCTCTGCTGAGCAACTGAGCAATAACAACAGCCAGAAAGGAGACGAGGAGGACAAGATGGTAAAAATAAAAACAGAGATACATCAGGAAAAACTGTCAATTAAGAAAGTTTTAAACATGAGAAATGTCAAAGGAGAATTAATAATCTGCATTAAAGATTTGGAAGTCACTAAAGAATAGTGTACAGTTATGTAGCTACAGATCTTCAAGTTATAATTAAATGGAACACATAGTTTACGTAAAATATAAAACATTAAAAGTACCATGAGTGTCCTTTAAACTTTCAAGGAAAAAATAGTGAGCATAAGGTATAGATTATTCCTGAATGACAAAAAAGTCACCTAATTCTCTCTTCAAGAAAAATATGATTTAAATCCAAAAAGCTAATCAAGATAATAGCCTGAAATAAAACTCTCTATCTCTGATTTCACTTATTAATATAAATGCATATTGTTTCAGTAACATCCCAGCAAATATAATTTAGTGACATGAAAAATGGAGGCTTTATCTAGGTCACTCCAAAGATGAGTCAACAAAAAGAAAGCACTGTAATTTTGCAGTAGATTAAAAGATAAACGGAAACCATTTACATAGATAACATTTTAAATTCATCTCTAATTTTTAAAAATCATTTTTAAAAAAAAGGAATAGAAGGATACTTCCTTAATAATGCAATATGAATCAAAGTAAAACTAATTACAATCGATAGGGAAACATTAAAATCATTCCATTAAACTTTTTTTTTTTTTTTTATGAGATGGTGGCGTCTCCCTCTGTTCCCCAGGCTGGGTGCAGTGGCAGGATCTTGGCTCACTGCAACTTCTGCCTCCTGGGTTCAAGCTATTCTCCTGCCTCAGCCTCCTGAGTTGCTGGCATTACAGGTGCCCACCACTATGCCCGGCTAATTTTTGTATTTTTAGTAGAGATGAGGTTTCACCATGTTGGCCAGGTTGGTCTTGAACTCCTGACCTCAGGTGACACCCACCTTGGCCTCCCAGAGTGCTGAGATTACAGGTGTGAGCCACCACACCTGGCCCCATTAAACATTTTAACAAAAGAAAAAGAGATACTGCCCTTGCACTCCAGCCTGGGCAACAAGAGCGAAACTCCATCACAAAAAAAAAAAAAAAAAAAAAATATATATATATATATATATATATATATATATATATATATATATACACACACACACACACATACACATAATATGTTAGTATTTATTATTATGATATAATGATATTATATTATAATATAATGAGATTATATTGTATTAATAATGTAATGAGATTATATTATATTAATAATGTAATGAGAAAAAAATACAGCACCTAGATTAAATAAAAAGCAAAGTAGGCCGGGCCTGGTGGCTCACGCCTCTAATCCCAGCACTTTGGGAAGCTGAGGTGGGCGGATCACCTGAGGTCAGGAGTTTGAGACCAGCCTGCAACATGGCGAAGCCCCGTCTCTACTAAAAATACAAAAATTAGCTGGGCGTGGTGGTGTATGCCTGTAATCCCAGCTACTCAGGAGGCTGAGGCAGGATCACGCCACTGCACTCCAGCCTGGGCCACAGAGTAAGATTGTCTAAAAAAAAAAAAAAAAAAAAAGCAAAGCAATATGTAAAGTTTATAACACTATATAAAAATATGAACAAAATTCCCAACAGAAAATTGGCAAGGGAGAAAAAACAAAAAAGTTTATACAAAGAGAAATGAGAGAAATGCAGTAGCCATTAACTAGAAATCAGCAATAGAAAAACAATGACATTAGAAATTAAAGATATGCAAATTTATTCATCCGTATTGAAGTGCAATGTTATGTCCCTTAAAAGAGAGAGAAAGAACAGAAGTACAGTCATTGGAGCTATTGGGTAATCAGGTCTGGACAATATAATCAGTACTCACAGGTTTGGCAATAATGATCAAGAGCCGTAATCTCTGGTTATCCTAATTCTGTAATTAAAAATTAGAAAAGCTATATGAACAAAGTTGTTCAGAGCAGGTTTTATTTATTTTATTTTTATTTTTATTTTTATTTTTATTTTTGAGACAAGAGTCTCGCTCTGTCGCCCAGGCTGGAGTGCAGTGGTGCGATCTCGGCTCACTGCAAGCTCTGTCTCCCGGGTTCACACCACTCTCCTGCCTCAGTCTTCCGAGTAGCTGGAACTACAGGAGCCCGCCACCACACCTGGCTAATTTTTTTTTTTTTTGTATTTTTAGTAGAGACGGGGGTTTCACCACGTTAGCCAGGATGGTCTCGACCTCCTGACCTCGTGATCCGCCTGCCTCAGCCTCCTAAAGTGCTGGGATTACAGGCGTGAGCCACCGTGCCTGGCCCAGAGCAGCCTTTATTCATATAACAAAGATCTCAGAGTAACCCAAATATCTAGCAATCGATTTCAGCACATTTACTCAATAGACTATTTTCAAATCATTAGAATGTTAAATATGTAAAAACATGAACAGTTTTTGATGAAACAATAAGTGAAAAGTAGAACTCAAAATTGTCTGCCCCACTATGTTAAAACAATAGAGAAAGATGAGCTGGGAACAAAGAGCGCATAAAGCCCGAGGATTGGAGTTGTCAATGGATGTGACAATGGGAAAATCCGTCTGAGCCTGCATTTGGGCTGCTAGGAGGGGATTTGCATCAGAATCCACAGATCACCAGCACTGGGCAGCCCTAATATTTAAAATGCAGATTCTAGACTCAATCAGGCGGGAGCCCAGAAATTTGCATTGTTAACACCTGTGTGTGTGTGTGTGTGTGTGTGTGTGTGTGTGTGTGTTTTATAAACACAGAAGGTTGGGAACCATGGATAACTAAGTGAAGTCATTTTGTCACTCAGATTTGAATTTTCTACAGGCTATAGAGTGCAGTTTGGCTAAAGCAAAACCTAGGTACAGTCAGGACTACACAATTCCAGTTCGCTGTGGGTTGGGAAGGGATGGGTGGGCCAGTGCTGGCAAGCCTTGATCTTTGCCCGGGCTTGTCCTTCTGGGGAGAATTACCTGCTTCTGCTGGACTGAGGGTGCCCTCATCTCTGGCTAGAGCCCGTGCTGCCATGGAAGACTCTTTCCGGTGCCCACTAATCCTTGATGTTCACCTTGTCCCCTGCCCCCAGAGAAGTCATCCGGACCCTCCCATCCCTGGAGTCTCTGCAGAGGTTATTTGACCAGCAGCTCTCCCCGGGCCTCCGTCCACGTCCTCAGGTAAAGGGTCTTGGGGTTGAAAAGGTGAGATTAATACCCCAGGGAGGAGGATTGAGTTAGCCAGTCCTGAGGGCTCAGGAGGAAGAGGGGAGCACTGCCCATTGTGTGTTCACTGGGCAACAGCAAGCAGGTACGCATGGGTTGGGGGTGGGAGCCTCAGCCCCTGCCCTTTCCAGGAAGCCATCTCCCACTGCCAGATTTTGATTTGAGGAATAAAGATTTCAAATTATGCACTCATCAGCAAAACTTATTTGTGCCAAATAAGGGGGTAAGCAGGGCCTGTTCCCATCATTTCTTATCAGAAACTGAAAGGAAAGAAAAAGAGGAGATGCCTAAACTCTTGATCCTGCCTCTTGTCCCAGGAGGAGCAGGATGAAGGTGCCCCCCAACCCCCGCACCTGCTCATGGCCTGGCAGGAGGCCAAGGTCGTGTTGCCCATTAAGCAAATGTCTGTGTAACAAAAGGTGTCATCAATAAAGTTTTAACAAGTTTTTTAAAAAAGCAAAAGCTGTATCTCAGAAGAAAATACCTGCAACAAAGCTTAGGGACAAAGGATTACAGACGAAGTATTCATGTTTATATTATTATTTTTATTTGAGACATGGTCTTGCTTTGTCGCCCAGGCTGGCGTGCAGTGGCACAATCACAGCTCACTGCATCCTCAAACATCGGGGCTCAAGCGATCCACCCCACCTGAGCCTCCCATGTATTAAAACTGCAATACTTTTGCACCAGCTAATAGCTGGGGATTACAGGTGCATGCCACCATGCCAGTCTCCTTTTAAAATTTTTTGTAGAGACAGATCTCACTGTGTTGCCCAGGTTGGTTTCAAACTTCTGGCCATCTTCCTGCCCCAGCCTTCTGAAGTGCTGGGATTACAGGTGGGAGCCACCATGCCTGGCCATTTTTAAAAAAATTCCTACAAATAATTAAGTAAAAACAATCCAGTTTTTAGAATGCGGAAAGGCTATAAACAAGGCGGTTCACTGAAGAGGGACAGGGAATAGCCAGTATAGATATGAAAAGGCGTTCAACCTCACCTTGTTAGTAACTGGGAAATGACATTTGACACTAGGCAGCCTCTTCTTGCCTATTAGATGGACAAAGAGTTGATGCTCAAGTTGATGGTTGAGTCAGGACTTGGCTAGGATGTGGGGTGGAGGAGGTGCTCACAGGGGCTCACTCCTCTGCTGTTGGGAATGGAAATGGGTTTTCTGAACGGCAGTTTGGCCATTTGTATGCAAATGTGAACTGCAGGCATCCCTCAAGCCCGCAGTTCCATATGTTGGCAGCTTCTTAGGGACTACAAGTACACAAAGAGTAACAGAAAAAAACATTGAAAATCACATAAACAGGCCAGGCGTGGTAGTTCACGCCTGTAATCCCAGTACTTTGGGAGGCCGAAGCGGGTGGATCACCTGAGGTCGGGAATTTGAGACCAACCTGACCAACATGGTGAAACGCTGTCTCTACCAAAAATACAAAAATTAGCCAGGTGTGGTGGCGGGCGCCTGTAATCCCAGCTACTCAGGAGGCTGAGGCAGGAGCATTGCTTGAACCCGGGAGGTGGACGTTGCAGTGAGCCGAGATGGCGCCACTGCACTCCAGCCTGGGTGACAGAGTGAGACTCCATCTCCATCTAAAACAGAAAAAAAAAAGGAAAAAGAAAAAAAGAAAATCACATAAACATGGAGAGCTGGTGAACTGCAGTGGTGCAGAATTCTATTCTAAGGTGTGAACACTGCTCTGGAAAGATCTCCAAGACTACTGTTAGGTGGAAAAGCAAATGGCAGGATGATATAGAAACTCTGATGGAAGTCTCCACGAGGAAATCAGATGGGAAGGATTTAAACCCAAAGGGCCACGCTGGTCACCACAATTCAGGGATGAGACTGGGGAGAAGGGGACTGGGCCAAGGGGGATTTTGAGTTTGCCCACATTGTTAGTTTAGGTTTTCTACGGAGAACACGAATTTGTATTTTACTTGTGCAACTTTCAAAATTCAGAAAAAAAAATTTTTGCTTTCTCTGAAGTGAATGATGGGTTAATTTCTAAGAAAGTAAAAGCAAATCTAGATAAAACAGGGGCTCTGCCCGACACTTGAACTTAAGTAGTTTGAGTGGAAGAACACACAGTCAAGTCTTTGAAGTAGATTAGAAGCGAGAAAAAGCCTCGTGAGAGAGGCCAGCTGCAGTCCCAGTTACGGTGCTGCCTGGTGGAGGCCAGTCTCTGCATTTGGTGGCAGGACAGAGCAGCCACCCAGTGGAGGGTGGGTCATGCTGCCACACTCCCCTCCCCTTTATGAGACCCTGAGTCTTGAAGAAAAACAGAAAAGGTTGTTCTTGATTTGTCTTTAGGAATTCAGAAATCAAGAGGGAGTTGAGGCTGCCTTGAGGAGAGGAAAGAACGTTGGTCCATGGATCAGAAACACCTGAGTTCAAATTCTGATTCACCCTCCTGGATCTTTAGTCTCCCCATCTGTGAAATGGGGACAGTAATATCTCTGCAGGGTTTGGTTAAGGAGTGAGTGAAACTGGGTGCGTGAGACGTCTGACCCTGCTAGACTCTCACCAACATGAGGCCCTTTCCCTTAAGTAGGCAAGACAAGCTGGGGACACCCAAACCCCTGTGTGGTTACTTGAGGACTGCTGGGAAGTGTGAAATGCAATGTTATCAAAATGCTGGCTGGCCTGGGGGATGGGGGAGACCTGGGTCCACCCTGTGTGAGAAAGGAGAGCCGGTAACCTCCCTTGGATGGTTAACCTGCCTTGGCGCCCACTTCCTTTTTTTTTGAAAAGTGCAACTGAAAAGCAAAGTGAAAAAACTGGGTCAGCTGATGTAAACCCTCAGGTAGCAGTCAGACCAGTCTACCCTTTAACAGGCTAAGCTGTGAATTCTATCCTCAACCTCGACACTGGTGACATTTGGGACTGGATTGTTCTCTGTCGTGGAGGACTCCTGTGCACTCTAGGAGTCCTCCACATCCTGGCCTCTACCCATGAGATGCCATTAGCATCCCCCAGCTGTGACAACTGGAAACGTCTCAGACATTGCCAAATGTCCCCTGGAGGGCAAAATCGCCACCAGCTGAGGACCACTGGGCTAGCCCCCAATTCACATCTCAGGTCTATACTAGCTGTAAACTCACCACTCTGACTCTATTCCCCCATCAGCAAAACAAGGATTAGAAAAATCAAGACATGTGAGGATTAGATGACTTAATATATTTCAGATGTGCTTGGCATAGCATACAAACTCATCAAATCATCATTAGGCAGAAGTATGGGGAAAGCTCCAGCATTTTTCTAATACTTTTTCTTTCAAGCACGAACGCCCTGTTTGTCAGTAACTTCATTTATGTTCTCTAAGATCTTGTTATATCTCCCCTCCCAAAAGTCACAAATCCAAAGAGAGAGCCGGTGGGGGGCGGGGGACCTGCAATTGCATTGGTGACTGCCCGGGGTGAAGGCAGGTCATTCCAAATGTTCTCTACTGTGAAAAGGAGGAGGCTTGAATCTGTGTTACCGTTTCAATTATTTATGAGATAAATAACCCTAAAACAAGGGAATCCTGAACTATCCCATCTCCTGACCAGCTTTTCTTCTCAACCAACAGGCAGCCATTCTGTTGTTCCCTTCCCTGAGTCTTAGCACCACCTCTTCAAGCCACTTTCCTGATTGACAATAACTAAAGAAGAATTGTAAGCTTTATTAAGAAGCAAGGGAAAGACCAAAAAGTGGTTAGAGAAAGCACTGACAATTATTAACTGCTGTGATGGTGGAGTGATGGTTATTGGGATGGGGAATGGTGTGGTGTCTAAGGGTGGTAGTGATGGTGATGACAGAGGTGGTCATGATCATGGGAGGGCTGGTAGGAGTGGAGATGGTGGTGGTGATGGTGATGGTGATGGTAGAGGTGGTCATGATCATATGGGAGTGATAGGGGAGGAGATGGTGGTAGTGATGGTGGAGGTGGTCATGGTCAGGGTAGGAATGGTGAGGGTGGAGATGGTGGTGGTGATGGTGATGGTGAGGGTGGAGATGGTGGTAGTGATGGTGATGGTGGAGGTGGTCATGATTATGGTGAGAGTGGTAGGGGTGGAGATGGTGGTGGTGATGGCGATGGTGGAGGTGGTCATGATCATGGAAAATAATAGGTGTGGAGATAGTGGTAGTGATGGTGATGGTGGAGGTGGTCATGATCACGGTGGGTCTGGTAGGGGTAGAGATGGTGATGGTGATGTTGGAGGTGGTCATGATCATGGTAGAACTGGTAGGGGTGGAGGTGGTGGTAGTGATGGTGATGGTGATGGTGGAGGTGGTCATAATTATGGTGGGAGTGGTAGGGGTGGAGATTATGGTAGTGATGATGATAGTGGAGGTCGTCATGATTATGGTAAGAGTGGGAGGGGTGGAGATGGTGGTGGTGATGGTGAGGGTGGAGGTGGTCATGATCACGGTGGGAGTGATAGGGGTGGAGATGGTGGTAGTGATGGTGATGGTGAGGGTGAAGGTGGTGGTAGTGATGGTGATGGTGGAGGTGGTCATGATCATGATAGGACTGGTAGGGGTGGAGATGGTGGTGGTGATGGTGATGGTGAGGGTGGAGGTGGTGGTGGTGATGGTGAGGGTGGAGATGGTGGTAGTGATGGTGATGGTGAGGGTGAAGGTGGTAGTGGTGATGGTGATGGTGGAGGTGGTTATGATCATGGTGGGAGTGATGGGGTAGAGATGGTGGTGGTGATGGTGATGGTGAGGGTGGAGGTGGTAGTAGTGATGGTGATGGTGGAGGTGGGCATGATCATGGTGGGAGTGATAGGGGTGGAGATGGTGGTAGTGATGGTGGTGTTGGTGGTGATTGTGGTGGCCATGCTGATGACTCTGGTGGTGCTGTTGAAGGGGATCCTATTGATCATGTCAGTGCCATTGATCATTGTGCAGAGGCAGCAGTGGTAATGGAGGTGGTGATAGTAAAAGTAGTATACTAAAGTAGCTGGGTGGAAAATTGAGGTCAAAAGCAAGTGCAGCCTGGCTGCTATATTGAGCAAGGGGTGAGGTAAAGGGACATCACCTGCCTGGTGATAACCCTGGTTCCATTCTGCTTTGTATTCACATTAGCCATACATGTGTCTGATTTTCTCATTCCACTTCTTATTATGAACTTAATAAGGTATTAATAACTTAATAAGGTATCTTATTAACTCTACATTTCCACACCTGGCAGCATGTCTAACATAGAATAGATGCTTTGTAAATGTTTCTTCTGTGAATAAGTGCATGAGACCATGTACTTGGCATCAGGTAGACAGGATACATGTCTTCCTCTGCCATTTACTAGCTGTGCGACCTCAGACAAGTTAGTTCATCTCTCTGGGCCCTGTATGTACTGAACAACTTAACGGAGCATCTTCGTTGGCCAGACACTGTTCTGAGCCCCAGTGTTGCAGTACTGAACACAGTCCTCTTGATCTCCATTCTCACGGAGCCTCCATTCAGCAGGGAAGACAAACAATGAACACATATTGGAAGGAGATGACTTTAGCTCGTGGTGATTGAAATGGAACAGAACAAGGCAACTTGATAGAGGTGACCTGGTGGCTATTTTAGACAGGGTGGTCAGGGAAGACCTCTTTGTGGGGCTGAGACCTGAATGATGAGGAGTTGCCCCTCCCAGGGGAAATTGAGTCTCTGGAGATTCCTCAGAAGGGAAGCTCAAGGCAGATATGAGTTGAGGATGAGAGTGGCTCAGATCTTGGTGGGGCGGGTGAGGTGGGGGGCTGCATCATATAGGACCTCGGAGGGCAGGGAAGGGGTCGGGATCATTTTCTCCTCTACGTGGAGAAGAACTGTACTGGGGTTTCAAGCAGCAGGGCTGGGTCTATTTTGGAAGTAGGACGGGAACACCATGCAGCAGGTGTAGGAGGGAGGAAAGGTAACATGCAAGGACAGTCCTCGAGTTTTGTTTAAGCAACGGAGTGGGTGAGGTGAGAAGCACCGGGGGAGAGGCAGATTTACAGGGAAGAAGAAATGAAGATCTATTTTTTGGCCATGTGAATTCTGAGAAGATTGTAGAGATCCCTGTGTCCTCATCTGCCAGAAGGGGATAATAATAGAACTTGTGGGGCTGCGGGGAGGCTGGAATGGGGTGAGGTGCAGAGAGAACCCAGAGCATTGCCTCTCGATGGTTCAGGTTCAGTGATGCTGCCCTGATCCTCTTTCCCTCCTCTCCCAGGTTCCTGGTGAGGCCAATCCCATCAACATGGTGTCCAAGCTCAGCCAACTGACAAGCCTGTTGTCGTCCATTGAAGACAAGGTACGTGTGGGGCTCCTGCGGCTTCTCTTGGTCTCCTCTTTGGTCCCCTCTTTGCATGGAGAATGCCCAGATGCACAGGCTCGGCGTCCCCTTGACCCTCTGTCTCTAACGCTGCTGCCCACAGGTCAAGGCCTTGCTGCACGAGGGTCCTGAGTCTCCGCACCGGCCCTCCCTTATCCCTCCAGTCACCTTTGAGGTAAGTGGCCATGGGACAGCAGAGCCTGGGCTTGGGCTCCACAGCTGGGCAGAGAGACATGTTCTTGTTCCTGTGGAAAGAGGGATTGGGGCTTTAGCTGGGGAAGAGCAGGGAGCGCATTAGCCAAGAATGGCAGTCAGTTGACCTTTGTCGCTGTGATGGCGGTTCAACGTCAGAACGGGCACCCAGAGACAACTGGGAAATCCCCTTCGGAGGGAAGCTACAAGGGAGGAGTGTCTCATTGGGCCAGGCACCATGTAAACTTTGTCCTTCTCAAAATGGCAGAGATGAGTGACATCAGACGGGGCTGCAAAGTACTGCCTCAAGGGGGTGGGGAATTCAGAAAAAAAATCGTGCGATTCCTGTGATTTCCATGAGAATGACTGGATTAGAATCTCCAGGCTTGACCCAAAATGCGTTCTTCTTTACAATCCCCAGAGATTCTAGTATATTCACCCCAGCACTGGTCCCAAATTCAGGAATCCAGTGTGAGACCCGCACCCCCTCCGCCACACACACATTCCCCACCCCAAAGTCCGTTCTAGACCTGGTGATTATCCTCTATTAAGATAAATTTCCATTTTCTGAGCATGCCTACGCAACTGTTGTGGGTTTTCTTTTCTATTATTATCAGTAAATGTTCAATCAGTGGTTGTAACAAGGCCTGGGAGTTTAAATCTGTTACTAAAATCCTTTCTGGAAGTAGGTGACACATCAGATTAATGAGTGTTGTCAAAGTCATCAGTGAATGAACCATTTCCAGCAATTCGTCTGTTTCCGCCAGCAAACCTGTTGGCAGAACGGCTCCCCCACACACAGTGGACGAGGGGGATGCCCCTAGAGTCTCTGTGATTCCCGGGAGACGCCTGTGGAAACATGCACGTGCGCCGCTGGGGCAAGAGAAGCCCAGTGGCCCCACGAAGGACGCACACCAGAGGTTGCCCAGCCATGTAGACAAGGGGTTCGGGCGGGGGAAGCCTTGCAAAAGCCCAGGCAGAAAATCAATCAGTGACACATCTCTTCTCTTCTAAGGTGAAGGCAGAGTCTCTGGGGATTCCTCAGAAAATGCAGCTCAAAGTCGACGTTGAGTCTGGGAAACTGATCATTAAGAAGTCCAAGGATGGTTCTGAGGACAAGTTCTACAGCCACAAGAAAAGTAAGACCCCTCGTGCCTATCAACCACTGCCCCTCACCTGCCTGTGGAATTCCTGCCCTCTCAGCTCACCTCTCAGAAGGCCTGCCCTGCAGGTCTGTCTTCCGCACGCATGCGCGCCTGCGCTCATGCTTTTGTGTGTGTGTGTGTCTCTTCTCTTCCCCACCAAGACCCAGTGTGATCCATGCTATCACCTCTCAGTGCCGGGCACAAAGCCTTGCACAGATGAGGTCTTGTTGACAATTGGGTAGTGTCTGTAGCACAGGATAAACTAAACTGTGAGTACATGGACTCTGGAACCAAACTGCCTAAATTCACGTCCCAGCTCTGCCACTTAGCAGCTGTGTGACCTGGGACATGTCATGACCTCTCTAGCCCTCAGTTTCCTCATCTGTAAAATGGGGATGATAAAAATTATGTGAATAATATGCTCAAGGCTCTTTAGGCTAGAGCCCAGCATGTAGTGGCCACTTTGAGAGTCAGCTGTTATTAGTAGATTCTGAGAACCATCAAATCAACTCATCCATAAAATGGAAGCTCTTCACACAACAAATGCATATAGAGAAGCTGCAGTGGGGCAAGACAAGGGGATCCAGGGCCAGCAGGGCAGATGAGGCCCCTGCCCACATGGAATTTATATTCTGGTGCATTGAGTAGCCGATAGAGACTCAAATACATCTGTCAATACAGATGAATGATCAGATGGATGATCCAGCTATGAAAAGCGCTACAAAGAAAACAAAACAGGGCAAAGGGGTAGAGGTTAACTGGCAAGAGGGGATAGTGTAGAAAGGGCAGACATGGAAGTTTCCTCTGAGTAAGAGGCACATTGGCGGAGACCCCGAGGCTGAGAAGCAACCAGTCGGGCAGGGGTCTGAGGGAAGAGCATCCCAGCTAGCAGAGCAGCATGTGCAAACGCTGGGAGATGGGCACTGGGGCCCAGGTTAGGGAGGCCAGGCAGGGTGTCAGGAGGCAGGGGGGTAGGCAATGCCCAGTGCGGGGCCACATGGGGCTGGAGAACAGCAGCAGACAGGACCAGAGGGCTGACGAAAGCATGAGAGTTTCCTGAGCAGCCTCTCGTTCTGGCTGATGGCGAATGGACATCTTTCTTCATCTGGGTGGCCAATGGGTTCCCCCGAGAAACCTGATCAATGCGTAGACCCTTGCCTCAGATAAATCCCAACCTTCACACAACAGTTTGCATCCCATGTCAGGTTTTAAGACCACTATGAAGCCCCCCAAGTCTCTGTGGCTACAACACTTTTTTTTATTCTTTAGTGTCTCAAAGTTCATTTAGAGGGCATGGTTAAGGTTGCCACAATTAGCAGATAAAAATACAGGAGGCCCAGTAAAATTTGAATTTCAGATAAACAACCGATATACTATATGTATGTCCCATGCAATATTTGGGACATACTTATATGCAACAATGATTCACAGTTTTTCTGAAGTTCAAATTTAACTGGGTCTCCTGTATTTTATCTGGCTTCTTCAGGCATGATCAGCACCTTTTTTTTTTTTTTTTTTTTTGAGACAAAGTCTCGCTCTATCACCCAGACTGGAGTGCAGTGCCACGATCTTGGCTCACTGCAACCTCCGCCTCCTGGGTTCAAGTGATTCTTCTGCCTCAGCTTCCCGAGTAGCTGGGACTACAGGACCACCACCACGCCCAGCTATTTTTTTATTTTTAGTAAAGACAGGGTTTCACCATGTTGGTCAGTGTGGTCTCGAACTCCTGACCACAAGTGATCCACCCGCCTTGGCTTCCTAAAGTGCTGGGATTACAGGCATGAACCACTGTGCTCAGCCATCTTTTGTTCTTAATAAAGTCGTATGCACTAAGTATGGGGAACTGGGAGGACCTTGGCAGGGCCTGTGCATTCAGAGTCCTCTCTGTCCCTGTGTCCTTGGAGACAGGATGCTCTGTCCCCCAGGTATAGGGAGGGCTCCTCTCATATGAGGCTCTATAACCTGCTTTAGAGGAATGTCAGAGGGTCCTTCCTGCACCTGCCATTGCTCAAATTCCTTCAGCTGAAAATATTCAACATGCTTAGGATGCCATATTTTGCAATAGTGCATCCTGAACCCCACTGATAGCACAGTGGGGTGCAAGTAGCCCAGTCTTGAGTCCCAGGTCAGCCACTTGTGACTTGGGTCTGGTGCCTTTTCTCTGGTCCTCAGTTTACTCTTCTGTCCAGCAGGGATAGTAGCAGCATCTTGCAGGGCTCTCATGAGTCTTATGTGGGTGAACATCAAAGCAACTGGTGCCCAACCTCCAGGGAGTGCTCAATATCATTGACTGTCACCACCACCACCACCATTATTATTACCCTTCCAGGGTAGCCGTGAGGGAGGCTGATCTCAGGGAATGGCTGGGGGTGACATCATAGCTGTCATAGTCCTGCAGAGGGGAGCTCATAGCATCATGGTGGCCCCTGTGTATAGTGGCAAGTTGGGCAGGAGAAATGGGGAGTCACTGATGATTTGAACAGAAAGGCTGTGTGGAAAGTGAGCTTAGAGTGATGGTTTCCTCTTATCTGTTGATATGATTTGGCTGTGTCCCCACCCAAATCTCATCTTGAACTGTAGCTCCCATAATCCCCACTTGTCATGGGAAGGACCGGGTGGGGAGGTAATTAAATCACTGGGATGAGTTTTTCCCATGCTGTTCTCATGGTAGTGAATAAATCTCATGAGATCTGATGGTTTTATAAAGGGTAGTTCCCCTGCACAAGCTCTCTTGCCTGCCACCATGTAAGACGTGACTTTGCTCCTCCTTTGCTTCTGCTATGATTGTGAGGCCTCCCCAGCCATGTGGAACTGTGAGTCCATTAAAACTCTTTCCTTTATAAATTACCCAGTCTTGGGTATGTCTTTATTAGCAGCGTGAGAACAGACTAATACATCTGTTAAGGAGAGAGGGGTGGCCCCAACTTGGATAAGAGGAGATGGAAACGTTAAGATGAGTGAAGACTGTCAGAGCACCTGATTACTAAAAAACTTAAGATTGAAAGAAACACCTCCCAGGGTTCTCAGAAGTGCTGTGAACTTTTGTCGGTTTAATGCAACAGATATTTGCGTAGCATCTTCTATGGGCCAGCCCTTCATCGTGAACGCTTCCTCTAAGGATTTGCTGTGGAGAAGGGAACGCTGGCACATGGGCAGGTATTAGAATGTGCTCCAGAGGGAGGTTAGTCCCGAGGGAGGACTGGTTAGCTCTTTTGGGGAGTGAGGGCAGGAGACTTCACACCACCGAGGTGGCTCTGACCGGGATTTGAAGGATGAATAGGATTTTGCCAAGCATGAGGCAGGGGAGGGCACTGGTACTGAGAGAATGGGGTGTGCAGGGAACGGGACAGGGGGTTAGTGAAATCACACATTACATGTTGCTCATCTCTCACTGTGGTTCTGGAGAGAGAAGCCGCTGGGCACGCCATCCTAGGTGTGAACAGAGCCTAGAATGCCCAAGTAAGGATTGGAGCTGTTGTTGCTGAGAAGTTGGTATTCTCCTTTGTGGAAACAGATCAGGGATGGGTGAAAGAGCTAAACTAGAGATCACTGGCCCTAAGAAAATCCAGCTCTAGTTAAGAATGGGCTATGCATGGGTGCAGTGGTACGCACCTGTATTCTTAGCTACTTGGGAGGCTGAAGTGGGAGGATCACTTGGAGCCAGGAGTTTGAGTTCACCCTGAGCAACACAGCAAGACTCCATCTCTAAAAATTAATAATAATAATAATAACAATAATAGGCTATTTCAGAGCAGGTTTGTGAGCCCTGAAGAGCATGGGTGCCCACAGACTGCCAGCCCACTCTCCGGGAATGTGCCCACCTAGCTCCAGTCCTCCCGTCAATCCAGGATGGTGGAGCCTGACTTCCTCTCTGTGGTGACACCTGTCACATCAGAGCACAATTGACTCCTCACAAATTCCCTCCCCCTAAAAAGGGCAAGGTCTTTCCTTTACACACCCTGGACTCTGCAGGCCCCAGCTCGGGCCCTGGGGCTCAGCAAGTGCGTGCTCAGGGATTGCCAATTGCCTGAGGCACTTGCAATGTCATCCATCATAAATCCCAGTTCTGTCTCCCCTCTTTAATGTGGGCTTCACAAAGGCTGGGATGTGGATTTTTTCGTTGTTGTTAACCACTAAATCCCAGAGCCAAAACAGTGCTTAGCACAGAGTAAGTGATCAGTAAATGCATATTGAGAGAACGCATGCATGAATCAGTGAATGAATGCAAGAATGAAGGAACGCACACAGGAATAAGAATGAATGTAATAATGAATGAATGCACACATGAATGAGAGAATGAAGGCAAGAATGAATGAATCTATGCATGAGTGAGCAAATGTGTCCTAAACCAGGTAAGATCATACAGTTCTCATGGATGCATGTTTAAGTGGCTTCTTTACAGTTGGTGCTGAGAGGCAGTGTGGTTCAAGAGTGGGTGCTCTAGGTAAACCGGATGCATGTGTTGGTTCCATGACTTGCTAATAGTATGATCTCAAGTAAGCTACTTAACTCCTCAAAGCCTCAATGATGCCTCCACAAGACAGGGGTTCCTACAGGGGTTGTTGTGAGAGTTAATGGGGTAAGGTGTGTCCTTAGTGCGGAGTCTGGCTCATGGTGAGTTTCCATCCATGGTTATTATGACAGAGCGGTGCTCGCCTGGAGGGAATCTGTGGTTGCAAGAGTTGGAGCTTCCTTACCCTATTTTAATCACCATGTTCATGAATAGCTTTGGCATCATGGTCTTCTACACATAGGAACAGCCAGTTGCTGTATGTTCAAATCATAAAATATTCATGCTCCGAGCACCTGCTATGCAGGTACCAGGCTTTGGGATGCGAAGGTGAACCAGCCAGCCGGGATCCTAGCTTTCAGGAAAGTTTCATTCAAATCAGGGCAAAGGAGAAAATAAACAAACACACAAATATACAAACCAGGAATGTGTCAGGGAATGATAAACTCTAGACCTGGGGATTTAAATAGAAAAATATGACAGTAATGGGGAAAAGCCTTTCTGTGGACATGCTGTGCCATTTGAACCGAGACCTGAGTGTCAGGAAGATGCTGGCTGTGCCCAACCCAGGGAAAGAGGCAACTGGGCTCAGTCCCAAGGCAGGAACAAGTATGGCGTGTGAGACGGCTGGGCGGCCAGGACTCAGACAAGGCTGAGGCTGGACAGGGGCCAGGCATGTGGGCTTGCTGAGCCAGAGTACCAGCTCACGTTTCCTTCCAAATGCAGCAAGCCACTATTAGGAGGTTTTCAGCTGGGGGGGGTGTGGTGTGATTCCACTTCAAAAAGATAACTCTGGCTGCTGTACTGAGAATAAACTATGGGAAGAGAGGAAGAGTGGAGACAGGGACACCAATTAGGAGGCCATGATAGCAGTCAGGCAAGAGGCGGTGGCAGCTGGAGATGGGAAAAGGTGAACGGGGTGGGAACGTTTCAAAGGTAGACCAGCCAGCACCTGCTGATCGATACCATGTAACAGGACGAGGGAAACGGAACTTCTAGTGTTATTTCACTGGGCGTGGGGAAGGTGGGGCGCTGACTGACTCTGATGGAATAATAACCCTGATCAAACAAGATATCACATCCTGGGGGCAACCGCACAGTCCTGCGAACAGATGGCAAGGAAATTCAGGGGAAGGAGACATGGCCTGATCGTAGCAGACTGGAAAAGTCTCAGCATTTGGTTAGCAGTGGTAGAAATCGGACTGTGGGATGCTTACTGAGGTGCAGACGAGGCTGATGTCATTTCCCTTTGGGGAGGCTTCCAGCTCAAAGTGATGGTTAAATGCATGCTCTGCCATCAGTTCCCTTCCGGAAGGCAAAACCCACAGGGAAAGAGAGAATGGGAGAGCAACAATATTCTGAAAGCCGGAAAGGAGATGGATAGCGAGAGTCACTTGTAGGAACCAAAAAACGAAACCCTAAGCAGGTGGAAGAAAAAACAGAGACACTGACTCACACAAAACCCACAAAGGGCTCAGGAACTGAGAGCCTTGGGGACCCCAAGAAGTGGGGTGAAGGTGGGGTTATACACAGCAGGGTCAGATGGAAGTCTATTTAAAGACAGTTCAGCCCAACAGATCACACTCCACTCCATGTAGCCAGTGGCTCCTCCTCACTCCTTTGGCAGAAGATTGGATATTCTTTGGAGAAGGTGAAGGGCTGGGAGATGCCAGGCCTGCTGCAGGCAGGAGAGCCTACTGAAAACAGAGGACTAAGGGACAGTCACTTGCTGAGTGCTGAGACCCCAGCCTTCTTCCCTGCCCAGCTCCCAGGATGCTGCTGGCCAGCCCCACCCTCCCTAGGCAGGAGTTAGAAGTCTTCTCTGGGAAACTTGATCAGCCCAGGGGCAAAGATGGAAAGGTGTTGCCATCACGCAGTTTCCCCAGGATTCAGCCCATCAGACCACCCTGCGGAGAAGCCCTGCTCGACAGACCCCACCTCACTGTTGGACACAGACAGCCAAGGATCACCAGACACTGGAGGGAAGCTGGGGACAGGAAACAGGGGACACAAAGACAAAACACTTGGAGGGATCAAATTCTTTTTGTTTTTTTTGAGACAGAGTTTCACTCTTGTGGCCCAGGCTGGAGTGCAATGGCGCGATCTCAGCTCGCAGCAACCTCCACCTCCTGGGTTCAGGCGATTCTCGTGCCTCAGCCTCCCAGGTAGCTGGGACTATAGGCATGCACCACCATGCCCGGCTAATTTTTGTATTTTTAGTAGAAATGAGGTTTCACCATGCTGGCCAGGCTGGTCTCAAACTCCTGAGCTCAGATGATCTGCCTGCCTTGGCCTCCCAAAGTGCTGGTGTTCCTGGACCAAACTGAGGGTCAGGCTGCTATTTCTTGTGGCCCAATAACAAGATGCACATGAACTGGGGAGGAAGACAGGTTTTATTTTCTGTAACTGGTTACAGGAAGAAGGCCTGGAAATTATCACCAGACCAACTCAAAATTACAAAGTTTTCCAGAGCTTATATACCTTCTAATCTGTATGTCTACGTGTGTGTATTCATTGAAAGATATAAGTGATTAACTTCTTTTAATTTATAACTAAGGTCTGAGTCCTGAAGACCTTCCTTTGGAGCCTCAGTAAATTTACTTCATCTAAATGGGTCCAGGTGCTGGTGTGATTACCCTTATCTTGTCTTCTGCTAAATCACGGAGGTTTGGGGAGTTCCTTCAGACCTCCAATAAACTTGTTAAATCCTAAACTGGTCCTGTTAAGAATTCCTTCGCCTAGGCAAAACTTCTGATGGGCTTTTGTTACATTCCAGCCTTTGTATAAGGGCACTGGCTTTTGATATTTAACTTAACCACTCAGTCAGTACTGAAACCGTTGTCACGGAGGCCTGAATTAGTGAGACCTGGCCTGCCACACCGGGATTACAGGCGTGAGCCACTGCACCCAGCCTTGGAGAGATCAGATTCTACAGATAAAAAGAAATGGGCCTGTGGAATAACAGAATTATATCTAGAAAGGAACAGTAAGAGAATAAAATGAAAGTGAAAAAGGATGAGGAGAAAGAGAGAAGGGGGAAGAAGGGGAAAGGGAAAGGAAGGACAACTCTGGGGCAATAAAAAATATTATAGCAGTAATTAAAAAAAATAAGAACCCAATGGAAGAGTGGAAAGATACAGTTTAGAAAAGCTCCGAAAAGGCAAAACAAAAGGACAAAGTGATGGAAAATAGGAGAGGCAAGATTTTTACAATTTAAAAGACCAGATCAGGGCTGGGTGCAGTGGCTCACGCCTGTAATCCCAGCGCTTTGGGAGGCCAAGGCAGGTGGAACACTTGAGGTCAGGAGTTCAAGACCAGCCTGGCCAACATGGTAAAACCCCACCTCTACTAAAAATACAAAATTAGATGGGCATGGTGGTGCACGCCTGTGATCCCAGCTACTCGGGAGGCTGAGGCAGGAGAATTGCTTGAACCCAGGAGGCAGAGGTTGCGGTGAGCCAAGATCCACGACTGCACTCCAGCCTGGGTGATGGAGCGAGACTCCATCTCAAAAAATAAATAAATAAATAAATAAATAAATAAATAAATAATAAATAAATAAGACGAGTTCAGGAGGCCCAATATCAAAATAATAAGTGTCAGTAAGAGAAAACAGATTGAGAAAATTTATTAAAGAATTCAGGAAAGAGTCTCAGAACAGAATAACACTTGCCTCCATGTTGAAAATGGCCAAGTGCTCACACAACACAGGAGGCCCACACAACCCTGGAAAGTCTCACAATGCTGGACTCCAAGAAAAGATCCTAAAAATGTTCAGAGCAAAAGATAGATTACGCCCTGTGTCAGGGGCCCCACAAGACCACCCCCAGGTTCTGTGATTCCCTCAGAGAACCCACAAGACCCAGTGGATGATCATATTCCCAGCTGTGATTTATTACATTGAAAGGATATAGAGCAAAATCAGCTGAGGGAAAAGACACATGCATAGGATGAAGTCTGGAAGAAACCAGGCACGAGCTTCTAAGAGTCTGAGCCTGAGACCTGAGTGTCAGGAAGATGCTGGCTGTGCCCAAACCAGGGAAAGGGGCCACTGGGCATAGTTCCAAGACAGGAGCCAGTGTGGCTGGTGAGATGGCCAGATGGCTGTGGCTCAGACAAGGCCAAGACTGGGCAGGGGCCAGGTGTGTGGGTCTGCTGAGCCAGAGTGCCAGGTTCACACTTCCTTCTTTTTTTATTTGAGATGGAGTCTCACTCTGTCGCCAGGCTGGAGTGCAGTGACACGATCTTGGCTCACTGCAACCTCCGCCTCCCAGGTTCAAGCAATTCTCCTGCCTCAGCCTCCTGAGTGGCTGGGACTACAGGTGCCCGCCACCACGCCTGGCTAATTTTTTGTTTTGTATTTTAGTAGAGACAGGGTTTCACCATGTTGCCCAGGCTGGTCTCAAACTCCTGAGCTCAGGCAATCTGCCTGCCTCAGCCTCCCAAAGTGCTAGGATTACAGGCATGAGCCACCGCGCCTGGCCCACGCTTCCTTCTAAGTACAGCGAGCCACCATTAGGAGTGGCTCCACTCTTCTGTGGAGTCACAAAGGACACACTTCCCTCCTCCCCCAGTGAGGTGTGACAACATGTGTGAAATGTGGTTGTTAACTGGCGAATGGTCACATAGACACCCTCTACCTGGCAGGTACCCAGATTACAGACTCCCAAAAGGAAAACAGGTGCTCAGCATAAACCATATTGTTTGTACAAACAATGTAGGCACAGCAAGCCACTCATCAGCTCTGGGAGTGGTGGGAGCCCTCCCGAAATCTAAGTTCCCAGATGACAGCAGAAAGCCAGCCTTTCAAGCAAGCCCTTCTAAGGACAGCAGTCTCGGGTCTGTTGTGCTAACTCTTTTCTGAACAAGAGAATCAGAATGACATTGTTTCTCCAGCAATCCTGAAAACTAGAGATGATGGAACAAGGTTCCAGAGTCCGGAGGAGAATTATTTCAAATTTAGAGTTCTGTCAGTTAAGTGTGAGGGTCGAATTCTCAGACACGCAAGGCCTCTAAAAATGTATCACCGATTCTTCCTTTCTTGGAAAGCCACTAGAGATGCTGCTCTACCAAAATGAGGGTGTAAACCAAGAAGAGGAAGACCTGGGGTCCAAGAAATGGGATTTAATACGAGAGAGAGAAACGTATTCCTGGATTATGAAGTAAGGCCCCAAGGTAAAGGCTGTGCCTCGGCCCTTGAAGTCACCAGTCCAGAGAAGACCCAGAAGCTCTGGGAAAGGCTCCCTCAGGACAAAGGAACTGATGAAAGTAGTTGGTCACATGGAAAAGAGAGTTATAAACTGGGGAAGAATTAGAAACAATAAAAAAAAAAAGTATGGCAATTACTAACTCCAGGAATAACACAAAGTTGTCTAGAAAAAGAGAAACATTCAGGGCTGGTCTGTCAATAGCATTTTGATAATCAGAATAACAAACACTGAGTACTTATCTGGCCAAAATTATGATATAATTGTTAGAAGGATGATGTGGGGACTGAAATTATGCATTGGCAGGGAGTCAAGTTGGGGGAGCAGGTTGTGTGTGTGAAAGAAATTTCAACCTCATCTTCCATAGTGGACAGTCAAAAATGTAATAGGACATAATGAAAACTGAAACATCGGAAAGTATTAATCTAAGCATTTTTTTTTTTTAAGAAACAGAGTAGAATTCCAAAAGAATCCATTAAGAGAGTTGAAATTGGTTGCCTGTAGGGAGCTGGACATTGAAGAGAGGTTGGGTTGTGGAGGACTATTGTTTGCAAAAACCTTATAGAACAACTTGACTCTTTTAATTGTTGATGACAGTAAAATGTAAAATTAAATTTAGATATAAATTAAAAACAAAGCAAAAGAAGGAAAGGAGGAAGAGTAAGGAAGAAAGGAGGGAGGGAGAAGAGGAGGAAGAAGAGGAGAAGGAAGAAGAGAGAGGGGAAGGAGGGAGGCAGGGAGAAAGATGAAAAGACGATCACGCTGTCTCTGCTCTGGACAGGCCAACTCTTGCTTGTTCCAGACATCACCCTCCCCAAGCATGAGCCTCTCTTGGGAAGAGCAGCTGGAAGCAGAGGGAGCTGGGAGACCAGACACAAACTCGGGGCTCAGCTTGGGGACGGGAGTTGATAGTCAGGTGCCTGGAACATAATGGAGACCGTCCATATTGGTTGAATGAGTGGATGAATGAATTAATGAATTTCTTTTCTCTTAAGTCCTGCAGCTCATTAAGTCACAGAAATTTCTGAATAAGTTGGTGATCTTGGTGGAAACAGAGAAGGAGAAGATCCTGCGGAAGGAATATGTTTTTGCTGACTCCAAAGTAAGTGACAGCAAACTTCTAAAATGGGCTGTGAGGTAGGGAGGGGACACAAGCGTTTTGAGGCTCGCTGTGTGCCAGGGAGTGTATCATTAGCTCACTCAGTTCCCAGAACAACCCATTTCACACCTGGGAAAGGTGAACTTAGAGAAGTTGAGGATCATGTTCCAGGTTGGCCTGGATTTGAGCCATCACTGTCTCAGGAGTAGGGAGGCTTCCCACTTTGCCCAGCTGCCTCCCAGCCTCGAGGCCACATCCTTTATGACCCACATCTAACTCAGCCCCACACCTGGGGGAAAGGCTTTCAGCTTCTCTGGGCTGGACTTGGGAAATCTTTGGGACACTCCTGGATTGATTGATTGATTGATTGACTGACTGACTTGAGACAGCGTCTCGCTTTACCATCTAGGCTAGTGCAGTGGCGTGATCACAGCTCACGGCAGCCTCCACCTCCTGGGCTCAAGGGATCCCCCCACCCACCTCAGCTGAGGTGAGACAAGTAGCTGAGACCACAGACACACACCACCAGCTAATTTTTTATATTTTGTAGAGACAGAGTCTCGCCGTGTTTCCCAGGCTGGTCTCGAACTCCTGGGCTCAGGCAATCTTCCCGCCTCTGTCACCCAAAGTGCTGGTATTATAGGTGTGAGCCACCCCTGGATTTAAATCTGAGTCTCGACTGGAGCTCCATCCCAGAGACTTTCATTTCTACACTTTGCCCCGCTCTGCAGAAGTGAGATGCCCCTGCCAGGATGGGTTCCTGGGGTAAGAGGTGCTGTGGGCCACTGGGGAAACCCAGGCTGGGCCTCTGTGCCCCCACAGTGGGTTCTTTGTGACCTGACCCCTCATCTCAGAAATTTGAACCAGGGCCAAAACCTATCATCGTGAACCTCATTCATTGTTCTCTGCCATGCAGCTCGTGTGAGGCAGTAAAAATGGATTGCACCAGCCTGAACAGCCTAGTCAGACCCCATGTCTACAAAACAAAAAAATTAGGCCAGGCACAGTGGGTGCCTTATGCCCATAATCCCAGCACTTTGGGAGGCTGAGGCGGGACGGTTGCCCGAGACCAAGAGTTCGAGACTAGCCTGTGCAAGATGGTGAGACCTCATCTCTACGAAAAAAAAAATAGCTGGGTGTGGTGGCATGAGCCTGTAGTTTCAGCTACTTGGGAGGCTGAAGTGGGAGGATCGCTTGAACCCAGGAGTTTGAGGCTGCAGTGAGCTATGATCACACCACTGCACTCCAGCCTAGATGACAGAGCAAGATCCTGTCTCAAAAAAAAAAAAAAAAAAAAGATTGCAGCGCAATAAGGGTGTCCATCACATCAGGTGCTGGCTGACATCTCACATCAGGGACCCCCAGCAAGGCCAAGGGACAAGCGCTTCTGGTGCAGGCCCACAGTGATAGCTTCCCACTGAGTGCCCAGTCTCCGCTCCTACTTTCACCTCCAAAGCATCAGGGGTGGGCTGGTGGGAGGTCTAAGGTGTCCAGAGCTGTCAGGAATAATAGGGAAGGGTCTGGGAGAAACAAGAGAATGGGGCCCAGACAGGTGGTGGGAGATGGAGAGAAAGACCGCTGGGCTGGAATGCTTTCTGAGCACCTGGGCATAGGTTCAAACACCAGCTCTGCCCCATTGCTGCGACCTCAAAAGGACTGAGGCACAGGGATAAATGGAGGCCATGAATCTTGAGCCACTCCCAACTCGAGGCAGGTTATAGTAAAGATGGTCATTATGACATCTTTGTGAGCTGGTGTCTTCAGGGAGGACTTACTGAGATTTGCAATTATAAGGTTGAATCATGTAAAATTTCTGTCTTTGCAGGTTGAAACAGTCAAACACTGGTCATGTCATATGTTACACCCTGAAATTTGTGTACTTTGTTAAAGTCCGCCTGCTCTATTGATTGCATCCTAAGAGAGGGCCAACTGAGGCTGCTTGGTGCCCCACTGGGTACCCCAGAAAAATACGTGAAAAATATTGAGTAGGCTATGAAAGCCTTCATGTCCTCTCTTCTTTTTAATTAGTTTCTTTAATTTAAATGTTCTTTCATTACATAAGTAATCTATTCTCCTTGGTGAAGACGTGGCAAACACAAACAAGCAAATGTTTAAAATAAAAACACTCGTATACCATGAGTTAATCTGGGACTATGCCCCTTCCAGATGTTTTTTAATTTTCTCTTTCTTTCTTCCTTCCCTTCTTTCTTTCTTTTTCTGTTTCTTTTCTTTTCTGAGACAGGGTCTTGTTCAGTTGCCCCGGCTGAAGTGCAGTGGCAAGATCATGGCTCACTGCAACCTCAACTTTCTGGCCTCAAGTAATCCTCCCACCTCAACCTCCTAAGTTGGGAGGGACTACAGGCATGCACCACCATGCCTGGCTAATTTTTTTATTTTTTGTAGAGGCAGGGTTCCCCTATGTTGCCCAGGCTGGTCTCAAACTCCTGGGATCAAACAATCCTTCTGCCTCAGCCTCCCAAAGTCCTGGGATTACAGGCATGAGCCACTGTGCCAGGCCCAAATGTTTTATTAAAAATGCAATGATGCTATTCATATCATTTGTCAACTAGCTTTTCATGCTTAAAAATATATATTGTGGCCACCTGTCCTTGTTGGCAAGATAGTTCTGGATCACACTTGTTAAACACTGTGATATTCTAGTTTATGGATGGTCTAGAATACTTTTTTTTTTTGAGACAGACTCTAGCTCTGTTACCCAGGCTGGAGTGCAATGATGCGATCCTGGCTCACTGCAACCTCCACCTCCTGGGTTCAAGCAATTCTTCTGCCTCAGCCTCCCGAGTAGCTGGCATTACAGGCAAGCACCACCACGCTTGGCTAATTTTGTATTTTTAGTAGAGACAGGAGTTTCACCATGTTGGTCAGGCTGGTCTCGAACTCCTGACCTCAGGTGATCCACCCACCTCGGCCTCCCAAAGTGCTGGGATTACAGGCATGAGCCACCACACCTGGCCCTCTGATACATTATTAATGAATCTCCTAAGGCTGGACAGTAAGGTTGCTTCTGATTTTTTTCTGTGCTGAGGCCTGTGCTGCAGAGCCGTGACAGGGTTGGACTTCTGCGCAGCTCCTGATCACTTTGTTAAAGTCGCACCTTTGCAGGGGAGTGTCTAGGCCAGAAGCCACTCGCTTATGACTTTGGACACATGTTTCCAGGTTGCTGTCCTGGAAGTTCACACTGATTTACGCTCCTCTCAGTTTTCTTGAAGCTGACCAAGTCCTTTGCAAAGTGTAATGTGCAGGGAGGCAGAGGCCTTTCTAAGTCTGTCTGCCCTTCCATCCCTAGAAGAGAGAAGGCTTCTGCCAGCTCCTGCAGCAGATGAAGAACAAGCACTCAGAGCAGCCGGAGCCCGACATGATCACCATCTTCATCGGCACCTGGAACATGGGTGGGTCCGCGCGCCCCCTCCCTGCAGTCACCCCCTCTGCTTCTGCTTTCCTGACTCAGGCATCCTCAAGGTGGGGTGGAGTGACGACATCCATGTCCCCTTCCTTCCTGCCCCAGGGCCCTGCCCCTAAGCCCCAGCCCACCCGCACAACCTCCTTCCTGAGGAATTCCACCCTTTTCCTGAGATGATGGGTAAGAAAAACGAGCTTTGGGACTATCGTACCCCAAGAGCAGCTGGCGTGGGTTACTCTGTATGTCTAAATTGGAAAGTTTTAGGGAAAGAGTCTGAATATCTAGGTGAAGGGGCTCATGGGAACCCTGCCAGCCCTAGGCAGCTCACCAAGGGGCCCCAGGCCTGAGAGAAAGAAGTCCACCCTGAGTAGGGTTGCCAGATTTATCAGGAGAGAGACAGAGAGAGACAGAGAGATAGGTACGTAGACAAAGGATGCCCAGTTAAATTTTAACTTCATAGAAACAATTTTTTTTAGTATATGTTTAGCTACAAACAAATAAATACTAAATATATATGCTCATAGACATTATGCTGAATATATAGTATATATACATATGCTAAATAAGTGTAATTATTATATTAAATATGAATTATACTAAGTAATATTAGTTTAAGCATACAGCTAATAATATACTAAATATATGCTAAATATATTTTGTATTAAACATATATATTGTGTATTTACTAAACACATGCACTCTACTAAATATAAATAATACTAAATAATTTTTTAGTGTAAGTGTTCAGGTAGAAATAAATTAGATAGAAGACATCCAGATAAACTTATTCTAAAAACTACCAGTTTATCTGAAATTGGAATTTCACTGGGTGTCGTGTGTCCCCTACCCTTGTCCTGAGAGGAGTCTGGGAGGAAGAGGGTGAGCAGTGGCTGGCAGGGGCCTCCTGGAAGTGAAGTGACAGCTTGTCACTCGTGTCCCAGGGCCACAGCAGCCGTGGAGTAGAGCCCGGGCCAGTGCCCCAGGGGGTCACTTGTCCCCTTCGGTCCCTTTCAGTGTTTCTAATAAGAGACAATAGTCTGCCTGATCTCCTCCCTCTGGACATGGTCAGGGATGTCCATGACACAAGGGCAGGGGTGCCCTTCCCACAGAAGAGTATGGAAGGAGCCAGCTGAGGCCATGCCGCAGGAGGGCCGGGGACCCACCAGCCCGGGGGTTCGGGCACCCACTTTGAGCCTCTTGGGGGAGCAGAATTTAGCCACAGTCCATTTACTCCAATGCTTGGCTTCTTTGCACTTGTAAGGCAAGAAGCTCATCTCTTTGAGGAACAAAGTTTGCTCATCCTTCAAGGGCATTGTAGGGAGAACCGTTCAAAATTTCTTGATTGAGCTTCTTCAACTCAGTTTTGAAATGGGAATGCGGAGGAGTTTCCACACTCTCCCGTTTCTCTGGCTCACACCCAGGCATCCCTCCGCTCTGGGCTGGGATCTGTCTTGCAAGGGAGACTTTGTTGTCTCCCAACAATGGGTTAGAACCCGCCATCTAAAACTTGTCAGTTCCCTTGGCTGTCTTGAGAATAGGATGTGAGTTCCTTGAGGGACAGGACTGTGTCTCAATTATCGTAGCCTCAAAGTGCAGGACAGTGTCTGACATCAGGGAATCTTCTGGTGTTTCTATACCTTGAAACTTGACATTACGTTTAAAAAGAGGCTTAACTGAGCTCTAGCCCTAACCGACATCCTGGGTGAGGTTGGCGCCCAGGCCTCCATTGCAGGCATTTCTTTGGGCTGCCTGGATGGTCTTGTGTAATGACGTGACCTCCCTCACACTCCCGCCCTCTGTTTTGAATTCTCCTAATGCTTTGACTCGATGTGCCTTTGACTCACTTGGTGTTGGGTTTTGCTGTTGAAGGTAACGCCCCCCCTCCCAAGAAGATCACGTCCTGGTTTCTCTCCAAGGGGCAGGGAAAGACGCGGGACGACTCTGCGGACTACATCCCCCATGACATTTACGTGATCGGCACCCAAGAGGACCCCCTGAGTGAGAAGGAGTGGCTGGAGATCCTCAAACACTCCCTGCAAGAAATCACCAGTGTGACTTTTAAAACAGTGAGCAGCTGGCTGCACGCTGGGTGGGCTTCCGGGATAGAATCTTTGCTCGGCTGGGCTGTCTCAGAGGCAAGGGTGGGCTCAGCCTATCAGCTCTCAGTTTTCAAGGATGTCTGGAGGCCCCCACTGAGAGATGCGTCTGTATTCAGAAATAAATGGGATCTGTGGGGTATTGCTGAAAACCACTGAGTCCTCTATCTTCCCACCCTTGGTCAGCCCCGGTTCTCATCTTTAGGATGTTTTGTCTCGCCTATCAAGCATCGCTGGGAGTCCCCCGAAGGGTTGGGATTACAGACAGGATACCCCATACCCAGGGGCTGCGGCTGGGGCTGGGTGTGAATCACTGTGCCCTGGTTCACACCCTACACTTGGGCCGAGTATTGCAACGTTGTCCTCCCACCAGGTCGCCATCCACACGCTCTGGAACATCCGCATCGTGGTGCTGGCCAAGCCTGAGCACGAGAACCGGATCAGCCACATCTGTACTGACAACGTGAAGACAGGCATTGCAAACACACTGGGTGAGCAGGGCGGGGACCCTGTGTTCCTCCCACACCCTCTGCCTCAACTCTCGCGACCACATCATCCTGATCCCACCAGTAGTTCCCCGGGTTAAAAACAGAGAGCCTCACATCCTCAGATCCTGGCTCAGTCCTCAGCAAATAGGGGTGATTGGTCTCCCTGGCTGAAACTCACTCAGGGTCTACACCAGCAGTCCCAGGGATCTAGCTAAAATGCAGGTTCCGACCCAGTAGATCTTGGGTGGAGCTCAGGGTTCCAAGTTTCTGACAGGTTCCCAGGCGACTTGAGCGCTGCTGGTCGGCCCGTGGGACCCATTTTAAGAAGCAAGAACCTAGAAGAGGCATTGGCCAACTTTTGCAGGAAAGGGAAGGGCCTGACAGTAAATATTTCAGGCTTTGCAGGCCACTCAACACTATTCCTCTCTGCCTTTCTGGTGGGAAAGCAGCCATAGGCAACCCAGAAAGCGAATGGGAGTGACTGTGTTACCAGTGAGACCTTCCTTACAAGCACAGGCGGGAGGTGGCTGGCCCCTGCCCTCGGTCCCTGTGCACCAGGTTGGATCTGGAAACGCTGGTGTCAGTGGAGAGTTGCTGGCTTCAGAGAGCAGTAACAAGGGCAAGAAGTCTTCATAAGTGTAGGAGTGCAAGCCTGTGTGTTTGTGTAGGATGTGTGTGTGAGTAGGTCTGTGTATGTGAGTTTGTGTGAGTGACAGCGTGCATGTGAGTGTGTGAGCCTGTGTAGGTGTGTGAGAGTTTATGGATGTGTGTTTGTGAGCATGTTTATGTGAGTCAATGTGTGAGCGTACCACCCCATATCTATGAGTGTGTGTCTATATGTGTGTGAATCTATGCATGTGTTTGAGTGTGTCTATGTGAGTCTATGTATGTGAGTCCGTGTATGAGTGTACCACCCATATCTATGTGTGTGAGTGTCTGTATGTGTGAGTCCATGCATGTGTGTTTGTGTGTGTTTATGTGAGTCTACATATGTGAGTCCGTGTGTGAGTGTACCACCCCGTATCTATGAGTGTGTGTGTGTCCATGCATGTGTTTGTGAGTGTATTTATGTGAGTCTATGTATGTGAGTCCGTGTGTGTGTACCACTCCATATCTATGAGTGTGTGAGTGTCTATGTGTGTGTGTCCATGCATGTGTGTTTGTGAGTGTGTGTTTATGTGCATCTGTGTGTGAGTGTACCACCCCGTATCTATGAGTGTGTGAGAGTCCATGCATGTGTTTGTGAGTGTGTTTATGTGAGTCTATGTATGTGAGTCCATGTATGAGTGTACCACCCCATATCTATGAGTGTGTGAGTATCTGTGAGTCCATGTGTCTGTGTTTGTGAGTGTGTGTTTATGAGAGTCTAGGTATGTGAGGGTGGGTGTCCGAGTGCATGTGCATAAGTGCTAGAGCCTCTCTGTGTGTTTGTGTGTGTGTGTGTGTGTGCCCGTGTGTGCACGTGGGGTGGTATACACACAGGGCTCCAGGGCTGGCATCAGGGGCGAGGCCAGTGGTTTTTGGTGGTTGGAGTCAGTGGAGTCAGGAACAGGACAGAGTCCCAGAGATAACAGGAAATAGAAGAATTGCTGCAATCGAACGTGCAAAGCTCTCTCAACTTTTCTGCTGACAAACCGCAAACTGCCCGCGTCCACCCCCACTCGTCCCCCTTCCTTCCTGCCACAGTAGAAGGGTGGGGCTGGCGTGGCTATCCTGGCTGCGCCCACGCCCTCCTGCTGCCCAGCAACCGCCCCGGGTGTGGATTCCATCGCTCCCTGGGCTTCCAGTCCCTCCCACCAGCCCCTGCCCCGCTGTGCAGAATATGCTCGGACCTCCTAGGGCCACATAAAACCACCCCCTCAGCCAGACCAGTTCCTGGTCATCCTGGCCTCAGGGCTGGGCACTGGGTCAGCTTCTGAGCAGGCAGGAGCTCTGCTCATGTGGACCTGACACACATTGCATGAGCAGACGGGAGGAAAAGAAGCCAGTTCCTGGGAGGGAGTGCACTGGCGAAGGAGTGTGTGGCGTGGGCAGAGAGCAGAGGTCAGGGGCCTCCCTGAGAAGGGCAGTGCGACTGGCATCTGAGGGGTGAGGAGAAAGGCCTGGCCAGAGTCCCAGCTTTATGACCATTGCAGGGCAGCTTCTGGGCTGTGCAGCTCACACACACCTTCCCCTCCTTCCCCTCCTTCCCCTCCTCTCTGCCCTGGGGCCAGCCTCCCTCCTCCACTCCCCTGAAATGGCTCCCAGCCATAATTAGCACAGGACAGAAACAGCAAATGCTGGTCGGTGTGGTAGGCTCACGCCTGTAATCCCAGCACTTTGGAAGGCCGAGGCCGGTGGATCACTTGAAGTCAGGAGTTCGAGACCAGCCTGGCCAACATGGTGAAATCCCATCCCACTAAAAATACAAAAATTAGTTGGATGTGGTGGTGCGCACCTGTAATCCCAGCTGCTTGGGAGGCTGAGGCAGGAGAATCGCTTGAACCCGAGAGGTGGAGGTTGCAGTGAGCTGAGATCATGCCACTGCACTCCAGCCTGGGTGACAGAGCGAGACTCTATCTCAAAAAAAAAAAAAAGTCCTTAGAACAACCAAGGCCTTTCTAAGAGTGTGCCCTAAGCAAGGCTGTGTGCTGAATGCTTTGAATCATCTCATTTGATATAAACACCCTGCTAGGCACGATGGCTCATGCCTATAATCCCACACTTTGGGAGGCCAAGGTGGGAGGACCTCCTGAGACCGGGAGTTTGAGACCAGCCTGGGCAACATAGGAAGGTACCATTTCTACAAAAAAAAAAAAAAAAAAAATGGCATAGTAGTGCATGCCTGTGGGCCCAGCTACTCAGGAGGCTGAGGTGGGAGGATCACTTAAATCTGGGAGGTCAAGGCTACAGAAAGCCATGATTTTGCCACTGCACTCCAGCCTGGGCGACACAGACTTTGTCTCAAATTAGAAAAAAAAATACAAACACTCGGGCAGGGACTCTTATTATTCCCATTTGCAGATGAAGAAACAGAGTCTATGGAGATGATCCATAACTTGCCCAAGGCCCCGGGATAAGAATGTGGTGGGCAGGGATTGAAACCAGGCTGTCGGGACTGGAACCAGTTGCTCAGTTCCAGGTCACCCTCCCAGGTTGCGGGCAGAGGGGCAGGGCTGGAGAGCTAGGTGCAGTGGAGAGGGCTGGAGGGCAGAAAGCCTGTGTACTCCCCCACTGGGTCCTGACAAGGTTGAGCCAGGTGATATCCAGGGGTCCCTTCAGCCTATGGCCTATCCAGAGCTGTCCAACCAAAAGAAAATGGGGCCGGGTGCCGTGGCTCACGCCTGTAATCCTAGCACTTTGGGAGGCTGAGGCAGGCAGATTGCCAGAGCTCAGTAGTTTGAGACCAACCTGGGCAACACGGTGAAACCTCGTCTCTACTAAAATACAAAAAATTAGCTGGGTGTGGTGGTGGGTGCCTGTAGTCCCAGCTACTCCTGAGGCAGAGACAGGAGAATTGCTTGAACCTGGGAGACGGAGGTTGCAGTAAGCAGAGATCGCGCCACTGCACTCCAGCCTGGGAGACAGAGTGAGACTCTGTCTCCAAAAAAAAAAAAAAAAAAAAGAAAGAAAGGAAGAAAAGAAAATGATGGGAGCCAAATAGATCATAAATAAATAGATTTATGATCAAAATAGATTACAATTTGATTTATTACAATCAATAGATCAAATTTTCTAGTAGCCACATTAAAAAGAAAACAAGTGAAATTAATTTCAATAATAGATTTTATTGAATTTCATACATCCAAAATACAATTATTTCAATAGATATTTAATGTAAAAGGTTATTAGATATTTTACAGTCTGTGTTTCTTACCAAGGCCACAATTCCAATGTGTATTTTACACTCACAACCTGTCTCATTTTGTACCAGCCACATTTCAGGTGTTTGATAGTCACATGTGGCCTGTGCCTGTATTGGACAGAGCAGGTTCTCACCTGCATGTGTCAGAATCACCTAGAGCAGGGGTTAACAAGCGTTTTCCATAGAAGGCCAGATGGTGAATATTCTAGGCTCTTTGGGCCACACAACTGTCACAATGCTTCAGCTCTGCCATCGTAGTCTGAAAGCAGCTACAGACAATCCAGAAGTCAATAGGCATGGCTGTGTTCCAGTAACGTGTTCTTTACGAACACTGAAATTTGAATTTCGTATTTTCATGAATGACAAAAGATGGTTTTTCTTTTGATTTGTTTCCAACCATTTACAAATGTAAAACCATTTGTAGCTGGCAGTGAGCCAGCATTTGCCCACCCCTGACACTGGAGGGCTTGTCAAACACAGATTACTGGGCCCCATCCCAGGATTTCAGATTCAGTAGGTCTGGGGTGGGGCTGAGAATCTGCCCTTCCATGAAGTTCCCAGGTGATGTGCAGCTGCTGGTCCAGGGAACTCCCTTTGGGAACCACTGACCTAGAATAGATCAGAACGTTGGCAGAAAAAGGTATGATCTCAGTGTGGGTTTTTGGTCTCCCCAGGAAACTTGAGTTCACTGGGAGGGAGATCAGCCCACCCAGGCTGGAACCTTCTGAATCTTCCCAGGGCTTCTGGCTGCCCGCTTAGCACCCTGGTCACTTTAGAGAGAGATGCCGGGGGAGGATCGCAGCAGCCACCTTCCTCTGCCCCGCCGAGAAGGCTGAGGCTGCCGCCATCTGCACTGCTCCTGCATTTTCTCATCTCCCGCTCTCTGCCCAGCGGCTCCCACCCTGCACGACCCTGTTTCGCCCATCCCTTGCCAGCTCCTCACTCACTGCCCCTCTCACCCTGCCTTCGGGTGATTTCTGGCCCCTTGGCAAGTGTGTCTGTTTGATATTTTGATTCTTCTTTCTGCTCTTCTTTTTAGGGAACAAGGGAGCCGTGGGGGTGTCGTTCATGTTCAATGGAACCTCCTTAGGGTTCGTCAACAGCCACTTGACTTCAGGAAGTGAAAAGAAACTCAGGTAATGGAACTCCTTCCCCCCAAGAGTGTGCATTTGGGCTGTCTGCCCAGACACGCCTCACACCTTTAAGCACCAGAAGGACCTGCTCAGCTCCTGCCTTTGACCTTGTGGATGTCCTGTGGCCTTTCAGGGCCCACCACAGTCTCATCAAAGGCAACTGCAGCACCATAGTGACCTCACGTGTGGAGGAATTTTGTCTGAAGGTCAGAAAAGATATTTCCTTGTGTCATTAGCCTGATGGACCGCTAACTAGCACTGTTTCTAAAGCAGAAAGCCTCCTCTGGGGCCTCCTTACAAATCCAAGCTGATCTTGCCTAGCTGGGGCCCAGGAATGAAGACAGCCATCTAGAATCTTCACTGTTCTGATTCTCTGCTGAGCAGATGCTGCTGCTCCTGGTCCCCTGCCCTCTGTACACCCAATGTGGCCTCAAATGCCCTTTGCATCCTGGCTGTGCCATATTTGCACACTAAGGAGTTCTGCTGCAGCAGGGCTGGAGGGCTAAGTCTCACTTCCCCCCACCTGCTATGCTCCTCGCCCCACACCTATGGCAGGAGTGACTTCCTGCCACAGTGGAGGGGGAACCAGTGACCCCGTGCTAGATGGCCGCTTTTTCCTTGCATTAGGCGAAACCAAAACTATATGAACATTCTCCGGTTCCTGGCCCTGGGCGACAAGAAGCTGAGTCCCTTTAACATCACTCACCGCTTCACGCACCTCTTCTGGTTTGGGGATCTTAACTACCGTGTGGATCTGCCTACCTGGGTAAGGGCTGCCCGCCTGGGGCTGGGGCTGGGGCTGTATGAGATGGAGGCTCCCTTGAGTCAGCTTGGGGCAGGTGGTCGTGGAGACATGTGAATCAAGTGGGCTGAGGCGGCTGCTCCCCTTGGGGGCTCAACGCTGTTTCCATTACTGAGCCTCAGCCGCTCCTCACGGTTCCCCTGTGCTCACACCCGGTTCCCATAACTGTCACAGCCACCCTGCCACCATCACTCTGCAGCCCGGGTCATCCAGCTGCCCGCCCCCAGCCCCGAAGCTTGTCAGGCCTGGATCAGCAGGGCTTCTCACCAGAGGCCCGGGCATGTTCTTGTTCCAGGAGGCAGAAACCATCATCCAGAAAATCAAGCAGCAGCAGTACGCAGACCTCCTGTCCCACGACCAGCTGCTCACAGAGAGGAGGGAGCAGAAGGTCTTCCTACACTTCGGTAAGAGCAGCAACCCCGGCTGGGAGCGGTGGCTCACACCTGTAATCCCAGCACTTTAGGAGGCCGAGGCGGGCGGATCACGAGATCAGGAGATGGAGACCATCCTGGCTAACACAGTGAAACCCCGTCTCTACTTAAAAAAATACAAAAAATTAGCCGGGTGTGGTGGCGGGTGCCTGTAGTCCCAGCTACTTGGGAGGCTGAGGCAGGAGGATGGTGTGAACCAGGGAGGCAGAGCTTGCAGTGAGCCAAGATCGCGCCACTGCACTCCAGCCTGGCCAACAAAGACAGACTCCGTCTCAAAAAAAAAAAAAAAAAAAGCAGCAGCCTCTCCTCTTGGAGCCTTTCCAGCCATCCTTTCGTCCCCTTTCCCCTGATTTCCTACCAGAAGAATAGGGAAAATTGGCCAGATGCAAAACCTGGGGAATCAGAATTAAAACGAAAGTCTCTCTGTTTCAGAGGAGGAAGAAATCACGTTTGCCCCAACCTACCGTTTTGAGAGACTGACTCGGGACAAATACGCCTACACCAAGCAGAAAGCGACAGGGGTGAGTCCTCTTCATAGACACCTTCCCTGCCCTCCATCTCCTCCCCGCTGGTGTCTGTTCCCAAAAGGTGAACAGAAAGTGTCTTCATCCATTAGGCAAAAAAAAAAGGAAAGAAAAAAATTAGAAAGCACATGTTGATTTGTGTTACAGAGTAAATGGGAAGCCACACTTGTGCACTGCTTTGAGCTGGGAAAATAACCCTTGTGATTTACCTTCTGTCCAGATACTCTAAGATGCTGAGAGGACTTTAAAGTATTATTTCCTTAACTGGGTTCTGAAGATCATTTTTTTAAAGTCCCGTGATCAAATATATTTACTAAACTGCTGAGTGAATTAACATTAAGCAGGTTTCTTCGCTGCAGGACTTATCAGAGCTTTTATGGGCCCAAGAGCACTGTGGTTCTCCATGAGGAAATCTGTATGCCAAACTCAGTTATTCATGGAACACCAATTAATGTCTTATGAGGCCACTTGTTTTCCAAGGAACAGTGTTTTGGGGAAAGATGCAATAAAATATGTATTCATTTGTTCAAAGATATTTCCTGATGGCCTATTATGGGTTAGGCACTCTCCTAGGTGATGGGAGAGCAAAGATGTCTTTTCCAGGGACTTCACAGTAGGAAAAACAGATATGCAACTAGCTGTAGCCAGAGCCAGAATGTGACAATGCCAGGGCAGGGAAGGATCAGGGAAGCCAGCCCCTGGCAGGATTCAAGGGTCAAATGGCTGGGACGGTGAGGTACCCAGGCCCACTAGAAGCCTAGGGCAATGGAGCGCAAGTTCAAAGTGTCATCTGAAAGAGTTCTGGGCCCCATCTGGGCTCAGGAGAAAGTGAAGAACTGGACGTGGGAGAGGAAGGCCAAGCGCTGGGTGGATTTTAGAACAGAGCAGGAGAGGAAGAGAATACAACTGAGAGGACAGGAGGAGATCCCGGACTGCTGTCACCCACGAGGCTGGGACCCCCAGGATGGGACACCCCATTCCGCAGGGTCCACTGCCTGCTGTGTGGATAAGGTCACCTGGCCCAAAGGCACTGTCAGAGCAGGTCCTTGGGGATCCCTGTGCAGGCTGGTGAAGGATGGTTTGCTTTGATGTGAGTTTAAGTTGAGGCAGAGGAGGGCCTGAGATGGGAGAGTGGCCGGTCCTAGATGCCAGGATGACAGGCCACAGGGGGCCACTGCAAGCTCTGCCGGGCACTGGTGCATCAGAGTGGCATGTGCAGAATTGTGGTGGGCATTGTGGTAAAGGATGAGGACGCGGCAGGGGCATCGGTGAGGAGGCCGTTGTGCACATTCAGCTGAGCAACAGCTAGGGCCGAATCAGGGAAAAAACAGTGAAAATGAAAGAAAGGGGGAAATCAGGATATATTGCGAGACCTGATTGCCATTGATAAAAACTGGAAAATCACAAGGCGGAGCTGGCTTGAAGGGGAAAAAAATAGAACTTGTTTTCAGACTTACTGATTGTGTGACATCAGTGGAAGAACCCAGAGAAAATACCCAGAAGGCAGCTGAAAATAGCGATGCGTCGCTTAACAACGGGGATATGTTCCGAGAAGCGTGTCATTAGGTGACTTCGTCATTGTGGGAACCTCATGAAGTGTGTATACACAAAGCCCACTTCAGTTAGATGGTGTGGCCTATTGATCCTAGGCTACAAACCCGTATAGCATGTTACTTTACTGAATACTGTGGGCAACTGTAACACAATAAGTTTTTGTGTATCTAAACATTAAAAAGGTACAGTAAAAATATGGTATAAAAAGAAAAAAATGGGCTGGGGGCAGCGGCTCATGCCTATAATCCCAGCACTTTGGGAGGCCGAGGTGGGTGGATCACTTGAGGTTAGGAGTTCAAGGCCAGCCTGGCCAACACGGTGAAACCTTGTCTCTACTAAAAATACAAAAATTAGCCATGCATGGCGGTACACGCCTGTAACCCCAGCTACTCGGGAGGCTGAGGCAAGAGAATCGCTTGAACCCGGGAGATGGAAGTTGCAGTGAGCCGAGATCGCGCCATTGCATGCCAGCCTGGGTGACAGAGCAAGACTGTGTCTCAAAAAAAAAAAAAAAAAAAGAAGGTGGTACACCTGTATAGGGCACTTACCATGAATGAAGCTTGCAGGCTTGGAAGTTGCTCTGGGTGAGTCAGTGAGTGAGTGGTGAATGAGTGCGAAGGCCTAGGACATTACTATGCACTGCTGTAGACCTTACAAACACTGTACACTTAGGCTACCCTACATTTATTTTTTAAATTTTCTTTTTCCAATAATAAACTAACCTTAGCTTACTGTAATTTTTTATTTATAAGCTTTTTATTTATAAACAATTTAATTTTTGACGCTTTTGTAATAAAATGTAGCTTAAAATACAAACACATTGTACAGCTGTACAGAAATATTTTATTTCTTTATATTCTTAATCTATAAGCTTTTTTTCAAGTTTTAAAATTTCAAAACTCTCATTTACATTGACTTTTTTGTTGAAAATTAAGACGTAGGCTGGGCACCGTGGCTTATGCCTGTAATCCCAGCATTTTGGGAGACCGAGGTGGGTGAGTCACCTGAGGTCAAGAGGTCGAGACCAGCCTGGCCAACATGGCAAAACTCTTGTCTCTACTAAAAATACAAAAATTAGCTAGGCGTAGTGGTGTGCACCTGTAATCCCAGCTACTTGGGAGACTGAGACAGGAGAATCGCTTGAAACCTGGAAGCAGAGGTTGCAGCGAACCGAGATGGCGCCACTGCACTCCTGCCTGGAGCAAGGCTCCGTCTCAAAAAAAAAAACAAAAACAAAAACCATAAATGCACACATTAGCCTAGGCTGAAACAGGCTCAGGATGGTCAATGACATTATCACCCACCTCCACATCTCATCCCATGGAAGGTCCTCGGGGCAATAACATGGAGCTGTCGTCTCCTATGATGACAATGTCTTCTTCTGGTTACCTCCTGAAGGACCTGCCTGAGGCTATTTTATAGTTAACATTTTCTTATAAGTAGGAATACACTCTAATGATAAATAATATCGTAAACACGGAAATGAGTGACAGTTGTTTATCATTATCAAATATTATGTACTGAACAGAATTGTACTGTTATGCTTTTACACAGCTGGCAGTGCAGTGGGCTGGTTTGCACCAGCATCCCCAGAAGCATGTGAGTAATGTGTTGCGCTGTGACGTGATGACAGCTACAGCAGCACTACGTGATGGGGATTTTCCAGCTCCATTATAATTTTGTAGGACCTCTGTCCTATATGCAGTCCATTACTGTGGTACATGACTATTTGTGGAGCCCCACGGGTAATTCTCAGAGGCAGCTGATGCCGAGAACTGCAATGTTAAGAAGTAACTGTTTAGGCTGGGCACAGTGGCTCATGCCTGTATTCCCAACACTTTGGGAGCTGAGGCAGGTAAATCATTTGAGGCCAGGAGTTTGAGACCAGCCTGGCCAACATGGCGAAACCCCATCTCTACTGAAAATACAAAAATTAGCCAGGTGTGGTGGCGCACTCCTGTGATCCCAGCTACTCAGAAGGCTGAGTCAGGAGAATTGTTTGAATCCGGCAGACAGAGGTTGCAGTGAGCTGAGATTGCCCCACTGCACTCCAGCCTGGGCAACAGAGTGAGACCCTGTCTCAAAAAAAAAAAAAAAAAAAGGACTTAACTAACTGTTAGGCAGAATCAATGAAAACTAAAAATGCACCTATTCTATGATTCAGTAATTCCGCTTTGGTGTGTGTTCAAGAGAAATTTGTATATTTGTTCACCAAAAATAGGTATAAGAATGTTTAGCCGGGCATGGTGGCTCACGCCTATAATCCCAGAGCTTTGGGAGGCCAAAGCAGGTGAATCACCTGAAGTCAGGAGTTCCAGACCAGTCTGGCCAACACCGCGAAACCCGTCTCTATACAAAATTAGCCGGGCATGCTGATGGGCGCCTGTAATCCCAGCTACTCGGGAGGCTGAGGCAGGAGAATCACTGGAACCTGGGAGGTGGAGATGGTGGTGAGCCGAGACCATGCCACTGCACTCCAACCTCAGCAACAGGGCGAGACTCCATCTCAAAAAAAAAAAAAAAAAAAAAAATGAATGTTTATGGCAGCCTTGTTTGTAATCTTCAAAACTGAAAACAACCCTATGTCCATTAACAGTAGAGTAGATAAATGTGATACTTATAAACAATGGAACTTTTATAAGCAACGAAGTGGCTGAAGGAGTCCAACATAAAAGAGTATCTACTGAGTGAGTCCATTTATATACGTTCATATAAATTAATCAATGGAGATGTTAGTCACACTAATGCTCACCTTTAGGAGGCTCTGGTATTGACAAGGAAGGCTTATGAGGGAAGCTTTAGGATGATGGCGGTTTTCTGTATCTTGCTCTGGGTAGTGGGTAAGTGGGTTTATACAAACCTAAAAATGCATGGGACTGTACACTTATGGTTAGTACACTTTATGTAAGTTGTACCTAAAGTTTTTTTTAAAAAGTGAATGGTTCAGAAGTAGAGAGAATGAAAATAAAAACTTTTGTTTTTTTTTTTTTGAGATGGAGTTTTGCTCTTATTGCCCAGGCTGGAGTGCAGTGGCGCAATCTCAGCACACCACAACCTCCACCTTCTGGGTTCAAGCGATTCTCCTGCCTCAGCCTCCTGAGTAGCTGGGATTACAGGCATGCGCCACCATGCCCGGGTAATTTTGTATTTTTAGCAGAGATGGGGTTTCGCCATGTTGGTCAGGGTGGTCTCGAACTCCCGACCTCAGGTGATCCACCCGCCTTGGCCTCCCAAAGTGCTGGGATTACAGGCATGAGCCACCATGCCCAGCCTGAAAATAGAACATTCTTGAAAGAAAATTGGTAAAAGGAAGAAAAGAGAAAAGTAATTGAAGGAGATGACAGAGATAAGCTCTTTCAGGATGAGTTCCTTTATGTTTGTAGACAGAGAAGAAAGAGCTAGAACATGAGGGGATAAGGATATTGATAAAAGAGGGTTGTTATTGCCAGTTTACCTTGTCTATCCCACCTAATGGACATCTTGCTCATCATTGCAGCCTGAGGCCCTGGAGAGGGCTTGTCATATAGTATTAATAGATACTGTTTGAGTGATTGGATAAGTAGGTAGACGGGTGTGTGAACGGTCAATGGATGAGTGGATGGGTGCGATGGATGGATGGATGGATGGATGGATGGATGGATGGATGGATAGGCGAATGGATAGGTGGGTGGGTGGGTGGATGGATGGATGGATAGATAGATGGATGTGTGGGTGGGTGAATGGATGGATGGATGGATGGGTGGATAGGTGGATGGATGGGTGGATAGGTGGGTGAATGGGTGAATGGATGATAGCCATATGGTGGTAGTGTGGATGATGATGATGATGATGATGATGTGTGGTGTGAGGATGATAATGGATTGATGATGTGTGGGTTGGTGGAGGATGATAAATGATGATAGGTGGATGGGTGGATGGATGGATGGCTAGTCGGTGGGTGGATGGATGGGTGGGTGGGTGGATGGATGAGTGGATGAATAGGTGGATGGGTGGATGGATGAAATGGACAGGTAGTTGGATGGATGGGTGGATGGATAGATGAATGAATAGGTAGATAAGTGGATGGGTGGATGGATGAATGAATAGGTGGGTAGGTGGATGGATGGATGGGTGAATGAGTAAAGATGGGTAGATGGGGAGATGAAAAGGTGGACAGATGGATGAATAGAACTGGGGGTGGAAGCTGAAGTGTGTTATTAAAGTAAGTGACTGCAGAAAGTGAGCAGAGACTGAGCTGAAAATACAGGTGGGGGTTCATCTGAGTCAGAAAGAAAGTAAGAGAAGGTGAAGATACAAGGGATACTGAAGTAGTCAGGAGGATATGTGAGGGAATACAGCAAGGTGAGTTATCTTAGTCTAAAGAAGAAGGCGTGGCAGTGGAGTCTGGACTTGAGCCATGTGAAAAAAGTTTAAAGCCACCTACAGGGAAATTCTATAAAAAGCCAACAGCCGATGAATTTGAGGATTACAGAGGCCACCAGTTAATCTGTTCTTTTACTGATTAAAAAAATAATAATAAGAGGCATTTTTTAAAGCCTATGACTTTGATTTGCAGATGAAGTACAACTTGCCTTCCTGGTGTGACCGAGTCCTCTGGAAGTCTTATCCCCTGGTGCACGTGGTGTGTCAGTCTTATGGTGAGTTCAAACACTGGGGAAAGCAGAACAGGATCAGAGAATGGCACCAAGCTGGGAGGTGTGACTGCCCTAAAATCTAAGGGCTTCAGTCTGTTGATGTGTCAAAGGGAGGAATTCACTGTAACCCTAATCAGGCGACCTGGAAATGTTGATGCTTCCCTGCCTGTCTTGTGCTGCCACCTAATCCATATCCCCTGCTTTAGGAGACATTTGAATTATAGAGCACTTTTTTTCTTTTTCTTTTTGAGACGGAGTCTCACTCTGTCACCCAGGCTGGAGTACAATGGCATGATCTCATCTCACCACAACTTCTACCTCCTGGGTTCAAGCGATTCTCGTGCCACAGCCTCCCCAAGCAGCTGGGATTACAGGCTCCTGCCACCATGCCTGGCTAATTTTTGTATTTTTAGTAGAGACGGGGTTTCACCATGTTGGCCAGGCTGGTTGCAAACTCCTGACCTCAGGTGGTCAGCCCACCTCGGCCTCCCAAAGTGCTGAGATTACAGGCATGAGCCACCGCGGCCGACCCGGAGCACTTTTTTAAAAATTCAGTTTTATTTCTTTTGAAAAGAACATATTAAGTGTGAACCATATGAAAGTGTTTTTGTAGGTCAGAAATAGTTATTGGAAATTCATATGGCTCAAACTAATACATGTCGCAAGTGTGTACACATATATACACATATATATTTGGGGAGGTTTAACCATAAATTGAGTTAAATTGATTTTTAGAAGGCATAACATGTAATATTAAAATAAATAATTATGGAATAAGTTATCAAAACAATTAAGAAATAACTGTTAGCCAGGCACTGTGCCACGTACCTATAGTCTCAGCTGCTCAATAGGCTGAGGGGGGAGGATCGCTTGAGCCCAGTAGTTCAAAACCAGCCTGGGCAACGTAGACTCCATCTCTGAAAAAAATGAAAGAAAGAAATGACTGTTAACTCTTGACCCTCAAAGTTGAAGGTGCACTGAAGGAGTTCTTAATTGCCTGAATGCTTATTCTGAAAAGCTACTGATTAGTTCCCATTACTTACGAAGTGAGACCTTAAAAATCCACAGAACAGAGTTGCTTTGAACACTTCACTGACTGAGAATTGTGGTATTTTATTATTTATTTATTTATTTATTTATTTATTTATTTATTTATTGAGACGGAGTCTCTCTCAGTCGCCCAGGCTGGAGTACAGTGGCAAAATCTCGGCTCCCTGCAACCTCCGCCTGCCAGGTTCAAGTGACTCTCCTGCCTCAGACTCCCGAGTAGCTGGGATATCAGGCACGCAGCACCACGCCTGGCTAATTTTTTGTATTTTTAGTAGAGATGGGGTTACACCATGTTGGTCAGGCTGGTCTCGAACTCCTGACTTCAGGTGATCCACCCGCCTCAGCCTCCCCAGGTGCTGGGATTACAGGCCTGAGTCACTGCGCCAGGCCCAGTGGTATTATTTTTAAAACACTGCGAATTCCCACACAATGGCCTCTAAAGGATGGCCACCCCAGTCCTTGGAGCAAGGAGAGGGGTGGGGGAATGCTGCCCGCTGGCCACCTTTGTGGCTCCCACTCTGTCTCTGGGGACTGGCAAATTTGGTCTCACTTATTTAACTCTGGTCCTATACTTTGAACTGACTTCCATTCCAGTGCCTGTCTCCTCCTACTGCCCAGAAGAGCCCAGAGCAGCTACCCTGAAATAGTTTAACACACGCACCCTGCATTCCTTGCTGAAGGACTGAGCTCTGTCTCCCAGAAGTGACGTCACTAGACGAACTTCACACAACACCTTTAGATGTGTGGGAAGGCAACCTGCCCTCATAGCCACGGCCAGGGCATTGTTCCAGCTTCCAAAGCTCAAAGTGCCTGAGTCCTACCCTCTGCCTGCAGCCTCCTCACTTGTGCATTCCCTCCCTGCCACCCGTCGGACTCTCCAGGCCTGTCACTCCTTCCCAGCCACACTCAGGGTCAACCCTGTCAATACTGTCCTTCCCACATCCTGCAGCTCCGTGCATCCTGCCAATTCTTGTCTCAACCATCTGTCTGCTTCAGCCAGCCTCTGCCGAGAGTCAGGAGATAGTGGAGGCTTGTAGAATTACCACTTACTGTTTTGCACCTAAACTTGGCATTCAAAACTGCTCGACAGTGGAGGCTTTAGAGAAAGAGGAGGGAGATCAGTCCGGAAGTGGCAATGAGGAGCAGGAAGGACACCCTTTGCCCCCACCTCCGGGCCCGGAATATGAGGGTTGGGGAGGAAAACAAGCCTCACCAGAGAGGCAGCAGTGTCTTCCGGGGAGGGCTGGGTTTGGGAGGTGACAGGAAGATTAAAGATACAGGGAATTTTGCTAATGATATTTCATTGAGTGCCAGAGGGCTCAGTAGAAGCGTTTAATGAGTTGGGGTTGAGGGGAGGCAAAATGTTGGAAAAGAAAAGGGAGTGAATGTCCAGAGCTCAGGAAACAGGGGTGACCTGGGAGCCTCAGTCTTCTCATGACAATTAACATAGCAGGCATATCAGCTGTCTATTGCTGCATAACAAACTGTCCTAAAACTCAGTGACTTAAAGCAAACATTTATTTGCTCGCGAGTCTCTGCGCTAGGCTGAATTTGGACTGCTCACCTCTGCTCTAGTTGGTGTCATCTGGGCACACTCAGGCAGGAGCCCATCAGATCTGGGGTCGGCTGGCTGTCAGCAGGCATAGGGGTGGTACTCATCATCCAGCAGGCCAGTGCTGGCTTCTTAGCTTCCTGGTCTCAGGGTTCCCAGATTCGAGTGTCACCAGTGGGGAAGTTCTTCTTAAGGCTCTGTTGGCCTCATGTTTACTAAGGTCCCATTGGCCAAAGAAAGTCACATGACCAAGCCCAGACTCATGGTGGGAGGGGACCACAGAGAGTGTGGTTACTGGGAGGAGGACTGGGTCTTTGAGGGTCACCCATCTTACAGTCCACCTCCTAGGCTTAAGGGCACACTGTAGTGCCATTGCTATTATGTTCAGTACATATCTGAAATATTCTGAGAATGCTTAAAAAAAAAAACCCTGCTCGTCAACCCATTAAATTCTCCCTGGAACACCCCTCCTCCACTGCCACAGCAAACCTGTACCCCTGTGCTCAGCCTGACTCCCCACCTCCATCCTCTCCTGCCTCACACAGCACTGGACCTCACTGATTTCTTCTTGCCTGTGTCCAGTTTTTTGTTTTTTTTGTTTTGTTTTGTTTTTTGAGACAATCTTGCTTTGTTATCCAGGCTGGAGTGCAGTGGCACCATCCTGGCTCACTGCAACGTCAGCCTCCCAGGTTCAAGTGATTCTCCGCCTCAGCCTCCCAAGCAGCTGGGATTACAGGCGCCCACCACCACGCCCAGCTAATTTTTGTATTTTTAGTAGAGACGGGGTTTTGCCATGTTGGCCAGGCTGATCTCGAACTCCTGGCCTCAAGTGATCCACCCACCTCGGCCTCCCAAAGTGCTGGGATTACATGCGCCCACCACCATGCCCAGCTAATTTTTGTATTTTTAGTAGAGACGGGGTTTTGCCATGTTGGCCAGGCTGATCTCGAACTCCTGGCCTCAAGTGATCCACCCACCTCGGCCTCCCAAAGTGCTGGGATTACAGGCATGAGCCACCGTGCTTGGCCTCAGGTCCAGTTTTTAGGCTGATGCCCTCGCATCTTCCTCCCTCCTGTCTCAGAGAAGGGGTAGCCTCCTCTTTCTTTCCTGCCTAGCCTTTGCCCCTGGACCCTTGACTCCATCTATTCCTTCTCCACTACCAACCAGTGCCCCCACTCCCATCCTTCTCTCCTGTCCCTTTCTCTGTTCTGTCTCATAGTTTCCATGTGTTTCTCTGGTGATCCTTAGTAAGTGAGCTTTTTTTCTTTTCATGTTTATTAGCCATCTGTATTTTTTGGTGAATTTTCTGTCCATATCCTTTGGTTGGTTGAAGGGTGGAGTGTTTATCTTTTTCTTGCTGATTTGTAAATGCTTTCTAAAAAGGATGCCAAGTCTGTTTTATCACCTTCTTGGTCTCCTTTGCTGGCGGTTTTTCCTTTGCCCGCCCATTCATGGTTGGTGTGCCCTGGAATTCCATCCTCGTCTCTTCTCATCCTTCGTGTGAAAGCCCAGACATGCTCAGGTCTTCTGCTTCCACCTAATCCTAAGACTCCACATCTAAAGATGCATCTCCAGCCTTGAGTGCCCATTTCCTGCCAGGCATCTCCAACGGGCTATCTTGAAAGAACTGTCTTTCTAGAACTGTCCTCTTTCTCTTGCCCCTTCCCAAAGTGCTCTGCTGCCTCCATTCTCACCCGAGCACCAAGCTCCTTAACAGAGTTTTCTACACTTAGCGTCCTCCACTCTCTCCCGGTTCTATGAGGCATCGTGGGATGGAAAAGGTGTCCCGTCTCTCCCACCGATGAGCTGAGTGGCCTTAAGTCCCCTTCCCACCCAGTGTTTGGGGCTCTTCATCAATAAAATAAAGTGAGCCAGGCGTGGTGGCTCACGTCTGTAATCCCAGCACTTGGGAGGCCGAGGCGAGTGGATCACCTGAGGTCAGGAGTTCAAGACCAGCCTGGCCAACATGGCAAAACCTCATCTCTACAAAATGCACAAAGATTAGCTGGGCATGGTGACACGCACCTGTACTCCCAGCTACTCGGGTGGCTGAGGCATGAGAATTGCTTGAGCCTGGGAGGTGGAGGCTGCAGTGAGCCGAGATCGCGCCACTGCATTCCAGCCTGGGCAACAGAACAAGATTCTGTCTCAAAAATAAGTAAATAAATAAGTACAATGATTAGACCAGAAAAATCTCCATGGTTCACACTCCCTAATCAATTCAAAAAGTCTTAGGTCTTTAGGAAAAATGAGCACAGGCTTCTTCTGTCCATGGAGGAGGCAGTGTCCACACTGTCTTCCACTGAACCCTTTAAGCATTGCTGTGGAAGGACAACAGGTGCAAAACTTCGCACTTCTGGAGGGCTCCATAACTAAAGTTTCTTTCTGCTTTAGGGTTGCCATCCTTGGCCTGACCGGAAGGGCTTCTCCTTCCCTGCTTAAAAATGCCTTCCCTCCCCTGCAGGCAGTACCAGCGACATCATGACGAGTGACCACAGCCCTGTCTTTGCCACATTTGAGGCAGGAGTCACTTCCCAGTTTGTCTCCAAGAACGGTAAGCAAAGGATGGTGTCTGTTTCTCTGTTTTCCTCAATGACAAGGAGTGTTGGGAGCTTGTCTTCAGGTGGCAGTCAGTGGTCTGCATTAGAGGAAGGCTCATTTTCCCAGGCAAGTCCACAATATCAGTCAGTTTCTTCATGTCCCAGCCACAGCACAATTGCAGTCCAGAGAATTTACTTGCTCTGCTTGGCAAGTATGTCAGCCTTTTGAGCCTCAATTTTAGTCTGAAAACGTGGGTAAATCAGTGTTTACCAAGGTGTGGCCTGAAGACACTGAAGATAATTCTCCGGGTGGGATGGGAGGAGGGGGCGGGGGACATGAATAAACATTTATTAGTAATGCCTTTGTTTTAACATGTTTTACATTTCTGTCTTCTGTTTAAGGCAAGCACCATTACTTTTCCATTTAATATTGTGATATACCTTATTCAGCTACACTTAATTTTAAAAAGTGAGTCTATTTAGAGAAAATATGAAGTAAAGAGTAGCACAGGTGCGTGGTAGGCAGAGATGGTAAAAATCGTTAAGATGGGATGCAAATGACTGAGTTTTGGGAAACACCACAGTAAATAATATTTAGATTTGCAGGTAATTTTTCAAATAATCCAGCTCAGCCCTGGTTGCCAGGCCACCCTCATCCCAGCTGGGCCAGGTGTTCTCTGTAATGTGCCCATCCAGCCCTTGGCCTAGGTGACCAGGGAGCCATGTTGTCTCTGCCCAGTCTCTGCTTCCGCGGTCAGCCCAGTGGTCACTGGGCTCCTTTAGGAAGACCAAGCGTAGGGGACCCAAATACAGGGAAAGACCATCTTGCTCTGTGTCCTTCATGCCCTGGGGGACACACGTGAGGCCGAAGCACTGTCTTCCTGGGGTGCTCTTATCTATCCTATTGTATCTAACATCCATGGCCCCAGAAATGTGACCTCCCTCCTCCACCCAAGCCTTGACCCACCATCGTGTCTCCTTCCTAAGTCTGGCCACTGTGCCTTTCTAGAATCTTCCTAGTCCTTAGGCAGGACCTCTTCCCCGACTTCCACCCATCTCTCCTTTCTCTGAGCTCCTGCAGCCTTGAAGGGGTTGCCCTTGCCATCTCCTCCTCTATTCCGGGGTAGGGCATCCTCCATGTCAGGCTGGGCTTCCCTCCACGGGGGATCAGTACACAGCAGATGCTGGAAAACACTGATCACGGGGATTGAGCATTGACAGGGCATCTACCTAAGCCAAGCCTGGACTGGGCACTGTGGGATTTAGAAAGAGAAAGGAAAGAAGGAAGGATGTGAGGGATGGAGGAAGGAAAGGTTTGTTCATGGTCTCCGAACAAGTCTCTGTTCTGTGGCTCAAAATTTCTATGAAAGGACAGAACACTTGTTTAAAAGCAGCTTAAGGATGCTTGCAAAAGCATCGTCTAAATTAATACAGTTGCAGGCAAGTTAACTCTGTACAAATGAGCTTATGGAGTCCAGAGGAAGGAGTGGGGATAACTGTGCCTAAGGGAGAGAGAGCTGCTAGCCCTCATTATCTGAACTCAGAAACAGCATTGATCTGGGTATTGAGCAACCGAGCCATTGTACAAAGTCTTTTTGCTGGAACTAGCTGGGAGCCTGAAATAGTGGGGGTATTGCCTGAGGTCACACAGCTTTAGTGACAGAGATGAAATGAGGTCCGGACTCCTGGGACTCTGCATCTTTCTGCCCCGCTCTCTGCCCTGGCCAGCTCACGATGCATCAGAGAGGTTGAGGATGCTCGGCTGGGTGCTGGATTTCGCTGTAGCTTTAGTTCTCCTCCCACTAGACTCCCACCTTCCTGGGACCCTGAGAAGGAGCTCAGTATGTGGCATGAGAACTAATTTGAAATGCTCCATCTCCAGGCACATTGTGGAACTGAATCCGTGTTCTCCCCTGTTCCAGGTCCCGGGACTGTTGACAGCCAAGGACAGATTGAGTTTCTCAGGTGCTATGCCACATTGAAGACCAAGTCCCAGACCAAATTCTACCTGGAGTTCCACTCGAGCTGCTTGGAGAGTAAGTGGCTGCTGAGCCACCTTCTGGGCAGAACTGCCCGGAGCCTTCTTATAAACACCTTTCATACTTGGCACTTTGCCCCATATCTTCTCTCCCTGGAAAGGACTCACGAAGCTGATCAGAGAAGTGGGGCTGCAGGTGGATGACTCAAGGGGACACTCAGTTATTGTGAGGGGTCCCCCTGTGGCCTGTGCAGCCCTAGGGGCAGGGGTGGCCATGAATGTACTGACCCCCCAGTCCCTTGTAGGTGGCAAGCAGGGTCCAATCCCTGGCCCTCAGGGTGGACTGTGACCCACTCTAGGTTCCCTGCAAGCTGGGGCTCTGACTCAACCAGAGAGTGTTGGGCCCAGGTCCAGACCTCAAAGAGCCGGTGTGAGGGCCTGAGCAGCAGCTGCCTGTTGTCGCCCTGGCCCCTCTTGCTCGTTGGAGATCACAGCGTCTTTCTCGGGGGGACTGCAGCGTCCGAAAGCAAGCAGGAGATGGACAGGCTCCCCTGAGCCAGCAGCCTTTAGCACAAACTGTGTTTAGGAAACACCCTTTCCGGGTGACATTTCTAGGCAGATTGTCTAAAGCTGTTTCATGGCTAGGGAAGAGCTGCGTGTGTCCAGCCGTCTTCGCTGAGATGGTCTGCACAGTGATCGGGGGAGGAAAAGGGGGCATCACCTCCTCAAAAGGGCATTTTGTGAGGGCCTGGCTGGGATGCTTCCAGAAATCAGGAAGAAGCGTGTGCTGCCAGTTCTGCCCCTCTGGTCCCTGCCTCCTTCTCCAACTGAGGTGGGCCCAGGCCTGGTGCTAGAGCGGCCTTTGTCACTGAGTCCCCAAGCTCCAGTTCACCCAGCAGGGTCAAAGCGGTTCGAAAAATGATGAGGATTTTTGTGCGGGTGTTTTTAATAAACTATCAAGACAGTTCCATACATTTCTATGGAAACAGCATATTAGGAAGCTTAAATTAGAATTTCAAAAGGCTGCTATCTTGAGTGGCGTGGGACGAGCTGTCAAGTTTCCTAATCTTTTTGCCTGTGATGTGATGATTTCTTTGTTGCCTGGTTTGTTGCAAAGAGGAACTGAAAAGGAGGGGGAATCTCTTTGATTTTCCTAAAAATAATTAGACCATGTTGGCAAATGACCAATCCCTGCACAAAAACAGAATCCCCGGCAGGCCTGACTCCTAAATGATGCTGAGGCCCCGAGATAAAAAAAAAAAAAAAAAAAAAAAGGAGAGAGCACATCTTCCTAGGTCTGGGTGGGGTGACCCCAGGGAGTCTTTTCTGTCTGGTTCTTGCTCTGTTTTCTGAAAACCAGCCTTTTTGTCCTCCAACAGGTTTTGTCAAGAGTCAGGAAGGAGAAAATGAAGAAGGAAGTGAGGGGGAGCTGGTGGTGAAGTTTGGTGAGACTCTTCCAAAGGTAATTCTAGAGCAAGGCATTCCCCAGAGGGAGATTTGCATTTACTAGGCCAGTAGTACCAGCCAGTGGCAGAGCTATGGCCAGGCCTGACCAGAGGAAGCAGGAATCTCATAGACCAAATGCAGAAAGAGACCCACTCTAGGAGCAAGCTCTCGCTCAAGGTGGTTCGTAACACACTTTACAGCAGTGGGTATGTGGCCTTATTATTCCTAAATGGTTTCAGTTCCCCTAAAGGATCACAGAAGGGATCTAGAGGTCAGCTCGTCTAACCACATGATTTTGCAAAGAAGGAAACTCAGGTGCAGGGCCAAGCGCTGTTTGCTCATGGCCTCATGGCTGCAGTAACACACCTAGGACGCAACCCCAAGACCCCGATCCCCTCTTTGACGCTTGTTTTCCTATTCAGTGCTGGTTCATAGAATCGAGTACAAAGAGGCATAGAGAGGGGTCCATTGGCTACTGATCATACACTTGTGAACACACGAAGTACTCGACATGTCTGTGGCCCTGCAAAGAGCAGAGGGTGGAATTGGAAACACTCAGCCAGACCTTAGTGGGAACACATTCTTCTTTGCTATAGAAAAAATGGTTTTCTGGCCTGGTGTGGTGGCTCACACATATAATCCCAGCACCTAGGAAGCCAAGGCAGGGGGATTGCTTGAGCCCAGAAGTTCAAGACCAGCCTGGGAAACATAGTGACATCCCATCTCTACCAAAAAAAAATTTTTTTTCTCTTGTTTTTTTTTCTTTTTCTCTTTCTTTTTTTTTTTTTTTTTTTTTTTTTTTTTTTTTTTTTTTTTTTTTTTTTTTTTTTTGAGACAGAGTCTTGCTCTGTTGCCCAGGCTGGAGTGCAGTGGCATGATCTCGGCTCACTGCAACCTCAACCTCCCAGGTTCAAGCGATTCTCCTGCCTCACCCTCCTGAGTAGCTTGGACTACAGATGTGCACCACCACACCCATCTAATTTTTGTACTTTTAGTAGAGATGGGGTTCCTCATGTTGGCCACGCTGGTTTCAACTCCTGACCTCAAGTGATCCACTGGTCTCGGCCTCCCAAAGTGATTAGAGGTATGAGCCACCGCATCCAGCCTAAAACATTTTTTTTTAAATTAGCCAGACATGATGGCACATGCCTGGAGTCCTAGCTGCTCTGGAGACTGAGGCGGGAGGATAACCTGAGCCTAGGAGATCCAGGCTGCAGTAAGCTATGATCATGCCACTGCACTCCAGCCTGGGTGATGCAGTGAGACGCTGTCTCTTTTTTTGTTCATTTGTTTTTCTACTGAAACTGCTTTTGTGGAGCTAAATTGACAGTGGAGATGTTGGGTGTCCTCGAGTACAAGCTTATTATGAGCTTATTAGTTGTTCATGCTGGGTGGGAAGTGGAGTTTCTTTCTCGCACCATGAGGGAGGGGTGGAATGAAGGGGAGTCCCAGGCCAGGCAGATCCATCACAGGAGGTGGGGCGTCTTGGAGGCTCCCCTAGGAGATTCCCTCAGAGGTGACACTCGAGGTGAATTTTAAAAGGACAGTCTTAAGCAGGCAGAGGGACCATTCTCTCCTGAGACTGGGGTAGGATGTTGGCAGGTTTCAGGGGGCTGGACCCACATTGGCATTAACTTTTGATTGGAACCAACTCTCAGGCCATGTAAAAAGGCCATGTCATCTCCGGAGCAGAGGCTGATGCCTGAACTCCAGATTCCCCCAGCTGCGGCACAATTCCAAATTACTCAGAGGCTGCGGCCAGCTCACATGGCTCTGACTGGGGTCTCCCACTGAAGCCCCAGAAGAGCTGTCAGAAGTCCCTGTTCTGGGGCTGTCTTCAGGCCCCTGAGTCGTGGGGGCTCTGGGCTCCAAGGAGACATTTCTGCCTCACCCGGCCCAAGCCCGTCCTCCTGCTCCTCCTCCCTGGCTGCTTCCAGGCAGGGCCTGAACAGTAGTTTCCTCCTTTGGTGAAGGTGGAAAAGAGAGCAGCACCCCATTCCACAACATGTTCACCCCCTGGTCCAGCTCAGGGACCCCTAGGGCCCCTGTCTTCCTCCATTCCCCACATCCTCACAGCCGCCAAGTCCTGCTGTTCCTCTTGCCTCTGTCCCCTCCCTCAGTCCCCCTGCCCCCTCCCAGGGGGTCCACTCCTCCTGTCTCCTGCCTCTTGCTGAGGCATCCTGAACGCTGATGGATCTTTCTGGAATGCCTCTCTGATCCTGGAGTCCCCCTCTTTATCCGGTCGACTCCCTGTTGCCTAGTGAGGCAAGCAGCCTCATCTGCTGTTCCCACAGGACTGCAGGGGCCTTCACCGTCTCCTGCTCCCTGACCCCCGCCCCACCCCTGTTGCCTGGCGGCCTCCTCTGTTCACCCTGTAAATCCCTGCTGTGGCCCCCTAGATAGTTCTCCTCCCTGCCACCGCCTGCCAGGGTGGTGGTGTCGCACAGAGACATTTGTTGTTCAGATGTCTGTCACCCCATTTCCACTCCATCCCAGGGAGGACCGGGTCTTCCTCCAGCATCCAAGAACCCCAGCTCTGGCCCTGGGTCTAGCTTAGAGCCTGACATCACCTCATGCCAGGAGCCAAGTGATAATTGGTGCAGCTGTAGAACCCTGGAGTACCCAGAGCTCCACTGCAGTTTCCAGTCATCTGTTCTGGAACTTTTTTTTGAGACTGAGTCTTGTTCTGTTGCCCAGGCTGGAGTGCAGTGGTGCCATCTCGGCTCACTGCAACCTCCGCCTCCAAGGTTCAAGCGATTTGCCTGTCTCAGCCTCCCGAGTACCTGGGACGACAGGCACGCCCCATCAAGCCTCGCTAATTTCTGTATTTTTTAGTAGAGACGGGGTTTCACCATGTTGGCCAGGCTGGTCTTGAACTCCTGACCTCAAGTGATCCACCCACCTCGGCCTCCCAAAGTGCTGTGATTATAGGCATGAGCCACTGCACCTGGCCTGGAACTTTCTGAATGGAGATATAGTGAGTCTGCCCTGTTGGCCAACATGGTGCCCAGAGCCCTGTACCAGGAGCCTTTTGGTGTCTGGAAAGGAAGGGAGGGAATCGCCTAGAACAAAGTATCACCTTTTTATTTGGCCCTTCTGTATGGGAGTCATCGTGAGAAACAGCCCCACATCTGAAAAAGTCATAACTCGTGGCAGACGAGGAGCTAGTGTGCGTGTGATGCTCCTCCCTGCACTTGCCCGGACACAGCCCCCACTGGCCAGTGCTGTGCAAAGCCTGTTAGCAGCCACCCCCGCTGCCAGCCAGGCCAGCAGGGCCTCTGGGGGAGCTGGCACTCCCCAGCTCTGGAAACTTGCTCGCAGATGGAATGTGGGAGCCTGTGTCTGTCATTCGCTGAGCCACACCCCCAACAATCGGTAGGACACTCCAGGCCCAGCTGGGGGCTCTGCCAGGATGGACACAGAGGCTGCATCCTCCCTAGATAGGGGCAAGCCAGACAGGGGCAGGGCTGGGATGCAGCCACAGTCCTGGAGGGGGCCAAGGAGAAATTCTGTGCTCTGTAGGGGGAGCCTGGCGCAGGGTGGAGTGCATGGATCATTCCAGACCTGGTGCCTGGCCCCACTTCCCCGCCAGCCTGCCTTCTCCTCTATGACCCTGGCCTAGGGATGGGAAGGAACGGGGGCAATGGATGGGGCCCATCTGGGGTCAGGCCTTCTTGCTGGGACCTGGGAGCCAGCTCAGTTTAGGAGGCCTGGGGTGCAGCGTGGAGGTGAGGGGGACAGGGAAGGAAGCTAACCCCCACCTTGCTGGACAGGGTGTATGTGAAAGCTATACCCCACCTGCTCTCTTGGGTATGGACAGCAGAGATTTAGATCTGATTACTAAGAACACCTTTCGTCATCTTCATCCACTTGTCCACCCACCTGTCCCCTCACCTGTCCCTTGCCCATCAACTCCAGTCCTGTGCCCTTCTCTCTGCAGCTGAAGCCCATTATCTCTGACCCTGAGTACCTGCTAGACCAGCACATCCTCATCAGCATCAAGTCCTCTGACAGCGACGAATCCTATGGTAAGGGTCTGTGGGCAGGTGCCACACCTGCCTGTGAACTGGCGGCCTCTGACGTAGCATTGCCTTCAGGGGAGCTCACCTGGCACTTCCGGTCATAGGCTCCTGCCTCTCCTTTCCTCATCCCAGGGCTGCTAGTGGGACCGTCACCACTAAGTCATCCTTCCCTCCCCACTAGGCTTCTGGGCAGGACAGCCAGCAGTGGCAACCCCTTCCATGTATTGAGCCTTCCCTATGTGTGAGATCTGTGCCAGGCACTTTCCAGTATCATGTGATATAACCTTGACAAGACCTTACTGTTCTCCAATGAGTAAACAGAGGCTCAGAAAGATCAAGTGACTTGCCCGAGTCATATAGGTAGTGGTGGCTGGGCCCTAGTTTGAACCCAGGCCTGCCTGCCCTTCTCTGCTTCTCAAGTGTCCTGAGTCAGCCTTCTCAGCTCACAGGTCTGGAGCTGCGGACTCCCCTCTGCTGACCCAGTCTCTAAAACACCTGCTCAGGCACAAAGGGGCTGCTCCTTCTGCCCCCAAGGAGCCACCCTCTGCCCGAAGACCCCCTCTCCCCAGCCAGAGCAATTTGGGCTGAGGTGTCGTTCAGGGTCCCCTGAGTGGGACTTGGGGTGCTGGAAACACAGCTCAGGGCTCTCTGGTCTTCTGCTCAGCATCGCCTGGTGCCCAGACCAGGCAGGCTGTGGAGGCCCACAGCCAGAGAGACAGCAGGGGCTTTTGTACCATCTCTGCCTGTTTGTGGCTCCAGCCCAAAGTCAGGCTCACCCTTGCTAGACCACATGTGTGGCTAGACCATGGGGTGAGAGAGGCAGAGAGAGCCTGGAGGGGACAGAGAGAGGCAGGAAGCAGGAGCCAGGCCAAGCCTCTCCTTACAAGCCAAGCTAAGAGCAAATACCTTATCCCGAGGGCAGTAGGGAGCCATTGAAGATTCAAGCAAGGAAGTAACAGGATCAGATTCACATCTTGGAAATCCGCATCTGCAGTGATCAAGACGACAGATGAGTGAGCCAGAATAGAAGTAGTGACAGTAAAAAAGGAGAGAAGCGGATGACATTGAGAGGAATGGAGTAGAAAACTGTCTGGGCCTGGGATTGGGGAAAGGGTCTGTATTAGTCTGTTCTCATGTTGCTGTAAGGACATACTTAAGACGGGTAATTTATAAAGGAAAGAGGTGTAATTGACTCACAGTTCTGCAGGGCTGGGGAGGCCTCAGGAAACTTACAATCATGGCAGAAGAGGAAGCAAACACATCCTTTTCACATGATGGCAGGAAGGAGAAGTGGGTGCCCATTGATAGGGGAAGCTCCTTATAAAACCATCAGATCTCTTGAGAACTCACTCACCATCACCATCACTATCACTATTGAGAAAAGGATGGGGGAAACCACCCCCATGATTCAATTATCTCCACCTGGTCCCTCCAATGACACATGGGGATTGTGGGAACGACAATTCAAGAAGAGATTTGGGTGGGGACACAGCCAAACCATATCAGGGTCTGAGCGGCTGCATGAATGATGCTTCTACTTCTTGCACTGGGTTAGATGCAGTGCCGCGGGTAAGGGAGACCAAGGCACAGCCACAGCATATGAGGAAGACCAGAATGCTGTTGTGCTGGGGACACCATCAGAAGAGTTGGGTCAAGGAGAGGGTGTGGTTACAATAGCAAATGTGGCCAAGGGACCCAACACAAAGACCAAGCGTCTCTTAGATGGAGATACTCAGACCATCAGCAGACTTGGTGAGCGCAGTGTCCGTGGAAGAGCTGGGGTGACATCAGACCTCAGCACTTAGGAGTGAACAAAGCATGAGGAGGGAGGCAGAGGAGAATGCGCCTGGGTCAAGGGAGCACATTTATCCACGTGCTTATTTATTTGAAATGGAAAACCTTTGAATACTGCTCGGTGGAAGTCACTAAAGAGGAAGAGGCTGCAGACACAAATGAAAGCCCCACGCATAGTCTCCCATTGTGCAGGCTCTGCCAACACCTGGGTGTGGGCACTGTCGCTCCCCTCCTTGGGGAGGTGAGGAAAGGAGGCTGGGAGACCTGAAGGTCATGCAGCTACTGAGCAGCTTGTTGGAGGTAACTACGTGATCTTGGGCCTGAGCCCAGGCAGCTCTTCCCCGTTCCCAGTGCAGCACTGGCAAGAGGGTCCCCAAGCTGCAGGAGGGGTGGGAAGAGCTTGAGGAGTGTGATGGCCCTAATAGGGATCCCCTCGTCACGGATGCAAGAGCATCTGAATGGCTGCTGAAATGTTTGAAGCTTTGTTAGCAGGAAACAGGCAGTACGCAAAACACACGCTTCATTTTCTCATTCAAATCCTGTATTTCTGCGACACGGCAAGACCATGTCTTTAAAAATAATATACTGTAATCCTCCTTTGTTTCTTCCGCTTCATATTCATACTCACAAGCAGCATATCATCAAAATAAAAAGGAAAAACATCAACAGTCTCATTCCAGTAATCATTTTTATTTTGGTTTCACATTTCCAGCCTCATACATAGGCATACCTAGATTTTCATACTTACATCACAGAAACATCATTTTATACTCTGCTTCCCTCACCTGGTATTAGATGAAACACATTTTCCATGATTCTCCTGCCCCATCTTTGTGACTGTTCCTTTTGATGGCTGCATTATATTCCATGGACTTACTGCATCCTCATTTTAAAAGTATTCCTCACTTTAAAAGTACTATTATTGAGGCTCTGTCAGTTGTTTTTGTTGGTGCTATCAGTAACACTGAGATGAATCTCTTTGTGGACATTTTTTATTATTCTTCAGCTACATTTTTTATTCCTTTGAGTAATCTCATTAGGACAGGTTCCCATGTTTGCCGGATCAGAGGGTGTCAATCAGTGTTTGTGCTTCTTGGCGCTTGACACCAAACTGATTGCCATAAAGGCTGTCTCAGCTGACCTCACCACGGATAGGCTTCCCCAGATCCTTGCTGGCATTGGGTGGTTTTGTTTTTTGTTTTTGGAGGCCAGAGTGCAGTGGCACGATCTTGGCTCGCTGCAACCTCCGCTTCCCAGATTCAAGAGATTCTCCTGCCTCAGCATCCTGAGTAGCTGTGATTACAGGCATGCACCACCACCCCTGGCTAATTTTTGTAATTTTTCGTAGAGAGGGGGTTTCAACATGTTGGCCAGGCTGGTCTTGAACTCCTGACCTCAAGTGATCAGCCCGCCTCGGCCTCCCAAAGTGCTGGGATTACAGGCGTGAGCCACCACACCCGGTGCATTGGGTGTTATTTTTCTCGCTTCCTATCTATGCTAACTTCATGTCTGTGAAAGAGCAACTTAATGATTCCTTAGTTTGCATTTTTGATGGCTAGGAAAGTGGAACTATTTTCCATTTATTAAAATTAACCAGCTGCAATTCTTTTTGTGTGAAACGTCTGTCTGTATTATCTGTTCATGCATCTGCTGGAGAGGGTACCCTCTTGCCTGGGGAGCTAGCTGCAGATACTGTTCCCAATCCGTTTCCTTTTTATTTTAGGTTTTTTCTCTGTGCAAGTTTTAAACTTGCATGTCCTCTTGCCCGCCAATTTTGTTCTGTCATGTCTTATGCTGCATCAAATCTTGGGAAGTTTTCATTCCCTACAGCGATCAGATGAGTGTTTAATTCTGTCTTTCTGCTGCATTTTCTACAATATAATTTTTTTTACATCAACTAATCCACGTTTTGTTCTAAGACTTGAGACATTTGCCCCCAAAGTACTGTGGTGTTGTTCTGACGGATTTATTAAATAACCCTTGCCTGGGCTATAGTTTCAAAGGACCAACTCTCCGGCCAAGAGTTTGGTGTTTCTGCCATGAAAAGGCAGGGTCTTCACCCAGCTGTCTCCCACTTTCCCTGCAGGCGAGGGCTGCATTGCCCTTCGGTTAGAGGCCACAGAAACGCAGCTGCCCATCTACACGCCTCTCACCCACCATGGGGAGTTGACAGGCCACTTCCAGGGGGAGATCAAGCTGCAGACCTCTCAGGGCAAGACGAGGGAGAAGCTCTATGGTAAGCAGCAAGCCCCTCCCCAGCGCCCTCTTCAGCCCCCCACTTAGGGACGGGAACGTGCTTTCTCTCAGCAAAGCTGTCGAATATGCTCTCTGCTGCGGCCTCAGAGCAGAAATCCAGCACTGGAAAAGATCTCAGACAATCTGGCCCAACCCTCACTCAACTCAAAAATGTCCCAACAGAACCCAACATCCAGCACCCCCAGATCACCCTCCCCGACCCTGTGGATTTTTTAGGGCCCCGAACCTCACCTGTCAGCCTTTAGGCCTTGTCATTCCCCCATTAGCACCTCCACTAAAAGAAGGACCCAGTGTACCAAGCGAACCTACGTCTTGTTAAATGGCTCCTTCCAGGCTGTCCGGGGAAGGCCACAGCTACAGCTGCAGATGAGATTTAGAATTTCTTGGGCGACCTCTGCTTGCCCACACGGCCACATGGTGCCCACTCCCATATACAAACAGGCCCTCGTACGTACCTAAACCCTGCCCTCATGGTGCCCACCCAGGTTTCTGTACCTTCTAAACTGCTTTTTTTTTTTTTTTTTTTTTTTTTTTGGGACAGAGTCTCACTCTGTGGCTCAGGCTGGAGTGCAGTGGCACGATCTCAGCTCACTGCAACCTCCACTTCTGGGGTTCAAGTGATTTTCCATCTTCAGCCTCCAGAGTAGCTGGGACTATAGGCACCCACCACCATGCCCAGCTAATTTTTATATTTTTAGTAGAGACAGGGTTTCACCACGTTGACTAGGCTAGTCTGGAACTCCTGACCTCAAGTGATCCACCTGTCTCCGCCTCCTGAAGTGCTGGGATTACAGACGTGACCACTGCACCGAGCCTTTTTTTTTCTTTCTTTCTTTTTTGGAGACAGTCTTACTCTGTAGCCCAGGCTAGAGTGCAGTGGCACAATCTCAGATCACTGCAACCTCCGCCTCCCAGGTTCAAGCAATTCTCCTGCCCCACCTTCCCGAGTAGCTGGGATTACAGGTGCCCACCACTGGCTAATTTTTGTATTTTTAGTAGAGACAGTGTTTCACCACGTTGGCCAGACTGGTTTGGAACTCCTGACCTCAAGTGACACACCTGCCTCGGCCTCCCAAAGTGCTGGGGTTACAGGCATGAGCCACCACACCTGGCCTGTTTATTTTAATCTGACAAAACATACTTGCCTGTTTTGTTTCTTGCTGAGACCAGTAAGTTGGAAATGTCACATGAAATGGCAACTCTGGATCCCAACTCTCCTCTCTGTGGATCCACTGCAGGCATAACTAATCAATCACTGAACTCTTAGGAGGCCTCAGAATCTTGCTTAACTCACCTCTCCAGGTACTCACTATTCACTGTGCAGCTTCAGCCTGCAAATGGAAACCCCTTTGCCATCCCTCGCCTAAGCTCTGGAAGCTGGGCCCTCACATGCTCTTTCCCGTCCCTTTCCTTCCAGACTTTGTGAAGACGGAGCGTGATGAATCCAGTGGGCCAAAGACCCTGAAGAGCCTCACCAGCCACGACCCCATGAAGCAGTGGGAAGTCACTAGCAGGTAAAGTGGGCGTGGGGTGGGTGTTGGGGGGGGTGGATATCAGGGACTCATGACAAATTAGCATGGTTTGGCCGGGTGCGATGGTTCACGCCCATAATCCCGGCACTTTGGGAGGCCAAGGCTGGAGGATCATTTGAGCCTAGGAGTTTGAGACCAGCCTGAGCAACATATCGAGACCCTGTCTCTACAAAAAAAATGTGGTGGTTCATGCCTGTAATCGCAGCACTTTGGGAGGCCAAGGCCGGTGGATTGCTTGAGGTCAGGAGTTTGAGACCAGGCTGGCCGACATGGTAAAACCCCATCTCTACTAAAAATACAAAAATTAGCTGGGCGTGGTGGTGGCACACGCCTCTAATCCCAGCTACTCTGGAGGGCTGAGGCACAAGAATTGCTCGAACCCAGGAGGCAGAGATTGCAGTGAGCCGAGATTTCACCACTGTACTCCAGCCTGGGCAACAGACCGAGACTCTGTCTCAAAAATAATAATAATACTTAGCTGGGTGTAGTAGTCCTAACTACTTAGGAGGCTGAGATGGAAGGATTGCTTCAGCCCAAAAGGCTGAGGCTGCAGTGAGCTGTGATTGTGTCACTGCACTCCAGCTTAGGCGACAGAGTAAGACCTTGTCTCAAAAAAAACAAAACAAAACACTAGCATGGCTCTGCAAACCCAGGGCCTGTGAGAAGGTGAACTGAAGCACAGAGAAACCCAGGACACAGGAGAAAGAAGCTCCAGCCCAGGAGAGGTGCTCTCCTGCCTCCTCTGCGAGTCTGTTGACCGCTGGAGAGGTTGATGTGACTGTGACAAAGCTGGGGAAATTCTAATGTGACGGAAAGTTCAGTTTGACTCAGCTAACATTTGTTGAGTCCCTGTGATGTGTCCAGTTCTAGAGAAATCAAGGCAAATTCAGTGCAGTCCCTGACTTAGGAACTTGCGGCCTAGTGCATGAAGAAGTGACTGCGGAGAGAATGGAGAGATTCCAAGTCTACAAATGGTGGCTGTGTCTCCTGTGGGACAGAGGACACCAGCAATCATGGGATCTGTGGCCACCAAACCCCACCCTATCCACTAGCAAGAAAAATCACTGGGGGAAAATGCACACTGGTTGCTCTTGGCAGAGACTGAACTGAGAATAGTACAGATGTTAAAGTCTGTATTACCAGAATACAGACGTCCTTGGTAGCAGGGCTGCCCTAACTCACCGATGTGGTCTCCGAGATCCAGAATCAAGTTCTGGTCTCTTTGCCGGCTCACCAGCCGAGGAGGCAGAACCATGCCAGCAGCAGACATAGCTTGTTCCTCTCCTCCCTCCCTTCCCCACAACTCATCCCCACCAACCCTTGCCCTCACCCCAGCCACCCCCGCTGTACACAGGAATTCTCATCTCTAGCACATTCCCTGATCCACTTCCAGCTTCCGATGTTCACAGCCGTGGGCACACAAGCATCCCCTTTCCCTCTTTCCCTCCCATGATAATCCCATCAGCAAATGCATCCTGGCTCTGAAGTGTCTACTGTGTTCCAGAATCAGGATCAGTGTAGGGAAACAAATTCTTTTCCATTTTGACTAGCATGAGAACGAGCATTTATTTCTGAAGCAGGCAGTGGTGGATGGGAACAAGGTACAGCTCGGAACCAGGCTGGCAGAGCACATGGGAGCTGTGGAGTGTCCCTGACAGCCTATACGCTCAGAACTCAGTTCTCAGGAGGCCGGTGCCTGACACAGTGGCAGCGTGCAGTGTGTCTGTTGGGGCCACCTTGCCTGGGTCTGGGCCATCCCCTCCATAGCTTTAAGCTGATTGCCCCCAATTCCAGGCTCCAACCTTGATCTCTGTGACCTCACACTCATTTTTCTAAATATGCACATGGCTGTCTCTATGCTGACGCTGCACACACAAATGTGTGAGCTGATGTGTTCCAGAGGAACCCCTGCTGGAGTCTGCCCTGAAAATCCCCTCCTTCCTGCCACCCAGGCTACCCCCCCACCATCTCTCTGCCCTGCCAGCCTTGCCAGCTTCTCATTCCATCCTCTGCACCTGCTCACCAGCCTTCGGACCGTCCAGGAACAGGCCAAACCCCTCTCACCTGGAGGCCTTTGCATGTACTCTTGCCACTGCCGAGAACAGTCTCCCCTTCTTTCTCTCTTATCTGCTTATCTTCTTATCTCAGATGAAAGACCACCTCCTCAGATGGGGCCTCCTGGGGTCACCCAATGCCCAGTTGGTCCCAACACTTCACTAGTCCCCATCTCTGCCCCTTGTTATTCTCAGACTTCAGCACTACATCAATACCGTGTCTCTGTGTCACTGAGCTTGTTTTTCTCTCCCATCAAAAGTGAGTTCCATAAGAACAGAGACCATGGCTGCCTCACTCACAGCCATATTCCCTCCTCCCGGCCTGGGGCCAGGTGCTTACGAGGCCCTCAGTAATCACGGTGTTGCATGGATAGATGAATGAATGAATGGATCACTGCCCAAGAGGTGAAGGAGTTGAGGAGAGCTCGAGAGAGCCCTAGGGTTATCAGAGGACACTTTCCTTGGGCTGGTGCTGACCCCGAGAAGGGAAGGGACCCCTGAGATGTGACTCCATGTCCTCCCTGCAGGGCCCCTCCGTGCAGTGGCTCCAGCATCACTGAAATCATCAACCCCAACTACATGGGAGTGGGGCCCTTTGGGCCACCAATGCCCCTGCACGTGAAGCAGACCTTGTCCCCTGACCAGCAGCCCACAGCCTGGAGCTACGACCAGCCGCCCAAGGACTCCCCGCTGGGGCCCTGCAGGGGAGAAAGTCCTCCGACACCTCCCGGCCAGCCGCCCATATCACCCAAGAAGTTTTTACCCTCAACAGCAAACCGGGGTCTCCCTCCCAGGACACAGGAGTCAAGGTGAGCATCCTCTTCATTAAGACGGCTCCCTCCCTCCTTATGAAAGCGCCCTGGGCTTTGGGCTTTCACCCTAGAATGGAAGCCTCATAAGGGCCACAATTTGTGTCCACTTGGCTCATGACTTATCCCTGGGGCCTGAACACAGCAGGCCCCTGACATGTATGTGGAGTCTTCCATGTCCTAACCTGTTAGTGCAACTCGATTGCTTTTTAAAGGGTAAAAATTTGTAAAGATATTGCCAAGAAAAGGAACCTCCTATAAAAACTATATACATATCAAAAAACATGTTTTGGGCCGGGCATGGTGGCTCACGCCTGTAATCCCAGCACTTTGGGAGGCCAAAGCGGGTGGATCACCTGAGATCGGGAGTTCGAGACCAGCCTGACCAACATGGAAAAACCCCATCTCTACTAAAAATACAAAATTAGCCAGGGGTGGTGGTGCATGCCTGTAATCCCAGCTACTCAGGAGGCTGAGGCAGGAGAATTGCTTGAACCCAGGAGGTGGAGGTTGCGGTGCGCCGAGATTGCGCCACTGCACTCCAGCCTGGGCAACAAGACTGAAACTCCGTCTCAAAAAACAACAAATTTCGGCCGGGCACGGTGGCTCACGCCTGTAATCCCAGCACTTTGGGAGGCTGAGGTGGGTGGATCACTTGAGGTTAAGAGTTCGAGTCCAGCCTGGCCAACGTGGTGAAACCCCGTCTCTACTGAAAATACAAAAATTAGCCAGGCATGGTGGCTCACACCTGTAATCCTAGCTGAGGCAGGAGAATCGCTTGAGCCCAGGAGGCAGAGGTTGCAGTGAGCCAAGATTGCACCACTGCACTCCAGCCTGGGCAACAGAACGAGACTCCATAAAAATGCCAGGTGTGGTGGTGCATGCCTGTAATCCCAGCTACTCAAGAGGCTGAGGCAGGAGAATCGCTTGAACCCAGGAGGCAGAGGTTGCAGTGAGCCAAGATTGCACCACTGCACCCCAGCCTGGGCGACAGAACGAGACTCCATAAAAATGCCAGGTGTGGTGGTGCACGCCTGTAATCCCAGCTACTCAAGAGGCTGAGGCAGGAGAATCGCTTGAACCTAGGAGGCAGAGGTTGCAGTGAGCCAAGATTGCACCAGTGCACTCCAGCCTGGGTGACAGAGTGAGACTCCGTCTCAAAAAAAAAAATGGCCAGGTGCGGTGGTTCACGCCTGTAATCCCAACACTTTGGGAGGCCGAGGCAGACAGATCTCGAGGTCAGGAGATCAAGACCATCCTGGCTAACATAGTAAAACCCCATCTCTACTAAAAATACAAAAAATTAGCTAGATGTGCTGGCACGCACCTGTAGTCCCAGCTACTCGGGAGGCTGAGGCAGGAGAATCACTTGAACCCGGGACGCAGAGGTTGCAGTGAGCTGAGATCACACCACTGCACTCCAGCCTGGGCGACAAAGCGAGACTCCATCTCAAAAGAAAAGAAAAAAAATGTTTCTAGAGCTAGTTAACCTTTGGGCATCTCCCGCTCCCTAGAGGGCCCTGTGGAACAGGGTGGGAGTTTCCATGTAGAGCCTGCTCGCACCCTCCAGTTCCCCTCTTTTTTCTCGACCATGAGGTTCCCCATTCTATAAGCAGCTTCCTAGTCTCTCCTGTAGGGGACACTTAGTTAGAAACTGGAACTAGGGATGTAAAAGGCAGGGCAGCCAGCCTGCAGAGAGAGGAGGCCCGGCCCTGAAACTCTGGGGAAGCCCCGGACGGTGGAGAAAACTGATCTGAGTCTAGAACTGGTTCAGGCAGAAGAATGGAAGCCAGATAGGAGACCGGGCTACGCAGCCGAGGAACAGGGTCAGCACTTCCCAAAGGCACAGACGCTCTCTGGTGCTGCTGGAACAGAGCAGAGCCAACCATGGGTACCTCGTGGATACACAAGTGGGGAGCTCTACATGTTTCTAGTAGCCACAGGATGACAGACAGACGTGAAAGTGCAGGCCCAATTACCAACGATTTAAGATGGGCAAGATAGCTTGAGCACTGTCTTCCCTTGAGGCTCTTTGCTGGCTTATCATAACCTCAGGGGTTCACTCTCAGCCTCTCTTCCTCTAACACTGGTTTTTTCTTCATCCTTTTTCCATGAGGACTTGCGTGCTGTCCGCCACATGGGGCAGAGCCAGCAGCGGTGTGTTCTCCATCACACTGTCCTCCAGCTCCCTCCAGTTCCACCCTTCCCAGGCCTGACCTGGCAGGGTCTTCCTCTGGATGGAGAAGCTGTTGACAGTCTCATTTCTCAAAATATGCGAGATATGCTCTAAGAAACGGATAGGCCAGGCGCGGTGGCTCACGCCTGTAATCCCAGCACTTTGGGAAGCCAAGGTGGGCAGATCACTTGAGGTCAGGAGTTTGAGACCAGCCTGACCAACACGGTGAAACCCCATCTCTACTAAAAATACAAAAATCAGCCAGGCGTAGTGGCCCACACCTGTAATCCCAGCTACTCAGGAGTCTCTGAGACACGAGAATCGCTTGAACCCGGGAGGCGGAGGTTGCAGTGAGCTGAGGTCATGCCACTGCACTTTAGCCTGGGTGACAGAGCAAGACTCCATCTCAAAATAAATAAATAAATAAATAAATAAATAAATAAATAAATAAATAAATAGATGAGAGGAAGTCAGGAAGAGAGAGAGAAAAGGACAGGACAGGATAGCCCTGAAGCTCAGCTCAGCTGTCTCTCTCTCTGCCTCTGTACAGAGTTTGTTGATAGGGTGTCAGACCCTGGTCATTCCCTAAGAAACTTGGAGGGAGGAGAAACAGCCTCAGTTTCCTGCCCTGGAAATATGAGGACAAAAGGCACTATTCAGTGGGTATCAAGGTGCCTGTGTGGCCACCTCTTTGGAGACCCCAGGAAATGGAGCTCTAAGCAACCAGAAAGAAAAAGGAGCATGATTATTTGTGTAAGTGAATGCTTTTCAGCTCCCAAAGCGAATGGATCTTGGTGCATAACAACGAGCACACAGCTTGGTGGGAGCATGCTCCCCACAGCCCCATGGTGACAGCTGCAGACAGGCTGCCATCCACGGGCAAGGGGCCCCCAGGGTACGCTTCTAACTCACTGCTCACCAAGGAGGCGCTTGGAGCCTGGAGCCCTGCAGCTCGCACACCTGCCTCATCCCTTTCCGCTGCTCCAGGTCCCAGGCTCAGCCAGAGCAAAGGCTGTGGAAGGGGGTGTTCCAAGCACCATCAGTGTTTCCCCACCATCACCCAGACCCAAGTGCAGGGACTGACCTTCCCGGTTTGCCAAGTACTGTCCCAGTTTTAGCACTGAAAGTCCCACATCTCAGGAAACCCTTCAGTCCTGCGTAAGCAAGGACAACTGGTGACCCCAGATCGAAGCTGTGCAATTAGGAAGGGGACTCTTCTCAGCCCCTGGCCAGTGCTTAGCTGCTTTGGAGATGAGACTCGTCTCCTGAATCTGAGAAGTACAGTCATTTGCTGCAGGAATCAACTCGTCCCCTAGATATCGGTTCCCTTATTCAACAACTGTGGCCTGCTATAGGAGTCAATTTCTTGTTACCTTTGGTCAGGGGAATAAGACTTACTTTTGAGTTTTTCATGGTTTTCCCCAGTCTTCCCCGCCCGCCCCACCAAGCTTCCCCTCTCTAAGTGCAACAGAAGCCTCCTCTTAGAGGGAAGGCTTCCCTGGTCTCTATCTCACTGCTCTTTTCCCAGAGGAGTGAGCTTTAGAATCACAAAAGGGCTTGCACCCAGGGCTCTTCCTGGTCCTGCCCCCAGTTCTCTGAAGTCAGCCCCCTCCTCCCATCTCAGCCCCTGAGAGAGGGTGGTCAGAGGTCAGGACTTCTTGCTCCTTCATCTGAAAACTTGTGACCATGCCAGTTGCACCCTCCTGTGCCCTCTTCCCTTGGCTAACTCACAGCAACGGCCTTTGAGGGTCCACACGGGGGTCAGAAGAGGGCTGAACATGGAGGGGGCCCTTTCCAAAGTCCTTGTTTGAGGCCCCAGCATTTCTATGTATGCACCTGCTCTAAGGTGTTTCCAAAAATTAATGGGCAACACCCCCAGGTGCACAGTCAGGCTCCCTTTGGTGTGTCCCGGAGGCCAGCCTCCCTGGAGCTCCATGGCTTCTCACCGGCACCTGTGTGAGGACGACATCCCGCCTTTGTCCCCTGAGCCCACACCTGCTCCCCAGAGTCACTGTTGAGTGCCTGTGAGCAGCTTCTCAGTGCACATCCCATCAGTAACAGGCGCAACAGCCTCAACAGCTCAGTGGGTTCCCAGCGATCCACAATTTCTTCACGATAGCTTCCTTTTCTGTAGAAAGCAGAACCCAGAACACTCCCCTGGGAGATTCTGCTGCTAGTCAGGAAGTAAAATGTGTTCCCATTTCTCGTTCTCATAGTTTGCTCAGCAGGAAATCACCTCCAGTCAGAGCAGTGATAAATCAGAACACAAACAAGCAAAGGCAGCACTTGCCTACTTTGGGTCACAACACAGGAGCTTCCCCTGCCCATGAGTTGAGTGGGCCTTTCTTCTAGCTACTGGCCTTGGCTTCCCCAGTACTCGCAAGTGTCCAAGTTCCCTCTGACTTGCACCACAGCCACCACGTGTTCCTTCCACTGTGAGTTAGGAGAGGCTTCCAGGGAGAGGACTTCATGTGGCTGGGAAGGACACTGTGTTAACCGGGATGTCGGGCCCCCTGAGCTCAGATTCTGTCCTTGTTTGTGGCTGTGTTGCTGTGCCTGGGAAAGTGTCTCACACATGAGTTTGGTAGATGGAGCCTCTTGAGCTTTCACCCTCAAGTAGCACAAGTGGTTCCTGAGGAGGAGGTGTGATCGCCTTCCTGAGCGGTCATGCAAATGCTGGGTCGGAGCAGAATTGCTGGAGTCAGAGGAGAGGCTGCGGGGTGGGGATGGGAGGAACCGGGAAAGGAGGCCTGTTGACTGGGGAGGTGGGAAGGGGCTGTGGAGAGCAGGCTCATCTGATGAGGATGAGGGGTTGATACTGAGGTGCCATGTAAGTTCTCACTTCATTTCTCCCACAAATCCTCCAGTGCCATGCCCCTTGCTCACAGATGCTCTGATGTGAACAGGTTTTATAGTGGAAAAGGTCCCAGGCCAGAACTGAGGCTGTCTTTGAGGACAACGTATGATGAACACAGTACTGTTTCCTCTTCCTTTTTTTCACTTGAGGTGAAATTCACTTAACATAAAATTAACCATTTCAAAATGAACAGTTTGCTAGGCTGGGCACAGTGGCTTATGCCCATAATCCCAGCACTTTGGGAGGCCAAAGTGAGAGGACTGCTTGAAGCGAAGAGTTCAAGACCAGCCTGGGCAATATAGTGAGACTCCCCATCTCTACAGAATAAAACAAAACTAAAAAATTAGCCAGGCCTGGAGGCATTGCTACTCCCAGCAATGTCCAGCTACTCCTAGCTACTCCCAGCTACTCCCAAGTAGTCTCAGCTACTTGGGAGGCTGAGGGGAAGGACTGCTTGAGCCCAAGAGGTTGAGGCAGCAGTGAGCCATGACCGCACCACTGCACTCCAGCCTGGGTGACAGAGCGAGACTCTGTCTCTAAAACAAAACAAGACAAAACAATTTGGTGCCATTCAGTAAATTTGCAATGTTACATGTCTCTATCTAGTTCAGAAACATTTGTATCACCCCAAAGAAAGACCCAGAGCCATTAAGCAGCCATGCTCCCATGTCTTCTCCCCTGGACATGTGTCTTCCCTGCTCTGTCCCTGGCTCTAGGCCCAGTGACCTGGGGAAGAACGCAGGGGACACGCTGCCTCAGGAGGACCTGCCGCTGACGAAGCCCGAGATGTTTGAGAACCCCCTGTATGGGTCCCTGAGTTCCTTCCCTAAGCCTGCTCCCAGGAAGGACCAGGAATCCCCCAAAATGCCGCGGAAGGAACCCCCGCCCTGCCCGGAACCCGGCATCTTGTCGCCCAGCATCGTGCTCACCAAAGCCCAGGAGGCTGATCGCGGCGAGGGGCCCGGCAAGCAGGTGCCCGCGCCCCGGCTGCGCTCCTTCACGTGCTCATCCTCTGCCGAGGGCAGGGCGGCCGGCGGGGACAAGAGCCAAGGGAAGCCCAAGACCCCGGTCAGCTCCCAGGCCCCGGTGCCGGCCAAGAGGCCCATCAAGCCTTCCAGATCGGAAATCAACCAGCAGACCCCGCCCACCCCGACGCCGCGGCCGCCGCTGCCAGTCAAGAGCCCGGCGGTGCTGCACCTCCAGCACTCCAAGGGCCGCGACTACCGCGACAACACCGAGCTCCCGCATCACGGCAAGCACCGGCCGGAGGAGGGGCCACCAGGGCCTCTAGGCAGGACTGCCATGCAGGTGCGCTGCGCCACACGTGGGTTCGTGTGCATTTGTGTGTGTGTGCATGCGTGAGTGCGTATGTGTGTACCTATGCATATGTGTGTGCATGTGTGTGTGCACGCATGCATATGTGCGTGCATGTGTGAACGCATGCATGTGCACACATGCGAGTGATGGTCCTGGGAACTGCTCCATGAGAAGGGAGAGTCAGGATTTGAACCCAGGTCTGCCTGTCCCACACATCCCTGACCCTGCATTGCCTCTGCAGCAGTTGTTAAAAGGAAGAAAGGCGGGGCTGTGGATAAACTTAGTCTAGTGTCAGTCCCAGAGGAAGAAGATTCCATAAAGAAAAGGAGCCTAAATCATTTATATCTCATTGTTATTATAAATTTGTTTTGCAACTGAGTTTCGCCAGGCACAGTGGATCACGAGGTCAGGAGATCGAGACCATCCTGGCCAACATGGTGAAACCCCGTCTCTACTAAAATACAAAAAATTACCCGGGCATGGTGGCGCACGCCTGTAGTCCCAGCTGCTTGGGAGGCTGAGGCAGGGGAATCGCTTGAACCTGGGAGGCAGAGGTTGTGGTGAGCCGAGATTGCGCCACTGCACTCCAGCCTGGTGACAAAGCAAGACTCCGTCTCAAAAAAAAAAAAAAAAAAAAATTAAAAAACAACAACAACGGAGTTTCACTCTTTGTTGCCCAGGCTAGAGTCCAGTGGTGTGATCTCGGCTCACTGCAACCTGCGCCTCCTGGGTTCAAGCGATTCTCCTGTCTCAGCCTCCCGAGTGGCTGGGATTACAGGCACCTGCCACCATGCCTGGCTAATTTTTGTATTTTTAGTAGAGATGGGATTTCACCATGTTGGCCAGGCTGGTCTCGAACTCCTGACCTCAGGTGATCTGCCTGCCTGGGCCTCCCAAAGTTCTGGGATTACAGGCATGAGCCACTGCACCCAGCCTCATTGTTATTATTAAGTCGCATTCATACTTGAAAATTTCCCAATATTTTGGAGAATTCAGCACACTTTCCCTCTCCTTCATGTAAAATAAAAAATTTTTTGAGCAAAACTAACAGTGATTAAGAACAGACTCCAGGCCGGGCGTGGTGGCTCATGACTGTAATCCCAGCATTTTGGGAGGCCGAGGTGGATGGATCACCTGAGGTCAGGAGTTCAAGACCAGCCTAACCAATATGGTGAAACCCTGTCTCTATTAAAAATACAAAAATTAGCTGGGCATTGTGGTGTGCACCTGTAATCCCAACTACTCGGGAGGCTGAGACAGGAGAATTGCTTGAACCCAGGAGGCGGAGGTTGCAGTGAACCGAGATCGCAACACTGCACTCCAGCCTGGGCGACAGAGTGAGACTCCATCTCAAAAAAGAGAACAGTCAGGCTATGTTGGATTTGAATCCCAGCCCTCCCACCTCCTGGCTCTGTGCCTTGAGCCTCAGTTTACCCATCTGTAAAAAGGGGCTGTTAATAGTACCTACCTCATAGACTTAGAAGGAGAATTGCATTGTAGGCTATTATGTATTATTACCATGTATTATCATCTATATAGAAATTATATATTTATATTTATGTATTTACATTGATATCCATTACATATCATTTCATATATATATACTATACATATTACATATGTGTATATATTTTATATATATATATGGTACGTACCTGGGTGTGGTGCCATGCACCTGTAGTCCCAGCTACTGGGGAGGCTGAGGCATGAGGCTAGCTGGAACCCAAGAATTCAAGGCTGCAGTGAGCTATGATTGCACCACTGCACTCCAGACTAGGCAACAGAGTAAGACCCCATTTCTAAAAAACAATTTTTTTAAATAAGCAGGTAAAGTACTTAGAGCAGTGAGTGCTGGCTCTTCTCAGCTACACGTTAAAGGAAGCCTGGCCTAGCCCACAGCATGCAGGGACCTGGGCCACTTAGTTCAACATGGCCTGGTGAGAATGAGCCCTGACAGCCCTTCTGTTCTTGTCCCACAGTGAAGCCCTCAGTGAGCTGCCACTGAGTCGGGAGCCCAGAGGAACGGCGTGAAGCCACTGGACCCTCTCCCGGGACCTCCTGCTGGCTCCTCCTGCCCAGCTTCCTATGCAAGGCTTTGTGTTTTCAGGAAAGGGCCTAGCTTCTGTGTGGCCCACAGAGTTCACTGCCTGTGAGACTTAGCACCAAGTGCTGAGGCTGGAAGAAAAACGCACACCAGACGGGCAACAAACAGTCTGGGTCCCCAGCTCGCTCTTGGTACTTGGGACCCCAGTGCCTCGTTGAGGGCGCCATTCTGAAGAAAGGAACTGCAGCGCCGATTTGAGGGTGGAGATATAGATAATAATAATATTAATAATAATAATGGCCACATGGATCGAACACTCATGATGTGCCAAGTGCTGTGCTAAGTGCTTTACGAACATTCGTCATATCAGGATGACCTCGAGAGCTGAGGCTCTAGCCACCTAAAACCACGTGCCCAAACCCACCAGTTTAAAACGGTGTGTGTTCGGAGGGGTGAAAGCATTAAGAAGCCCAGTGCCCTCCTGGAGTGAGACAAGGGCTCGGCCTTAAGGAGCTGAAGAGTCTGGGTAGCTTGTTTAGGGTACAAGAAGCCTGTTCTGTCCAGCTTCAGTGACACAAGCTGCTTTAGCTAAAGTCCCGCGGGTTCCGGCATGGCTAGGCTGAGAGCAGGGATCTACCTGGCTTCTCAGTTCTTTGGTTGGAAGGAGCAGGAAATCAGCTCCTATTCTCCAGTGGAGAGATCTGGCCTCAGCTTGGGCTAGAGATGCCAAGGCCTGTGCCAGGTTCCCTGTGCCCTCCTCGAGGTGGGCAGCCATCACCAGCCACAGTTAAGCCAAGCCCCCCAACATGTATTCCATCGTGCTGGTAGAAGAGTCTTTGCTGTTGCTCCCGAAAGCCGTGCTCTCCAGCCTGGCTGCCAGGGAGGGTGGGCCTCTTGGTTCCAGGCTCTTGAAATAGTGCAGCCTTTTCTTCCTATCTCTGTGGCTTTCAGCTCTGCTTCCTTGGTTATTAGGAGAATAGATGGGTGATGTCTTTCCTTATGTTGCTTTTTCAACATAGCAGAATTAATGTAGGGAGCTAAATCCAGTGGTGTGTGTGAATGCAGAAGGGAATGCACCCCACATTCCCATGATGGAAGTCTGCGTAACCAATAAATTGTGCCTTTCTCACTCAGCTGTGTGTGTGGCGTTTTTCCTGACATTCGGAGCCATAGATATCCTTCTAGATGGCAGGGCCTGCACAGGGCACAACTGAGGCAGTTAAGGGTTCATGGTGGTGATGGATGGTGTTGCCCTGACCAGATGGGACACCATAGAGCCAGTTTGAAGCTGGTCCTGGACTAGGAACAGGAGTAAACCGCACCCCTTCCTTCCTTCCACCCACACATCTTCCTGGCACTCCAAGCACCCTGCGGCCACCCAGAGGCCACGAGCATCCCCTCCAAACCTGCTGTCCTGCAGCCCACAAGTTCCTCCCAGCTTTTATAAGTTTTCACCACTTAAGCTGCAGTGACAAAAAAAACACGTCAACACTCCCCAGGTCATGGGTTCCCAGGTCAGGGAGTAGACCCCCGCCCAGAGGCACAGTGCGGGCCACTTCCACGGCGCCTCTGCCCCACCTTGGGCTGCCTGGCCTCTGCTTCTGCTCACAGACACCAGGCCTGGGCTCCAGGCAGGGCCTGGAGCCGTGTCTTTGGCAGCCTCCAAGCAAACCATTCACTCCCAAGCCTCAGTGGCACCTGGAGCCCAGCAGGGGCAGGACTGAGTGCCTGCTGGGACCATGGCTCCCTACCCCCACTCAGGTGTCCCCGCCCTGCAGGCTCACTGCCTGGTGTCCGTGTAGAACCTGACCTAAGTCCCAGGCCCCAGCCTCTGATTCAACAGACCAAGGGCCACGGTGGAGAGAGAGCTGGAGACACCCAGACATTCTTTAGTCTCCCAGCCCCCATCACCAGAGCTGAGGACCCAGGCATGGATGCCCATGGTCCCTGGGGAACCCACTGGCTGCTGGGGTGGGCTGGCCTGCTACACAAGTGCCATCATCTGCTCACCCACAGGGAGAATGTCAAGCCCAAGGCCCCATGCCCACTTAGGATGGATGTCTAGGCACTCCCCAGCATTTCTGTGGGTTCCCAGGAGATACGGGTAGGAGAGCAACTGTTTGGGGCATACATCATGCTCCCCGTCACCTGCTCTGGGTTCCAGTCACTCAAGCAAATGCAGTGCCCCCACCACAGTCAAACCCAGGGCTGCTGTGAGGACCTGGCTTTGATTGCACGTGGTCGGACAGCTGAGGCCCACCTGGTGCTCAGAACAGGAAACGCTGTGGAATGCAAGAATTTTCATCCTTGCCTTTTCCATCTCTCTACCCTGCACCCACCCCGAGAGGTCCCGGACCACTTTCTCCCTAGGCTTTTTGCTGCCGTGATCATCTGGGTTCCACCTTGACCAGGTCTCTCTCCTGTCTCTCCTTTCCTGACAATTCTAGGCATTCCAAACACCCAGGTTCCCCCTTCTGGCAGAGGGGGAACCCAGACATCCCCACCTCCTTATCACCTACATAATTCACCTCCAAGTAATTCACCTACACCAGGCTCCCTAATCAAGAAGGCAGGTCAATTAGCCAGCTCTCATCAAAGTGCTCCATTCCTAGGATGAATTTCACCGCCCCCTGAGATTGCAGATGCTGCTACAGTCACTGTTCCTTTTCAGAGGTAATTTTTTTCCTTCTCTGCTTGATGCTATGAAGGCTGGTTGAGAGCAGCAGAGTTTGTGCCGACAGGAAGGTGTTACCCTCATGATGGACAGTCTCTAGCAGCGCTCTTCCCAGTGCCTCCACCGCAGCCCCCCCCCCACCCCCCCGCAGCCTGGAGGGCAGCGCCTGCAGCCAGTGCCACCTGCAGGGACAGAGTCAGCCACGGGCTCCTCCTCCTTCCTGCATTTCCATTCTTTTTCCACACCATTTTCCCCACCCGGATAGGAGAGAAATTAGTGAGTCATTCAGAAAAGCTCTCTCCCACAGCTACCTTCCCTGGTTCCAGCCTACCAGGTTCTCATCTTTGCATGTCCTTAAAATAGCTCCTTTCTCTTGGCAAACAAATTTCCATGGAGACCCAGCTATGGGAAGGCCCAGAAGCTTTCTGCAAGGCAGCAAACTCAGCTCCCAGCCTTCACTCTGACAGAGACCCTTTATAATGCAAATGTGTGTTCTCACCCCCACAGACACTGCCACCCACGAAGGTCCCATTTTGGGAAATCTGAACCACCCAGGGAACGCACTGGGAGGTTGAGTCTAGGTATAGGCAATCTAGTTTCTTGTTATTTTCTGACGGGCTGGCTGGCCTGCACTGGTGAGTTCTCTCTCAGGTCACAGCAGACCGAACCACTAGGCTTACCAGTGACTAATCTCACAGCAGGCATACCCAGCTCATGCTCTTCCTCCATGCACTTGGCCACACATGTTGATGGCGTGCACTGGGCCTTGGGGGTCAGTGCTTCTATTGAGGTAGGCCATGGGTGGGAGGGATCCTGGACTATGGGAACAGATAGAATGGGGCTTAAATGTCTTTTATTTCCTAAAACTATAATCTTGCACAGGTTTCTTAGCTTTTCTGAGCCTCAATCTCCTCATCTGTACAATGGAAAGAAGGCTACCTGGTGTGGTTGTCGAAGATTCACTGAGCTCATCTCTGCAAAGCCCCTGGCTCGGCGCCTGGCCCTGCTGTAGGGGTTCAGTGAGTGTTATCCCGTTCCCTCATCCTTCGAGACAAGGCAGTGAGGGAGGGCACCGTGCACAGCATCGGAAAAGAAGCAAATAGAAGAGCTTTGGGGATGCAGGAACGTCCAAAGCAGAGGTAAAGGCAAGAGCACAAATTCATAAACAAGGCAGGCCATCCAGGGGGCAAGTCAAGGCTGTGAAAAGCCATGAAGAGCAGGGAGATAGATCAGGCTAAGGCATGGATAACTGAGGCCAGGAGGAACTAGATGAGGCCAGGTGGGCTATTTGAGGCTAAGGAGGAGCTAGTTGAGGTCAAGGAGAGGCGAGGTTAGTTGAGGCCAGGAAGACTAGTTTGAAGCCAGAGGTGCAGGTGGATTCTCTAGCTACACAGAGCACAGCTGCTCAGATGACCTGAGCCAATGGGAGCAGACCCAGCGGACGCATAGGAACACTTCATGGGGCAGTGCTGGGCAGTGTTTCTGGCCACCAGGGACATGTAGGCAGGTCCAGTCACCACAAAGCAGTTTTGTGCCCCACGGCGGTTCTGGACGCACCTGTCCCTGCGAGATTCGGCTCCTGCACTTGTCTCTCCCTCCTTCCGCTTTTTCTTCCTCCTTCCCTAACCATGTCAATGACTTGCAGTCCTGCCTCATTCTGCAGGGAATGGGGAGCCTTGGGGACTCCGGAGCACACAATGACGTGCTTGCTTAGCATTTAGGAAGGTCGAGAATAGGGTAAGGCCAGCAAGTCTCGGGGGTGCAAAAGGTAACCGACACTCACTCTCCAGTGCTCACCCTGAACTTGCACCACCTCAGATTTAAACATCCCCCCCACCCATCCCTGCCTTGCCTCCCCTTCATCCAAGCCCTGCAGAGCAGGCAGAAAAGTGAAAGTTAGATTCCAGAAGGAGCCGAATTCCTGTGGCTGAAAGGTGGCAACGCTCCAACCCGCAGCCCTGGCAGGGCCTTGGAAGAAGGAAGGGCTGGAGGTGCAGGCGGAAGAGGCTGTCCTCTGTATCATGTGGAATCCTGTTTTAGTGCACGGGCTATAAATTGAATTTCCAGGCCTTATTTAGAGTACATCCCCAGAAATGGTTTGTCCTGCTTCTGCTATTTTTAAAAAGCACTCTGTTTAGGTAGTAGTTGAGAGCACAGACTTGGGAGCCAAACTGCTTAAACACATCAAAAATGTGCCAGGCTGTGACCATTGTGCAGAAGAAGGCAACATGCCCAGCTTCCAGAAGAGGCCGATGCACAGGCCAGCAGTTACAGTGCCAGGTGGTAAGGGGTATGCAGACAAAAGCCCCCGGCCATGAATTTCCTTTCGGGATTAGCTGGGAAATGTTTCATGATTTAGTGTTAGTATTCAGAATGATAACCAGACTGGTGCTGAGGATCTTGGACTCTGGGGTCAGAACACTTGGGTTCAGCCCCCAGCCCTGCCACCTGCCACTGACTGGCAGGCCATATGACCGTGGCTAAGTACTTAACTTCAGTTTCTCCATCTGTAAAAAGGAGATGATAATGACATCAACCTCACGGAGGCCTTGTAAGGATTTATTTTTTTATTTTTTTAATTTAATTTTATTTATTTATTTTGAGACGGAGTCTCACTCGGTTGCCCAGGCTGGAGTGCAGTGGCACAATCTTGGCTCACTTCAAGCTTCGCCTCCTGGGTTCATGCCATTCTCCTGCCTCAGCCTCCCGAGTAGCTGGGACTACAGGTGCCCGCCACCACGCCCGGCTAATTTTTGTATTTTTAGTAGAGATGGGGTTTCACCTTGTTAGCCAGGATGGTCTCGATCTTCTGACCTCGTGATCCGCCCACCTCAGCCTCCCAAAGTGCTGGGATGACAGGCGTGAGCCACCGCGCCCGGGTGGCCTTGTAAGGATTAAAAGGCATGCTAATGTAAATAGCCCTGGCTGCAGGTAAGCACTCAATACATGTCACTGTTATCAACATGATGCTCTCACAAAGACAACGTAATTCTCCGTGTTCCCACCGCAGCCTCGACAGCTACAAGGCCACAGTTTTTACCATTTACAAGCCCTTCTCAAGGTGACTCCTTCGTTTCTGGACTCAGGGCCTGATCCTGGCCCCAGATCTGACAAGCGGCAGGGCCTTGGCCAGGTCACTCCTGCAGGCCACACCATTTGTGACACCTGTGACATGAGAAGTAAGGCCCTGTGCCTGCCAGGAGCGGCACGGCACCTGCAGCAGCACAGCCACCAAGCACAGCCACAGTCCCAGCACCCATGTGCCGGTGAGGTCCATCACTCATTCCCCATCCTCGGATGCCTTCTACAATCCGGTCTACAGGACCGGAATCCTGTCCGACCACCGATGACTCACACAAAGCAATGGGGGACCTGGGACAAGTGTGCCTCCATCTTGCAGGCTAACTCCTGGAGGAACTAACCCATGCGGAACTGCTCCCCACAGGGCAGGGGTTCTGGACCGAGACACTACTGACATGTGGGGCTGGGTCATTCTTCGGTGTGGCGCTGGCTGGTGCACCGCTTAGTGGCATCCCTGGCCTCTGCCCACTAGACGCTAGAACCCACCCCCAGACATTCCCAAATGTCACCATCTGGCAGAGAGAATGGCAGAATCACCCCCAGAAGTGGACAACTGCCACAGAGCAGTTCTGAGAAAAGGCTCCTCCTTCCTGAAGAAGGTGAAGATCCGAATTCTGACACCAAACACACACAAATACGCACGCATGCACACGTGCAGGAAGCTAGCAGGAGGGAGGTGCCCCGCACAAATCTGGAGAAATATCACAGGGCTCGGCTGGGCGTGTTGGCTCACGCCTGTAATCCCAGCACTTTGGCAGGCTGAGGCAGGCGGATCACGAGGTCAGGAAATCGTGACCAGCCTGGCCAACGTGGTGAAACTCCGTCTCTACTAAAAAATACGAAAATAAGCTGGGCATGGTGGCGGGCACCTGTAATCCCAGCTACTTGGGAGGCTGAGGGAGGAGAATCACTTGAACCCCGGAGGCGGAGGCTGCAGTGAGTGAGATCACATCGCTGCACTCCAGCCTGGGCAACAGAGCGAGACTCTGTCTCAGAAAAAAAAAAAAAAGAAAAGAAAACAAAGAAAGATCACAGGGCCCGTTAGGCTCCTTCCATTTCAAGGGGCGAAGATGCAGCAGGTCACCTCAGTGTTTCACGTGTCCGTGTGAAAAGACCACCAAACAGGCTTTGTGTTAGCAACATGGCCATTTATTTCACCTGGGTGCAGGCGGGCTGAGTCCGAAAAAGGAGTCAGCAAAGGGTGGTGGATTATCATTAGTTCTTAGAGGTTTTGGGATAGGTGGTGGAGTTTGGAGCAATGGTTTGCAGGCAGAGGGTGGATCTCACAAAGTACATTCTCAAGGGTGGGGAGAATTACAAAGAACCTTCTTAAGGGTCGGGGAGATTACAGAGTACAGTGATCAGTTAGGGTGGGGCAGTAACAAATCACAATGGTGGAATGTCATCAGTTAAGGCTATTTTCACTTCTGTGGATCTTCAGTTGCTTCAGGTCATCTGGATGTATACATGCAGGTCACTGGGGATACGATGGCTTAGCTTGGGCTCAGAGGCCTGACACTCAGGAGATGGGTCTGTCACCAGGGTGCATGGAAGTGAGGAAGCCTCCACTGTCAGGACATAGAAGCCCCTGGTGAGCTCAGAGCCAGCCCAGGGCCCCGCATCCTGTGTCCTGTCAAACTCCAGAGTTTCCTCCTCCCTCCTGATCGATTGCACCACAGTGGCCGCTCTGCTGCTTCTCCTCACTGCTTTGTCCGCCCTCCTTACCCTCCGCATATTTGGGCCTCTCTGGGCATATCCTACATTGAGATCTGCTGGGAAGGCTGGTTTGGGGATCTGTAAATCTCCACCTGTCTTATTAGTTTGGATTCCCCAGAAACAGACTCTGAGTCAAAGATTTGAGTGCAAGGAAAGTATTTGGGGATAACTCAGGAAACACTACAGGAGCAAGGGAGTGAGGATTTGAGGCAGGAAAGGGAAAGAAGCCATAAAGAACTGATACAGAAGAGATTACTGCCGGACACGGTGGCTCACGCCTGTAATCCCAGCACTTTGGAAGGCCAAGGTGGGAGGATCATGAGGTCAGGAGTTTGAGACCAGCCTGACCAACATGGTGAAACCCCGTCTCTACTAAAATTAGAAAAATTAGCCAGGCGTGGTGGCACATGCCTGTGTCCCAGATACTGCAGAGGCTGAGGCAGGAGAATTGCCTGAATCTGGGAGGCAGAGGTTGTGGTGAGCCAGGTTCGCACCACTGCACTCCAGCCTGGGTGACAGAGAGACTCCATCTAAAAAAAAAAGAGAGAGATTACTTAGTGTCTCATGTGTCCGTGTGAAGAGACCAGCAACAAGGCTGTTTATTTCACCTGGGTGCAGGCGGGCTGAGTCCGAAAAAGGAGTCAGCAAAGGGTGGTAGGATTATCATTAGTTCTTAGAGGTTTTGGGATAGGCGGTGGAGTTTGGAGCAATGTTTTGGGGGCAGGGGGTGGATCTCACAAAGTACATTCTCAAGGGTGCGGAGAATGACGAAGAACCTTGTTAAGGGTGGGGAGAATGATGAAGAACCTTGTTAAGTGTGGGGAGAATGATGAAGAACCTTGTTAAGGGTGGGGAGAATGATGAAGAACCTTGTTAAGGGTGGGGGAGAATGATGAAGAACCTTGTTAAGGGTGGGGAGAATGATGAAGAACCTTGTTAAGGGTGGGGAGAATGATGAAGAACCTTGTTAAGGGTGGGGAGAATGATGAAGAACCTTGTTAAGGGTGGGGAGAATGATGAAGAACCTTGTTAAGGGTGGGGAGAATGATGAAGAACCTTGTTAAGGGTGGGGAGAATGATGAAGAACCTTGTTAAGGGTGGGGAGAATGATGAAGAACCTTGTTAGGGGTGGGGGAGATTACAAAGTACATTGATCAGTTAGGGTGGGGCAGAAAAATATCCCAATGGTGGAATGTCATCAGTTGAGGCTATTTTCACTCCTGTGGATCTTCAGTTGATTCAGGCCATCTGGATGTATACGTGCAGGTCACTGGGGATATGATGGCTTAGCTTGGGCTCAGAGGCCTGACATTCCTGTCTTCTTATATTAATAAGAAAAATAAAATGGTAAAGTGTTGGGGTGGCGAAAATTTTGGGGGGTGGTATGGAGAGATAATGGGCGATGTTTCTCAGGGCTGCTTCGAGCGGGATTAGGGGTGGCATGGGAACCTACAGTGAGAGAGATTCAACTGAAGAAAGATTTTGGGGTAAGGGGTGATATTGTAGGGTTGTTAGAAGGAGCATTTGGCATATAGAATTATTGGTTGGACTGGATGCGGTTTTGTATGAATTGAGAAACTAAACGAAAGACACAAAGTCCGAATAAAAGAAGGAGAAAGATAGGTTGAAAGGACTAAGAATTGGGAGGACTCAGGATGTCCAATTAGAGAGTGTCCAAGGGGGTTCAACGTTATTGTTTGCTTGGTTGGCAAGTTTTTGGGCTCTATCCTTGAGTTTTTTTATGTTGTCATATACCAGGCCAGATTGATTTAGGTAAAAACAACACTCTTCATTTAAAAATATACAGTCCTCTTTTTTAGCAGTAAGTAAATCAAGGCCTCAGTGATTTTGGAGGAAAGAGAAATGCAAAGCCAGCAACTGTTTGTTAAAGAAGGATTAGAAACGGCTAGGAGAGAGTGACTGAGATTGACAGTGTGGTGGAGATAGCTGGGGAAAGGTGGAGGGTGGCATAAGAACGGGAACGAGAATAAGAGTAAGTATAAAAGCAAAGAATAGGACTTCATCAGGGTGAAAGTATTGAAGTGCACTTTGTCACTGAAGATCTTCTATCCACTTAAAGAGAGACCTAAGGGTGGCAGTTTGAGGTAAAACCAGGTGCCACTGAATACCAAGAGCCTGAGAAACTGCTCAGGTGATTTGACTAGTAAAGGCCGGTCCATTATCTGACTGTATAGAGGTGGGAAGGCCAAACCGAGGAATTATGTCTGACAGAAGGGAAGAAATAACCACGGTGGCCTTCTCAGACCCTGTGGGAAAGGCCTCTACCCACCCAGTGAAAGTGTCTACCCAGACCAAGAGGTATTTTAGTTTCCTGACTCGAGGCATGTGAGTAAAGTCAATTTGCTAATCCTGAGCGGGGGCAAATCCCCGAGCTTGAGGTGTAGGGAAGAGAGGGGGCCTGAGAAATTCTTGAGGAGTAGTAGAATAGCAGGTGGAACATTGAGAAGTTATTTTCTTGAGGATAGATTTCCACGATGGAAAGGAAATGAGAGGTTCTAAGAGGCGGGCTAGCGGCTTGTAACCTACATGGAAGAGGTTATGAAATGACGATAGAATAGAATGGGCCTGTAAGCCTGGAAGGAGATATTTTCCTTGGTCCAAGAACCATTTGCCTTGTGTGGGAAGAGATTGATAGGTGGAAGTTTCAGTGGGGGAGTAGGTGGGAGTGGCCAGATGAGAAGGAGAAAAACTGCTGTGAGGGATAGAAGTTGAAAGCTAGCTGCTTTTTTAGCTACCTTATCAGCATAAGCATTGTCCTGAGCGATGGGATCTGATGCCTTTTGATGGCCCTTGCAGTGTATGACTCCAGCTTCCTTTGGAAGTAAAGCGGCCTTGAGAAGAGTTTTTATTAAAGAGGCATTAATGATGGAGGACCCTTGTGTGGTGAGGAAACTTTTCAGCCCATAAAACATCATGGTGGTGCAGGATATGGGGTCAGTATAAATATTGACGTGTAGTCCCTTTGCAAGAGTGAGGGCTCGAATTAAGGCAATGAGTTCGGCTTCCTGAGAGGTAGTGGAGGGAGGCAGAGCGGTAGCCTCAATGATAGATGTGGAAGATTCTATAGCATAGCCTGCCTTTGCTAGTGAGTGGCGATTAGGCCTGATGGACTAAACCAAATGTGATCAATAAACCAAATGTGATCAGAGTGAGGAACAGGAAAGAAGGAAATATGGGGAAATGGAATGAATGCCAGGTGGATCAGAGAGATACAGTCATAGGGGTCAGGTGTGGTATCCGGAATAACGTGGAAGGCCAGATTGAAGTCCGGGCCAGGAACAATGGTAATTGTGGGAGACTCAACAAAGAGTGAATATAGCTGAAGGAGCTGGGGAGCAGAAAGTATGTGTCAGGTGTGAGGAAGAAAATAGATTTTGGAAGTTATGAGAACTGTAGAGAGTGAGTTGAGCATAGTTTGTGATTTTGAGGGCACCAAATGTCTCACATGTCCGTGTGAAGAGACCATCAAATAGGCTTTGTGTGAGCAACAAGGCTGTTTATTTCACCTGGGTGCAGGCGGGCTGAGTCCAAAAAAGGAGTCAGCAAACTGATGGGATTACCACGGCACTCCAGCCTGGGCGACAGAGGGAGACTCCATCTCAAAAAAAAAAAAAAAAAAAGATGGGCTAGTGGGGGATGCACCGGACTTTATAGTCAGGCTTGAGGAGGCAGTTCCTGATTTACACAGGGCTCACAGATTGGTTCCATCAGGTATGACGTTTACATAGCAAGGGGAACGCTGGTTGCCCCACCCTAATCTTATTATGCAATGAACTTTCCCTTTGGCTGGCGGCCATCTTGTCTGCTCCTTACTGTACACGTGGCTGACAGAGATAAGGGAAGATGGAGCTGCCATCTTGAACATGATTGGCACAACAGCTGGTGTCTATGTCTGCAGCTTGATTTTACAGGCTGCTTTTTGTTAGAAAGGAAAATAATTTGGGGTTGCTCTTCATTAAAAGGACAACCTTACCGGGGACTTCCGTATCCCCACTATCTGCCTAAGTGTCAGGGCTCAGAGCCCAAGCTAAGCCATCATACCCCCAGTGACCTGTGCCATCTAGGCTCACTGCAAACTCCACCTCCCGGGTTCATGCCATTCTCCTGCCTCAGCCTCCTATCTTTTTCCTCTTGGAAGTCCCATCTCTCTCACTAGAGAGAGAGCTGTTTTTCTTTCTCTTTCTGTCTCTCTTTTATCTATTAAACCTCCGCTCCTAAACTCCTTGTGTGTGTCCATGTCCTAAATTTTCCTGGCAAGACAGTGAACCCCAGGTATTTACCCCAGACAATATAGCTGCTTCAGAACGTTCTATGGGCAGGGAGCCACTGTGGCCACCTGGGCTTACCCTGCAGGCACTGTTGGGAACACATGCCTGTGTCACCCCATGCAAAGAGGAGCAAGCAGGATCCAGGCATGGTAGCTCACGCCCGTAATCCCAGCAATTTGGGAGGGTGAGGTAGGAGGATCCTGTGAGGCCAAGAGTTCAAGACCAGCTTGGGCAACATAGTGAAACCCCGTCTCTACAAAAAAACAAAGAAAAAAACTAGCTGGGTGTGGTGGCGTGTACCTGTAATCCCAGCCACTTGGGAAGCTGAGGAAGGAGGATCTCTTGAGCCCAGGAGTTCAAGCTTGTAGTGAGACATTATTGTGCCACTGTACTCCAGCCTGGGTGACAAAGGGAGACCTGTCTCTAAAAAACCCAAAGAGGAGCAAGTTGGGTGCTACCAGGCCAACTCTGAGTCACAGTGAAGGGCTGCCTCTGGGAGGGGCGTTAACACCTTAGCTCTTCTGGCCTATGCAGCAAAGCCAACTCCCAAGGCCAGAGAGCCTTCAGGCAGGTGAGAGCAGACTGCTGCGCATGACATGGGTCACAACACCCGACAGAGTTCTACTGCCCGGCCATCCTGCAGGCCCCTGGCCTCTCTGATGCCTACTCTGTGCCTTTGGGTTGACATTCCTGGGTGCTCGGCGAGTCATTGCTGAAGAGGGACACCTCACTTGGGGGAGTTCTGTAATGTGGGATGGTCCAGTGTCAAAGAATGAGGAGAAAACATTCCAGACAGAAGGAGATGTGTAGGCCTGGAGAAACAGCTTGGTGTGTTCAAGAAACGGGAAAGAACTGGTGTGCTGGAGTGTGGTGGAATGCAGTCAAGGCCAAAGCTTGTACTGTTCTCCACACAACAGCCAGTAAGTCAAGAGACAAGGTATGGGGGCAAGGAAGAAGACTCTATTTTAGAAAGCCAGCAAAACAGAGAAGATAATGGACTAATGCCCTAAAGAACCATCTTGGGCCAGGCATAGTGGCTCATGCCTGTAATCCCAGCAATTTGGGAGGCTGAGGTGGGCAGATTACTGGAGGTTGGGAGTTCAAGACAAGCCTGGCCAACATGGTGAAACTCTGTCTCTACTAAAAATACAAAAATTAGCCGGGCGTGGTGGCACACGCCTGTAACCCCAGCTACTCGGGAGGCTGAGGCACGAGAATTGCTTGAACCTAGGAGGTGGAAGTTGCAGTGAGCCAAGATCATGCCACTGCCCTCCAGCTTGGGCAACAGAGGTAGACTCTGTCTCAAAGAAAAAAAAAAAAAAAGAAAGTAACATCTATAGCGAATATGAATTTCAGAATCCTTTTATATTAGGGAAAAAGGGGAGAGGGAGGGGTTGAGATCAAAAGGTGATCTATGACTACAGACAACTGAGTGGCAGCAAGGGTAAACTTCTTTGTCCCTGGTCAGGTCACAGTGCTCTTATACATTTTTAACATAATATTGTTACTTGTGTACACACCCTCCTTATCTCTTTGGGGGCTAGTTTTGGGAAGTGGCTCTTATCATCCTTGCTTTAAGGTTAAACTCTAAATTTCTCCCATAGTTAGCTTGGCCTATATGCAGAGATACCATAGCAGTAGGGGTGAGGGGTTAGCAGCAAAATAGAGTTACATGTACACTGTTACATGAATGAGAGTGAGTAGGGTGAAGTTAGAGCAGTAGGGGGCCAGGGGTGGTGGGGTGGGGGCACGGGGCAGACACATTCACAGGCTCCTCAGTAGGACAGACACTCTGTCTTGAGCCCAAATGGAGAGTCACACAATCCATGAAGTGGTAGGTGAGCCCGAGAGGAGTCCATGAGCCAGAGTTGATCTGCTTGATGATGTCTCTTGTGCATGGTGGCTGCACCTGACAGCAATAACTGAAGCATACCGTGAGAACAACCCTGCATGGCAGACACACCTGAATGTGTGTTTGGAGTTTCCAGCATGGCCAATCTGAAGATTCATTCCTTAACTCTGAGGAACATCTGAGCCCCCAGCACATCCTGTGGAATGTGGTCCATAGAGAGCATGAAGGCCCTTTGTTTTGGGTTAAAGGAAGGTTGCCAGGTAGAAGTTGCTAAGTGAAGGTGTTCTATAAACTGCATGCTTTTTGCAAGTGGTGGCAGTTCTCCTGTCTGCCTGCTGCCACTCTGTCTTGAGCCCAAATGGACCATCCCTGTATGTAAGTTCCCAGTAAATCCTATGTCCCATTTGCTGGCACTGCATCTCTTCTTCAGACTCTTGAACCTGGTACCATCCCTATTGAAGGTAATAGGGATGCGGCACCGCACTTCGATAGCTGAAGGAAGAGGGAGGGTATTTGTGAGAGGCTATGTTGGGTAACAAAAGAAAAGGAGAGGCCACCGAGGCCCATGGCAAGGCATGGCCTCTCCACTCTGTCCCCAGGTGCTTGGCACAGAACAAGAGCCTGGCAAACACTCCCCCAGGGCCCCATGGGAAGAGGGGCTGCTGCAGCTTCTGGGATGAACTTTGCCAGACACAAGCAGGAGCACAAGCAATAATACTTCAGGGCCCAACTGTCAAAGATTTAGCAAATAGAAATTTAAGATGCCTTGCTTCTTGATGAGATGAATAGTAAAACAAATTTTAAAAATAAAAAATAAAATATCAGATGCCTCGTTAAGTTTGAATTTCAAAGCAACAATAATTTTTAGTGTAAGTATAGTCCCAAATATTATATCTAAAATATACTAAGAAAATTCAAGGTTTGTATCTGAAATTCAAATTTGACGGGACTTCCTGTATTTTATCTGGCAACCCTAGCCCTGCTCTATCTATCTAAGGATGTAGAAAAAGGCTCCATTCCCTGTTGGAGGGCTGCTGCATTAGTCAGGGTTCTCTAGAGGAAAAGACCTAATAGGACAGATGTATATATGAAGGGGAGTTTATTAGGGAGAGCTGACTCACAAGATCACAAGGTGAAGTCCCACGATAAGCCGTCTGCAAGTGGAGAAACAAGGAAGCCAGTCCAAGTCCCAAAACTTGAAAAGTAGGGAAGCCAACAGTGCAGCCTTCAGTCTGTGGCTGAAGGCCCAAGAGCCCCTGGCAAACCACTGGTGTATGTCCAAGAGTCCAAAGGCTAAAGAATGTGGAGTCTGATGTTGGAGGGCAGGAAGCATCCAGCATGGGAGAAAGATGAAGACTGGAAGACTCAGCAAGTCCCCTTCTCCCATCTCCTCTGCCTGCTTTATTCTAGCTGTACTGGCAGTTGATTAAATTGGTGCCCACCCACAGTGAGTGTGGGTCTACCTCTTCAGTCCACTGACTCAAATGCTAATCTCCTTTGGCAGCACCCTCACAGACACATCCAGGAACAATACTTTGCATCCTTCAATCTAATCAAGTTGACACAGCTGAAATGAGCCACTACCACTCAGGATCTATAAGATACAAGCCTGAGGCAAGCAAGGAGCAATGACAGTAAACAGCACAGACTGCAGACAGGGCTGCAAGTACTGACTTCACATCAACGAGAACCCAGTGGAAGCTGAGAGAGTGCCCATTTTTAGCACAAAATTTTTAAACCTAGATGAAAACTTAGAGAAGTAAATAATTCCTGCCAAAGTCTCACCTATAAGTTATCTGAAGTTAGTTATCTATTAACTTTGTGACTGGACAAATTATTTAACATCTTAGAGAAGACAGAATTTGCGATTTGTGTTGATCCAGATTAATTGCCCTTAATAAGTCAATAATGTTCAGAAGAATGCAATAGAATTCTGAAAATCCATAATCTTTCTTAATGTCCAAACACCATTCAAAATTGTTTCATAACAAGAATCCACAAAACGTGACCCATCTCAAGAGAAAAAACAAACAGCCATGATCAACCCCATTCCAGATGCTGGAATTAGCAAAGATGTTGAAGCAGCTACTATAACTATACTCAGGGGCATAAAAGAAAATACTCTTTTTTTTTTTTTGAGACGGAGTCTCGCTCTGTCACCCAGGCTGGAGTGCAGTGGCGCAATCTTGGCTCACTGCAAGCTCCGCCTCTCGGGTTCACGCCATTCTCCTGTCTCAGCTTTCCCAATAGCTGGGACTACAGGCGCCCACCATCACGCCCGGCTAATTTTTTGTATTTTTAGTAGAGACGGAGTTTCACCGTGGTCTCGATCTCCTGACCTCATGATCCGCCTGCCTCGACCTCCCAAAGTGCTGGGATTACAGGCGTGAGCCACCGCACCCTGCCAAGAAAATAGTCTTGAAACAAGCAAAATGATATAAATCTCAAGAGAGAAATAGACATTTTAAAAAGTCAACCCAGAATTCTAGTACCAGTGATGATCTCCTTAAGAATGAAGTGAAAACATCTTCAGATTAAAGAAAACTGACAGAATTTGTTGCTATCAGATCTACTATAAACAATCCTAAAGGAATTTCTTCAGGCTGATAGGATATGATAATAGGGGAAAACTCAGATCTTCAGGAAGGAATGGAAAGGATTGAAAATGGTAAATACATGGGTAAATATAAAAGACTTTTTATCTTAATTTTCTTAATTTCTTTAAAATATAACTGTGTGAAGAAATGATTATAACATTTTCTTATAGAGTTTAGAATGATACCAATGTAATACTTACGACAATTGAAGCGGGGAGACTGGTAAATGGAGCTATACGATTGCAAGATTTACACGTATTTTTTGTTGTTTTTTTGTTTTTTTGTTTTTGAGATGGAGTCTTGCTCTGTCGCCCAGGCTCCTGGAGTGCAGTGGCACGATCTTGGCTCACTGCAACCTCCACCTCCCTGGTTCAAGTGATTCTCCTGCCTCAGCCTCCCCAGTAGCTGGGACTACAGCCATGCATCACCATGCCCAGCTAATTTTTGTATTTCTAGTAGAGATGGGGTTTCACCATGTTGGCCAGGCTGATCTCGAACTCCTGACCTCAAGTGATCCTCCCGCCTCAGCCTCCCAAAATGCTAGGATTATAAGTGTGAGCCACCGTGCCCAGCCAAGATTTATACATTTTACATAAAATGGTACAATATTAACTCTAAATAGACTGATATATATATTTAAATCTCTAGAGCAACCACTCAAAGGGGATTTTGGGGGGAGCTATGCGTCTTTCAGTAGCTTCTAGTTTCACATCCGTATTTCTAGTCTGACCGTTTTCTGTCCCATGCTAGACCCTGCCCTGATTCCTTTACTCCCTAAAATACCACCAACGAAAGGCTATGTGTAAGGCAGACTTCACTGAAAGTGGGGGGCAATGGATGATTCATCACAGACCACACAGTCAACAACGTACAAACAACAATTAGAAATCTTTTTCTTTTCCTTTTTTTTTTAAGAGACAGAGTCAGCTGTGTGCCGTGGCTCACACCTGTAATCCCAGCACTTTGGGAGGCCAAAGCAGGCATATCAATTGAGCCCAGGAGTTCAAGAGAAGCCTGGGCAACATGGCAAAACCCTGTCTCTACAAAAACCACACAAAAAAAATTAGCTGAGCATGGTGGCACGTGCTTGTTGTTCCAGCTACTCAGGAGGCTGAGCTGGGAGGATCACCTGAGCCCAGGGAGGTCGAGGTTGCAGTGAGCTATGATCACACCACTGCCCCCAGTCTGGATGGCAGTGAGACCCTGTCTCAAAGCAAATAATAATAATAATAATAAAGACAGGGTCTCACTGTCACTCAGGCTGGAGGGTAGTTGTGCGATCATAGCTCACTGCAGCCTCAAACTCCTGGGGTCAAATGATTCTTCTCCCTCAGCCTCCCAAGTAGCAAGGACTACAGGCATGCTACCATACCCAGCTAAAGAAATCTTTGTTTTTAGAATTCTTCAGTCACCGGGCCATCAGAAATTTCTCTCTGATCTACTTTATTTGAGCTCCCCCGCTACCTTGCCCCTTGCATTTGCCCCTCTCTCTTAAGAACTTTCCACAATCTTCTTACCTGTCCTCTTGAGCAACATGACTTTCTGTCTATTCAAAGCCCATCCTGGCCATGCTTTGGTGCTGGGGAGGTGCCACTGCTTTACAACAGCCATGGCCCTTAAGATGCTCTGCTGTAAAAAGACAGTTTTCTCTCTGAAAAATTCCACTACCAGCTTTCAAACCCATTTTTCTTTCCTCCTACATAGATATACCACCAAGCTATCTCTGTCTCCCTTCTCTATTAAACAGAGCAAATGAGCTCAGATCCAAACTTGTCCACTCATCCAAGCCAAACAAGAGCCTTGGAGGCATCCAAACCCACCCTCAATGGCTACTGTCATACAAGTGTGCCTCCTGGAGTCCCACACCCCACCTCAAGTGGCTTATGTGTTCACCCAAAATATATATTTATTAAGCATCTCCTACACAGTGCTTGTCATAATATTATATATATAACTCTCCCTAAGAAGGATTTTTTTTTTTTTTTGAGACAGAGTCTCACTCTGTTGCTCAGGCTGGAGGGCAGTGGCGTGATCACAGCTCACTACAGTCTCATCTTCTGGGCTCAAGTGATCCTCCCACTTTAGCCTCCCAAGTAGCTGGGACTACAGACTCACGCCAACACACTTGGCTGAGTTTTTTGTAGTTTTCGTAGAGACAGGGTCTTGCTATGTTGCCCAGGTTTGTCTTGAACTCCTGACCTCAAGCAATCTGCCCGTCTTGGCCTCTCAAAGTACTGGGATTACAGGAATGAGCCACTGCGCTTGGCTGTTTTTATTTTTATTTTTAAACGTTAGACTAAGATGGATTTTTCTGAAAGCCACTAAGAGGACAAAAAATACCATTTCCAAATCATCTCCTTGTCACTGATTAACACCGGGCCCCTTTAAGGCTAGTTTAAGAAACCCAAGCTGATTGTAAAAGCTTTGTGCCAGTCACCTATTGCTGCATAACAAACAGCTCCAAAACTTAAAACAATGACAACACTTACTTTGCTCACAAATCTGTAACTTGGGCAGGGCTTGTTGGGGACAGCTTGTATCAGCTGCACTCAGCATCACTGGGTGTGCTTGAAAGTTGGGGGCTGGAACCATCTGAAGCTTCATTCACTCCCAAGTCTGGTGGTTAATGATGGCGTCATTGGGGACCTCAGTTGAGCTGGGCTGTGCCTGGAGCACCAATGACATTGATGTATGGTTTTCCTGGATGACTCTCTGGCTTCTTCACAACACCCTTGGCTGGGTTCTAAGAGCCAGGGGGGAGAGAGAGAGAGAGAGAAAAATGAGAGAGAGAGAGAGACAGAGAGATAGAAAGAGAAATGAGAGAGAGAGAGAGAGAGAGAAATGAGAGAGAGAGAGAGAGAGAGACAGAGAGAGATAGAGAGACAGAGAAATGAGAGAGAGAGAGAATGAGAAAATGAGAGAGTGCACCAGCTGGAAGCCATATCACCTCTTATGACCTAGCCTCTGAAGTTGTGCTGAATCATTTCTGCTGCTTTCTACTTGAAGCAAGCCCACATTCAAGGGTGAGGGAATTAGACTCCACCTTTTGATGGGTGAAATGTCGAAGACCTTGCAGGTATGTTTTAAAATCCCACAGCCTTAAAGAGAAATGTTGATCATAACGGAAGGTTTTCCTGATGGGCAGTAATGAGAGGAAAATCATACTGTACAATCTAGAGAAAGCTTCTCTAAAATCCTCATTACCCACTTTTCTCCCAAAGGACTTCAGGGCAGCCCAGGCACCCCACTCTCCTCTCTGCACCCCTTCTCCCTCACTTTCCTTTCTGGTCTAGTTCACACCCTCCCAGGTTTATAAAGTGACATTGAGACTCATACGTTTTTTCTTTTCTCCATGGTCCCTGTCCATTGATTCCCTCAAATGAACCAACAAGGCCTCTCCTCCTTAGGAAGGTGGGAGAAGGTAGGTTCCCATGCTAACGTTTTTCATGTGTGTGTGTGTCTGTATGCGTGTGTATACACATAAACACATCTATGTGTTTGAAAATAAACCCAATCATTTTAACTTAGTAATTATATTTGCAAATTAACCCCATAATTTGAATAGACTAGATATTTTTATATGCACATAACCTATGAATATAAAGAGATGTGCCTAAATGTACAGGAAACAGGGCACCCTTAAGAGAGACCTTAATGAAGAGTCCATTTACAGAGGTACAGGCAGAGTTAAGAGAAGTAGCAGGGATGTGGAGGCGGTCAGGGACTAGCAACAGCAGGAAGCCACCACCTTCCTTAGATCTGAAGGGGGGTGGGTATGGCATTACCTGAGGTGGTGGTAGCCGGACCCCAGGAGACTGACCCCTGCTAGAAGCTGCTGTCAGAAAAGAAACCAAGAACAACTGAGAGGTTAGAAAGTTGTAGATTAAAGTTACTTTGACCTCTCTTTTCTCCTGCCTTTTTGTCCCCTGCTGATTCTTCCCTTTGGTCAAACCCAACCAGAATCCAGAGGGCAGGTGGTGGTATTGCCCTCCAGGGCTCAGCCTCCAGCCCAGAGCACAGTGAGAAGAACAGACAATGGACAGGGAGGAAGAGGGGCAAATGGAGAGTACCCAGCACAACTTGTTTAAAAATGAATAAGATCATCTTTTGATGGCAACTCTTTCTTCTTTGTTTTCTTTTTTTTTGAGACAGAGTTTCACTCTCATTGGCCAGGCTGGAGTGCAATGGCGTGATCTCAGCTCACTGCAACATCCACCTCCCAGGTTCAAATGATTCTCCTGTCTCAGCCTCCTGAGTAGCTAGGATTATAGGTGCGTACCACCTCACCCAGCTAATTTTTGTATTTTTAGTAGAGACGAGGTTTCACCATGTTGCTCAGGCTGGTCTCAAACTCCTGACCTCAGGTGATCCACCCGCCTCAGCCTCCCAAAGTGCTGCGATTACAGGCGTGAACCCCTGCGCCCAGCCAGCTCTTTCAAACTGTTACATACACTGGGAGTAAAAGATGGTGGGGGGCCGCATGCCCAAACAATGAAGAAAAATAGTGACAGCAATTGGCATGACAGTCCAATTCTTAATTGCATGAGCTAATGAAGTGGAATTCCTGGCATGACTTACCCCAAAGTAATTTATATTTGGCTTGGAAAACAGAATGGTTTTTATAACAGATTTTTCTAATTATGTTTTACTTATGTTAATATGAGGGTTTGACTCCCCAAGTAAATACCACCTGCTCACAAAGCAGGATGGCTCAGAAGTGCACTGAGCACCAGGTGGAAGCCAGGCTGGGATTTCACAATTTGCTGCAGACGATGCAAAAGTATCTGGAAGTTTTTGCTTTTGATGTGTGGGGGCTGCTCTCTCCAACTCATTTGTAAAAGCATTAAGGGCAGCTACTGTATCTCATGCTTCCTCTCGATTCCTCAAAGATAATAATACTCAAACTTTGCTATGCATAAAAATCACCTGGGGAACTTGTTAAAATGCAAACTCCTGGGCCCTGCCAGGATGATTGATTCTGTTGGTCTGGGTGATGCCTAGGAATCTGAATTTCAGCAAGCACTCCAGGTCCTTCTCATGCTGGTGTTTGGGCCATCACATTTGGAGAAACACCACTGAAAACATTAGACACATGGATTCATACTCAAAGGAGGCAAAGTGCTGTAACAGATGAAGTGGGGGAATGATTAAGAGCCAGAGCTGGGTTCCAATCCCAATTTTGCCGTGAATTCATTGAGGCAGCTTACCTTCTCTGATAATCATTTGCAAGAAGGCTAATACATAGACATCGGAGTCATTAGGAAAACTGGAGGTAGCAAATGAAAAATAAAAATTGGGTGAAAACATAGTGGCTTTCACTATTTGTACCCAGAGGGTTCTCGGGTGAGCCTTTCTCAAGGTAACTGGGCTCTGAGAATCCTACCTTGGAAGACCCATGAGGATGGCACCTGTAAGATCAGCTGGTCTGGTACCATCTTAGCACTGTTTCCTTGCAGTCACTGAGTGCCATCCTGAGACACTGTATTTCATAGATTTCATGTTTTTCAGGCTCACTCTTTCCTTGTTTCTACTTGTGAAATTATTATTCATCCTGCAGCATATGGACAACAGGTTTTTTACCCATTCTCTCTTGCCGTTGGCAGGATACCATTCAACAATATGGTGTTAACAAAAAATATTAAAACTAGCTGTCTTAAATTTTTGGTTCTGGTTCATAATGTTGCATAATGAAAAGGAAAATCTTTCCCACAGTCCCAGTGGTGCGGAAACACTTAGAAATGACTGTAAATATAGACTCTCAAATGACAAGAGGTTGTTTTATGTCATTCTGCGATTTCTTTTTCACAGCATGTTCTATGTGCTGGAATAAAAATTTTTAATGAAGTCAGAATGCTAAATTTAATGGAACCTTTGCTCTTTGTTCATTGCAAAATACATCATGTTTCCATTGAATTTGCTGTGCATCTTGGCATCAGGTCCCACACAGCAAAACAAAACTCAGACCTCATAATTCAATAGTTTTGATTATGCCCAGATTCTAAAGACCACTGCATGTCTTTCCTAATTTGTTACTCACTTGATTTTCAGTGAATAAATGTAAAAAGAGTCTCCAATTGTTCCTCTTAAATCACCCTAATTGAACATAAGAGTGATAATGTATGACTGGAGGAATATTTTACATAATGTAAGTACTAATCCTAGGTGGCATATAATTAGCTTGCAATTTTTTTTTTTTTTTTTTTTTTTTTTGGTCAATAAGTAGCATAAAAATACTGATTGAGGCTGTGACTCACACCTGTAATCCCAGCACTTTGGGAGGCTGAGGTGGGCGGATCACTTGAGGTCAGGAGTTTGAGACCAGCCTGGCCAACATGGTGAAACCCCATCTCTACTAAAAATACAAAAATTAGCCAGGCATGGTTGAGCATGCCTGTAGTCCCAGCTACTCGGGAGGCTGAGGAAGGAGAATCGCTTGAACCCAGGAGACAGAGGTTGCAGTGAGACGCGATGGCACCACTGCACTCCAGCCTGGGTGCCAGAGCGAGACTCTGTCCCAGAAAAAAAAAAAAAACTGATTGTTACGGAGAATAAATTTTAGCTGCAAGGTGTTCCAAGCAGGCTATTCAAAACATGTACTTATAACTTAGGGGTATAAAATTTATAGTAACCTGTTAGTGACTGCAAAATCTAATCTAGTTACCAGACCTTTGCTTCTCAAACTTAGGTGTACATAAGAAATATGTGAGGTGCCTGTTTTAAAAATGCAGGTCCTTGGCCAGGTGCAGTGGTTCACGCCTGTAATTTGGAAGGCTGAGGTGGGAGGATTGCTTGAGCTCAGGAGTTCAAGGCCAGCCTGGGCAACATAGTGGGACCCTGTCTCTATAAATAAAATTTTAAAAAGTGCCTGGCTTGGGACCATTCATAAAGAATCTGATACAGTGGCTGGGGGACACAGGAGCCAGGGGAGTTCGCAAAACCTAGGAACATACATTTTGAACACTACCCCCCCTGCCCCAGGTCATGCTGATGTAGCTAATTGAGCACTGGCTAGCCCATTCTCCCTACAGAGGCTCTTTCTTCCTTATTTGTACCCATCCATTCTCTTACCTGTGAGCAGACACAGGTGTGCACCCAAGATTATGAAATTTTGTTGAGCTCTTGGACTTCTCTTGGGCTAAGGCCACATGACAATCTACTCAGGAATAAGGTAAACCCACTCCAATCCAGCAAGTTACCTATCTCAGGAATTGCTAGTACTGGTTGAAGAGATGGATGCCTCTGGGCTAAGATAAAATGCACTATCTCATGGGTTCTCTACTTGATCCTCACTGCTCTATAGGGTGGGGCCTATGTGTATTTTATAGAGGAAGAAACTGAGGTTCAGGGAGGTCAGGGCACTGGCAAAGGTCATATAAGAAAGGTAAAGGCCAGGCCTGGTGGCTCAAGCCTGTCATCCCAGCACTTTGGGAGGCTGAAGCAGGTGGATCACCTGAGGTCACGAGTTCGAAACCAGCCTGGCCAACATGGTGAAACCCTGTCTCCACCAAAAATACAAAAATTAGCCAGGAGTGGTGGTGTGCGCCTGTAGTCTCAGCTAGTTGGGAGGCTAAGGCAGGAGAATCGCTTGAACCTGGGAGGCGGAGGTCGCAGTGAGCTGAGATTGTGCAACTGCTAGGAGACAGAGAGAGACTCTGTCTCAAAAAAAAAAAAAAAAAAGAAGAAGAAGAAAGAAAGAAAGAAAGAAGAAAGAAAGGTAGGGAACCAAGTCCCCAAAATTGTGTCTCCAGTCTCTAAGCTTGTTCTTTTCAACTCCTTGTCAAGAGTTTGGTTATATTGCCAGAATATGCAGAGATGGGTTAAGCATTTTACATTAAAAAAAACGACAACACATTACCTCTTGGTATTAATTTTCTATACAAGAGGAGATGATCTCAGTGTTCGCAGAACAGCAACTACACAGGCAATGATTAAAATTCTGAGAACACTCTCCCTCAGTCTGTCTTCAGACAATGCTTCCATCTTATGGTTAGGTATGAAAGTAGAAAAGTAATCTGGGGCCTGGTTCTCACACCCTCTGTCGCTGGCCTCCCTGGAGCTGGGTGGTGGCATTGCAAGGACTATTTACCAACAGGATTAGAAAAGTGATCTTCGCAAACCTCACTCTAGAATTTTCGAAACTGCTTTTTGTGCTTTTGGTAATGTATGAGTCTATTCAGCCTGCCACAACAAAAAGCCACAGAGTGGGTGGCTTAAACAACAGAAATTTATTTCTCACGTTTCTGGAGGCTGAAGTCCAAGATCAAGGTACCAGCAAGTTCAGTTTCTGATAAGGCCTCCCTTCCAGGCTGATGAACGCCTGTCATCTCACTGTGTCCTCACACGGCAGAGATAGCAGGAAAGAAATTTCTGCTTTCTCTTTCCCTTTCTTCCTCTTCTTTTTTTTTTTTTTTTTTTTTTTTTTTTTTTTTGAGATGGAGTCTTGTTCCCATCACCCGAGCTGGAGTGCAATGGCACGATCTCGGCTCACTACAACCTCTGCCTCCTGGGTTCAAGCGATTCTCCTTCCTCAGCCTCCCGAGTAGCTGGGATTACAGACGTGTGCCACCACACCCGGCTAATTTTTGTATTTTTAGTAGCGATGGGGTTTTGCCATGTTGGCCAGGCTGGTCTCGAACTCCTGACCTCAGGTAATCCGCACACCTCGGCCTCCCAAAGTGCTAGGATTACAGGCGTGAGCCACCGAGCCCAGGCACCTTTCTTCCTCTTCTTATAAAGCCACCCACCCTTATGGCTTCATTTAACCTTAATTACCTCCTAGAAGCCCGATCTCCAAATACCATCATAATGGGAGCTGGGGCTACAAAATATTAATTTGGTGGGGACCCAAAATTCAATCCATAGCAGATGGGTCCACTTATTTTCCAGGAAAGCAGCTTTGGACAGAGGCAAATAGGCAGCTTTTCTTAACTAAAGACAGAAAGTTCTATCTGAGAAGATGCCCTTCCAACCCTTTTCTCTTTTGGGGAGAAATGGATGCTTTATCAGGAAGTTAACATGTGTGATTACCAATCATAGGTGGGGGCCCAGGAGATTCCACGCTGCTGAACCTGGTTCCACAGCGCTCAGGCAGAGCTGTACACACGGTTGTATGTATGTGCACACTGCCCGGGGAGACACGCTGTAGCCACGATGGCTCCCCTGCTGTTTTGGGGACATGTCAGGCGAGCTCTGGCCTTAGGACTGACTTAGACTTGGTTCCCTGGAAGCAGAGCCTGAGCCTGGGGTTTTTGTGCAAAGATTCTTTTGGGAGAAGTCTAGTCTCAGCCTGATCCCAGGGGGAGCTCTGGAACATACATTACTTCCAGAGATGGTCCCTCTCAGGGGAAAGGGGATTGGACACTTGTCCCTGCCCCCATCAGTCAGGCATTGGTCCCCTCCCAGGCATGTCCAGGACAGGAAGCAGGTCAGGTCAGCCAAGGGCTATCCTCTGGAGAGGGGGACAGGTGTGAAGCTTTAGCGGACAACACCCCCGACCCCAACAACAGAGGGAGGGTGCCAGCGCTGCTACAGAGGAGCTCAGCGGGGCCCAGTTGCACCTACTATGGAGGAGCTGTTGCTCTAGCTGATCCCTCTGCCTGGGATGTTCTCCCCCAGATGACCTCATGGCCAACTCCCTCACCTCCTCAGAGCTTTGCTAAAATCTCACCTTCTTCCTTTTTTTTTTAGACAGAGTCTCACTCTGTAACTCAGGTTGGTTGGGGTGCAGTGGCATGATCTCAACTCACTGCAACCTCCACCTCCCGGGTTCAAGTGATCCTCATGCCTCAGTCTCCCGAGTAGCTGGGACTACAGGCACGTGCCACCATGCTCGGCTAAGTTTTGTATTTTTAGCAGAGACGGGGTTTCACCATGTTGGCCAGGCTGGTCTCAAACTCCTGACCTCAAGTGATCTGCCCGCCTCAACCTCCCAAAGTGCTGGGATCACAGGCGTGAGCCACCGCGCCTGGCCTTAAAATCGCACCTTCTCAATGGGCCCATCTTGGCCACCTTGTTGATGCAGAAACTGCACCCCCACCCACTCCCCATTACCGTCACCCGGCTCTGCTTCTTTTTTCCATAGAACTCATCACCTTCCAACACAGACTATTTATTTCTTTCGTATGTTTTTTTTTGGGGGGCGGGCATTGTTGTTGTTGTTTGTTTTTTTGAGACAGAGTCTCGCTGTATCGCCAGGCTGGAGTGCAATGGCACAATCTCGGCTCACTGCAACTTCCGCCTCCCAAGTTCAAGCGATTCTGTTGCCTCAGCCTCCTGAGTAGCCGGGATTACAGGCCCCCTCCACCACATCCGGCTAATTTTTGTATTTTTAGTAGAGACAGGGTTTCACCATGTTGGCCAGAATGGTCTCAATCTCTTGACCTCGTTATCTGCCTGCATCAGTCTCCCAAAGTGCTGGGATTACAGGCATGAGCCACCACACCTGGCCGGTGTGTTTTTTTTGTTTTGTTTTGTTTTTTGTCTGTTTTTTTTTTTTTTTTTTTAATATCATCTGTTTCTTCCCCCTTAGAATGAAAGCTCACTGAGGGCAGAGATACTGATATAGGCTTATCACCCAGAATAGTAGCTGAGATATCATAAGCACACCATGAATACTTGTTGAATTAAGTCTCAAAGGGGCCCTGACTCAAAGAAGGGAGTAGGTCAAGAACTCAGAGAAATAGATTACATAAAAGGTTACTAGCCAAGCCATTAGGCATGACTTGGGGCCTGCAGGAGGGGCACCACTACCTCGAGGTATAATATAATTTTTGGACCAGTGAATGCAAGGGTGTCATTACACTGTGCTTGGTGTGGCTGTTCAGAAGCCGTCCTGCCCTGCACAGCTGCTCTACTTGAGGACTTACTAAGGTTTTCCTTGACCTTCTAAAATAATTCTGCCTTATCCTCCCACAGAAGTCTCAGCTTGGGCAAGTAGTGACCACCCACCCCTATGATAATACCTTAGTTAGCAGAACTTTTCATCCAAAAATACGGAAATGCCAACATATGGAAACACTCAGATACCACAATGTTTCATAAGTACTAAGGGACGAATTTTTATAACTTCCTATAAGAGGCTTCCTAACACTCAAAAGTTGAGTGACCCCATCCACACCCACCTCCTGTCTGCCTTGCAAAGAATGTCTCTTAGACAAATCCTGAAAACTCATACCAAAAATATTATATCTTGCTAGCTTTCCCCCCAAATAACTCACAGGTAATTTTTTATTCTTTGCCTATACAAAATGGGCAAAGTATTTAGACAGATATTACCCCAAGAGAAAAAAACAGAAAATAACAAATATGTGAGAAAATCCACAATTTTACCCATAAAATGCAAATTCAAACAACAGTCAGATATTATCACAATCTATCAAACCAACAAGAATTTCTTGTCGTTGTAATACCAAAACTGGTAAAGCTGTGGTTAGGGTGCACATTCTGCAATGTGGGTGGAAATGTGAAGTGGTAAACCCTTGTGGAAAGCTACAAGGCTAGATCCTGAGATGCTTTGATATCTTCATCATCTTTGACCTTTCTTCTAGAGTCCCTGCTAGGACCTTATCCTACCAAAAAATCTGAAATGCAGGGGGAAAAAGCCTTTGAACCCAGCCATAAAGATTTTACGCAGGACTCACATGGCAGGAAGAGGGAGAGGGAGAGGTTACTTAGGTAAGCTAGCAACAGATTCTCTCAAAGTTTTTCTTTGGTTTAATGTTTTTTTGGTTTTTTGTTTTTGAGATGGAGTTTATTTATTTATTTATCTATTTATGAGACAGAGTCTTGCTCTGTTGCCCAGGCTGGAGTGCAGTGGCGCGATCTAGGCTCACTGCAACCTCTACCTCCAGGGTTCAAGCGATTCTCCTGCCTCAGCCTCTCAAGTAGCTGGGATTACAGGCATGCGCCACCACGCCCAGCTAATTTTTGTATTTTTAGTAGAGACGGGGTTTCACCCTGTTGGTCAGGCTGGTCTCAAACTCCTGACCTAACGTGATCCACCCGTCTCGGCCTCCCAAAGTGCTGGGTTTACAAGTGTGAGCCACGGCTCCCGGCCTGGTTTAACTTTTTATCACAAGGATAACTCTTGTCACATACACTCTGTGGCCCAACAAACAGAATACTGGCATTTAGTTTCATAATTGGAATTGCTGATTTGTCGTGTTTTGACAGTTGAATCATGTTTCTAAAACTCATATTTTCATGTTCCAAAAATTTCCCCTGTGCCTGGGGATGCAGGGCCATCATTTACTCCTTGCTGGATTCTTTAGCTGTTAACATAAAGCCATGGTAACAGCTATCTTATTTCCCAAATTCAAAAACTCAACATTCAAAACAATCATTTTCAAAATTCTCTGAATTCTCTTGTTACTTTTTCTCCTTGAACTTCACTCACTAAAAATCAGGACAAAGTACAGTGTTTTTTTCTACCTCAACTAGAATAAAACCCACATTTACGAATATTTTTCAGGTAAGATATTCACTCGTTAAAAAAAAAAAAAAAAAAACTGGCCGGGTGCAGTGGCTCACACGCTCACGCCTATAATCCCAGCACTTTGAGAGGCCGAGGTAGGCAGATTACCTGAGGTCAGGAGTTCGAGACCAGCCTGACCAACATGGTGAAACCCCATCTCTACTAAAAATACAAAAAAAAAATTAGCCGGGAGTGGTGGTGTGTGCCTGTAATCCTAGCTACTCGGGAGGCTGAGGCATGAGAATTGCCTGAACCCAGGAGATGGGGGTTGCAGTGAGCCGAGATCGCACCACTGCATTCCAGCCTAGGCAACAGAGCGAGACTCTGTCTCATAAATAGATAAATAAATAAAAATGAAAAATAAAAAAATAATAACTTCTACCTGTAAAACAAGGGCTCACCCCAAATGGGATTTAGGTTTTTCCTTTTTAATTTTTAGCGGGAAAGCTGCTTAGAAGGTTGCTAATAGCTTTCCGTTTCTGGAGGTGGCCTCTTTGGAGCTGACTTTATTTACTCTGGGAAAGTTAACAGAAACGGGCTTTCTAGTTACCCAAAGGTAAAGCAAATTCCCACCCATCAACCTTGGAGAAGCTGTGAAATCACATCCCATGGGGAGGCAAGATTGTTGGGAGGATTGGAGAAGATTCCATCCTAGGCCTGGATGCAGGAGACCTGCCCTCCCAGCTGTGGCATGAGAGGCCACCGCCAGGGGTGGCAGAGAGGGTGGGCGGATCCCTCACACTGCAGTGTCATCCACCAGGACCCGAGAAGGGCTCTGCAAGGCCGCCCTCCTCCTGCTAGGGGCCCTTCTCCCGCTCCCACCTAGGACTCGGGGAGCAGCTCTCGGGCCTCTTCCCAGGACACACAGGAGTTCCCGTCCTCAGATCTTGGTAAAGGCAGCAGGAGAGGGTGGAAATGTCCTGCTTTTGCGTCTTTGCCATAAAATGATGTCTAAGGGGTCTTCCTGCTCTAAAATTCTAAATTTCCATTTCAGTCAAGGCTTTCTGCTTATGGGGAAGAGAAACTAGCTCCAAGCAGAGACAGAGTAACCTAACCCTAAGGAGAGCTCAGCCAGGCAGAGTGGCTCACGCTGTAATCCCAGCATTTTGAGAGGCTGAGGCGGGTGAATCACTTGAGGTCAGGAGTTTGAGACCAGCCTGGCCAACATGGTGAAACCCTGTCTCTACTAAAAATATAAAAATTAGCCAGGTGTGGTGGCACATGCCTGTAATCCCAGCTACTCGGGAGGCCGAGGCAGGAGAATCACTTGACCCTGGAAGGCGGAGGTTGTGGTGAGCCAAGATCGTGCCATTGCATTCCAGCCTGGGCGACAGAGCAAGACTCTGCCTCAAAAAAAAAAAAAAAAAAAAAAAAAAAGGAGCACTGATGAAGAGTCTAGCTAGCCAGGCCTCAGCCACATGGAGCTGGGAACAAGGTTGTCAGGCAGAGGGTGGCTCTTCTCTGGGCCCTGGTCCTCTCTGGACGTTTCCTTCTGCTCACCTGTTTCTTTCTCTGCCCAGCGTCCTCTGCCTATTCCTGGTTCTCCTTGGCTTTGTCTTGCCATGGTGCTGACTCAGCCCTTGACTGCTCCAGACCCAGAGGCCCGGCTCCTCACTCTCCCTTAAGAGAGGATTTAGGCCCAGTTAGGTGTCCACGGCTGGTCCAAAAAGTTCTTGGCCGGAAAGCTTCAGTCATGGGATAGAAACACAGCCACCCAGGCACATGACTTGATTAGAGAGAAAGACAAGTGGACTTGGCAAGGGTCAGGACCTCCAAAACATCAACAGCAGTGTTGGTGGCAGCTCCTTTCATTCCCACTTTCTTCTATTACTTGGGTTTCATCCAAACCTCTCTGGTTCTCAGAGAAGTACGTTCTAGGGCAGGGTTAGACATGAGAGATTTATTGAAGGAAGTGTCTGTGCAGGAAGATGGGGAGATTACAGGAGGAGGCTGGGAGAGCTGTCAGGCCATGATGCAGGTCTGACCCTGGTGAAGGAGAGAGGGAAGGAAGGTGAGGTAGGAAGACTCTCAGCCTGCCGCACATTCTAACAAAGTTTGGGCAGGGTTGATAGACATCTGTCTAAGTCAGTTCAGTCTACTATAATAAGATACCATATACTGGGTGGCTTATAAACAACAGAAATGTATTTTCCACAGTTCTGGAGCCTGGGAAGTCCAAGGTCAAGGTGCTGGCAGATCCAGTATCTGGTGAGAACCTTCTTCCTGGTTTGCAGATAGTAGACTTCTCACTGTGTCCTCACATGGTAGGAGGAGCAAGGCAGCTCTCTGGGGCCTCTTTTATAAGGTCCTCACCTCATGAATGGGTGCTGATCCCATTCATGGGGGCTCTTCCCTTGTGACCTAAGCACCTCCCAAAGGTCCCACTTCCAAATACCATCACACTGGGGATTATGGCTTCAAGATATGAATTTGGGGCAGGGGCACAAACATTCGGTCCATAGCAGCATCCTTGAGGCAAAGTTCATCAGAGGAGTCCCACGTGTCACAGGAGTCATTCTGCCTTAGCAGCCCTGCTGTGCTTCGTCATTGGTTGGGAGCAGTGGTAAGAAATGTGGACACAGCTTGAATGTGGTGGTGGATTTAGAGCACAGCATCAAGGGCTGTCAGGTGATTGTATTTCCCCCAGCAGGAGATCTGAGAGATACAAGTTCAAGGTCAACACACAGGCTCTTTTTTATGAGGCAGGAGAAGGAAGGCACAGATTGGTAAGCTTGCAGGCTATGGAGTCCACAGGCTGGGTTGGAATCTGCCTACCTCTTACCCATCATGTGCACCTGGACAAGTTACCTGTCTCCCTGAGCCTCACTTTCTTCCTCTGAAATAATAATAATGGCCATACCTATAAAGCACTTACTGTGTGCAAGACACCGTTGTCAGTATTAATTCATTTAATCCTGGGGCACAGAGTTTAAGCAACTTGCCTAAGATATCAGAGGTGATAAGTGCTAGCATCAGAATTTGAACCCAGAACCCAGGCTACATTGTCTTTGTGAAGTAGAGCCAGCAATAGCACCAACACGACTATGCTGTTGTGAAAACTGAGAAGAGAACAATTGTAAAGCATTTAGCCTCACACACTGTATACATTCAATAAATGTTACCTGCTGTTACTGGCATTACTAATTATTATTATAGAAGGTACAGACTGAGTTTTTCTTTCTTTTTTTCTTTTTTTTTTTTTTGAGACGGAGTCTCGCTCTGTCGCCCAGGCCGGACTGCGGACTGCAGTGGTGCAATCTCGGCTCACTGCAAGCTTCGCTTCCCGGGTTCACGCCATTCTCCTGCCTCAGCCTCCCGAGTAGCTGGGACTACAGGCGCCCGCCACCGCGCCCGGCTAATTTTTTGTATTTTTAGTAGAGACAGGGTTTCACCTTGTTAGCCAGGATGGTCTTGATCTCCTGACCTCATGATCCACCCGCCTCGGCCTCCCAAAGTGTGAGTTTTTCTTTAGTGGTTTCGAAGATACACACTTTTCATCCCAATGGTCTCTTCTGACAATAACTAGTTTCCTTCATATGGTGGGGAAAATGGATCCCACTGTGACAATGTAAAGTGATCCCACCTGCAGACATTTGCCTTGCTTTGGCTCTACGCTCATCAGATGTCTTCTGAGGATAACGTGGTGTTCTGTGCACACTCCCAACAGGGTAAAGGGGACACACCATTGATAGCCTACCCAGCAGCCATTTCCTGCTTCTTCCTTCCTGAGAGAGACCCAGTTTCCTTTAGATATTATTCTGGTTATCTATTGCTGCATCACGAACCATCCCCAAAACTGAAAACAACAATTCATTATCCTGTCTCACAATTCCGTGGCTGACTGGGCTCAGAAGGGTGGTTCTTGCTTGGGGTTTCTCATGTGGTTGCAGTCAGATGGCAGCTGGGGCTGGGGTCATCAGAAGCCTCCACTGAGCTGGACATCCCGGGTGGCCTCTTCATTCACGAGTCCAGAACAGTGGAAACTGGCTCAGTATCTCGGTATCTCGGTAACTCTCTCTCTTTCTCTCCCTCCCCCCATCCCGTGTCGTGTGTGTGTGTGTGTGTGTGTGTGTGTGTGTGTGTGTGTCTTTCTCTCTCTTCTTGCTCTCTCTCTCTCTCTCACTCACTTGCTGGCTCTCCACACAGCCTCTCCACATGACTATCTTGGGCTTCCTCACAGCATGGTGGCCTCCCTGCAGTCGGGCTCTGTAGATGCTGGCTGGTTTATCACAGAGCAAGCATTCCAAGAGACTGAGAAGGAGCTGCAAGGCTTCTTGTAACCCAGTTTTGAACCTTGTGCAAAGACGCTTCCTCCGCATTTTATTAGTTACATAGAAGCAGCCCAGACTCAGTCCAGGGATTACCAGGAGGCATGGTGTGGCAGACTGGGAGTAAGGGGAGCTTTGGAGAGGAACTACCATGGATACCCCTTTCCCACTCAGCCACAGGCCTCTGGGGCAGCCAGCCTCACCCTCCAGCCTGAGGGTGAACAAGATGGGTCTAAAGGTGATGCCTTCCCCTTGCCAAGAATGAGCATGTGACCCTGTTTTGGTCAATGAGATATAAGGGGGATGTCTGCTGGGCTTCTGGGGAAGTTTTCACATTCCTAAGAGAGAGTCTTCTTCCTCAGGTCATGCTCGGATTTGAATAAGTTTTCTGGAGCTGCCCTGGGCATTTTCCATCAGCCTGAGGATGACACCATCCCTAAGAAGGGCAGAGCAGACAGGTGGAAAGACCCAGGGCCCTGGATGCCACAGTGTAGCCCATCCACAGCCAACCCTGAAGCCCACCCTACTTTGGGACTCTCTGTTATCTGAAATAAGCCAAGACCACGTCTCTCTCTCTCTATATATATGTGTGTGTATGTGTATACATATATACACATACATACATATATGTGTGTGTATATATATACATATATATCACTCATATATATACACACATACATATATGATATATATGAGTAATATATATGTGTGTACATATATATGAGTGATATATATGTGCATATATATGATATATATAGATATATAGATATGTATGATATATATAGAGATATATCATATATATATAGATAGATATGTATCTATATATATATAGATATATATATCACTCAGGCTGGAGTGCAGTGGTGTTATCACAACTCACTGCAGCCTCAAGCTCCTGGGCTCAAATGATCCCACCTCAGCCACCCCTTAGCTCTCCTATGCACAGAGGGCTGTACAGTAGATGGCTGTCTGAATTTGGCCTGCGGGCCATATTTCGCTGATCCCTGGTTTAAAATGTCAAGGAGTAAATACTGCTGACACAAGATGCTGACTTAAGGCTGCTTGTCCCTCTAATCCCCACTGTAAATTATCATTATAATTATCCACTGATGCTCAGGTTCGCAAATCTGCAGATTGTAACTTAATTTAATTCTTGCTTGAGTGAGAGGATGAGTTTACCTTAAGCTTAAAAGATGGTAACTTTTAAGATTAAGGTAATGGGTGTGAGGTGGGTGCTGGGCTTCTGTAAGAGAAGTCAAGACTTGTAAGGAGAAAAATATTCTTACAGCTTAATAAGGCAAAGGAGAGTCACTAGCAAGAATCAAAGTGCTTATTGCCTTTTAGATACTTCCCCAGTACCCCACTTCCTGACCAAACCACAAAGGTCACTTCCTCTTGCCTCCAATACACACACCTTTAACTGAGAAACCTTAATCGGGGTGGGGATCATGTTGGTCACCAAGGAGATGGGACCTTGAGGGAAGAGAGATAAAAAGAAGTAAAGAAGTCTGGGCATGGTAGCTCATACCTGTAATCCCAGCACTTTGGGAGACCGAGGCAGGCAGATCACCTGAGCTCAGGAGTTCAAGACCAGCCTGACCAACATGGAGAAACCCTGTCTCTACTAAAAATACAAAATTAGCCGGGCATGGTGGCGCATGCCTGTAATCCCAGCTACTTGGGAGGCTGAGGCAGGAGAATCACTTGAACCCAGGAGGCAGAGGTTGCAGTGAGCTGAGATCATGCCATTGCACTCCAGCCTGGGCAACAAGAGCAAAACTCTGTCTTAAAAAAAAAAAAAAGAAGAAGAAGAAGTAAAGAAGGCCAAGCGTGGCGGCTCATGCCTGTAATCCCAGCATTTTGGGAGGCCAAGGCAAGTAGATCACTTGAGGCCAGGAGTTCAAGAACACCCTGGTCAACATGGCAAAACCCTGTGTCTACTACAGATTAAAAAAAAAAAAAAATCATCCGGGCATGGTGGCACACGCCTGTAATCCTAGCTACTCAGGAGGCTGAGGCATAAGAATCACTTGAACCCGGAAGGTGGAGGTTGCAGTGAGCCAAGGTCATGCCACTGCACTCCAGCCTGGGTGACAGAACGAAACTATCTCAAAAAAAAAAGAAAAAGAAGAAAAGAAAATAAAACAGGTGGGGAGGGAGAGACTGTGTAAGGGAGAGGGTGTGGCCTACTCCGCCCACCAGGGTGTGATTAAGGAATGTACCTCCATGGTCTGGGCAGATCCAGGCCCTAGGGAAAGCTCAGGGGTAAGTTGAAAAGACCATGGAAGCCACTCCTGAATCTCCACCTCAATGTGGACTCTGTAAGGGCTGGGCCAGATCTCTTAAGCCTGAAGCAAAGGACAACTGAACATTTTCCAAGGTCCTTCCTGTGCTTCACAGGCTAGACCGTTCTGCCCTGGACTGGACTGTCCCACACTTCCAGGAGAACCCCATGCTCTGGGGTCTCCCTGGTGTTTGGAGAAGCCATTTATCCATGCAGACAATTTGACAAAATGAAGGGAGATATGCAAGGATTTCTGAGGAAATTTTAGCTGTGGGGAAGCTTCATAGAAACTGAGGTCCAGTGTGCACTTTGGGATCGAAATATTTCCTTATTGAAAAGAAGAGGCTCGGAGACAAAAAGCCGGAGTGCGTGGAATGTCACGTGCCACGCAGAGGTGCCAGTCCTGGAGCCCCATCTCTGCAGGAAGCTGTGTCCCTGGGTGGCTTCTCCTGATTTGGGGACCAGCCTCTCAAAGGCAAAGTGCCTGGGCGTTCAGATTTGCAGAGCAAGTTAGAAAGTTAGACAAATCGGTGTTCCCATTTTTGGCCCTTATAAAGACAAAATGTCAACTTGATACTAAAGCAAAGACCCATATCTCATGGCATACGATATTTATTTATTGATTGAATCAAAATCAGATTCCACTGCTGCATACTGTCTGGTTCTGCTGTACGAGAACGCAGTAGTGGTTAGATATGCTGCAGAGCTATTCATATCTCGTGAGTCATTGGAACAGTGCGTTTTGAAATGGTGTCCCTTCACTTTCTGTTTAGGGGGAAAAGAGGAAATAGTTCTATGACAACAGCAGTATTTTCTAATATTCTAGGTTTATTCTAATTTTTTATTTATTTATTTTTTTTAGACAGAGTCTTGCTCTGTCACCCAGGCTGGAGTGCAGTGGTGCAATATCGGCTCACTGCAACCTCCGCCTCCCGGGTTCAAGCAATTCTCCTGCCTCAGCCTCCCAAGTAGCTGGGATTACAGGCACCCACCACCATGCCCAGCTAATTTTTGTATTTTTAGTAGAGACAGGGTTTCGCCATGTTGGCCACGCTGGTCTTGAACTCCTGACCTCAAGTGATCGCCTGCCCCGGCCTCCCAAAATGCTGGGATTACAAGCATGAGCCACCATGCCCTGCCTATTCTAATATTTCTAATTGTAATTTTGGAGTTATGATTTTTTGGGGGGGGGCTATGATTTTTTTGGGGGTTATGATTTTTTTAATTCGAAATTTCTCCCACCTGCAGATACTATTATTTAGAGCAGAGCTTAACTTACTCAGAAGTTCATGAGATCTCAGATCCAGAAACTTTTCCCAAGAAGCTTGGACATGGATTGCTGGTAAACACAAAAACTGCATGGAGGGCAGAGCAGCCGGTTGACTCCCCCTTGTCAATATCTTAAAGTGGAAAAGCTTGACTTAGTGACTGTCATTTTGTCTGCGCAGCCCTGGTCTTTTCTTAGGCTTGCCTGCTTGTATTAGTCTTGGGTGGCGAGTGAAGATAATAGCTCAGTGTAAACTAGCTTAAGTGACCTGCGGGACTGTGTTGGCTCAAGTCCTGGTGGGGAGAATAGGGCTGGGCTAGTTGCAGGACTGGCTGGAACCAGGGACTCTAACTCCATCAGGGCTCCTGGCTTCTCATCTCTACTTCTCTCTGTAGGATTGTTCCATTGTTTTCAGACTGGCCTTTTCATGAGACAGGGGACACAGCCACTAGCAGATCTAGATCTAGATCCTTAGACTTCACAACCAAAGAAGAAAAGGGACCCTCTCCCCTGGATCCACTTTAAAAATTCCTGTGGAGGATGGTGACTGAGAAGCGTTCCTATGCCTACCCCTGGGGCCAATTTGTTGCAGGAAGGGATGGAGAAATACCATTAACTAGCAGGAGGGTATAATCTGTTACCAAAAGAAAGGTGGAAGGCTGGGCCCGGTGGCTCATGCCTGTAATCCTAGCACTTTGGGAGGCCAAGGCGGGTGGATCACTTTAGGTTAGGAGTTTGAAACCAGTCTGGCCAACATGGTGAAACCTTGTCTCCACTAAAAATACCAAAATTAGCCAGTCAGGTGGCACGCATGCCAGTAATTCCAGCTACTCAGAAGGCCGAGGCATAAGAATCGCTTGAACCCGGGAGGTGGAGGCTGCAGTGAGCCAAGATCTCACCACCGCACTGGCGACAGCCTGGGCAACAGAGCGAGACTCTGTCTCAAAAAAAAAAAAAAAAAGAAAAGAAAAGAAAGAAAGAGAAAGAAGGAAGGAAGGAAGGAGCGGGGAGGGAGGGAGGGAGAGGGAGATTGAGAAAGAGAGAGAAAGAAAGAGCGAGCTAGCCAGGCCAAACAGAAGATGTGTTCTGCCTGTCCCTTCTGGGAGCTGCCCCTTCCCCTCCATCCAAAGGAAGCTGTCCTGGAAGACTGGCCTGCCCCTTTGCCACAAGGATTCTTAGATACGGGCACCTGCTGGTCCATCAGAGTCTTCTCCCAGGAATTGAGAACTGGAGCTCAGAGGCGCCAGCTCTGTTTGGCTGCTTGTGTGTACTGAGGAGCTTTCAGAGGAGCTATTTCTTTACCTCGAGGATGGGAGAACCGCGAAACACAAATGGCTGGGCCACAAGACAAGAGAAGAAGGAAGCAGCAAGCCATGGAGAAGCGGATGCAAAGGGCTGAGCACGCTGGCTGATCTGCATCCTGGTTGCAGTGATTCCTGGGATCCAGCCACATCTCTGCTGCCAGTCTCTGCAGCACACTGAATCCAGACAATAACCCCCCTTTTTCCCTTAAGGTAGCTCATATTGCACTTCTTTTGCTTGCTATCAAAAACATTCTAACTGATACACAATCTCAACCTAAAACAGTCTCAGCCCTCATAGCCTGACACACAGCCAGTAGCATGGTGAAGCAGGTGAGTTCTGGCACCAGGCTTCCTTGACTGTATCTTAGTTCTGCTTCTTCCTAACTTGTGACACCAGACACGTTGCTCTGCTTCTTCCTAACTTGTGACACCAGACAAGTTACTTTTTTTTTTTGGATGGAATTTCACTCTTGTCTCCCAGGCTGGAGTGCAATGACACAATCTTGACTCACTGCAAACTTTGCCTCCCAGGTTCAAGTGATTCTCCTGCCTCAGCCTCCTGAGTAGCTGGGATTACAGGCGTCTGCTATCATGCCCGGCTAATTTTTTTGTATTATTAGTAGAGACGGGGTTTCACCACGTTGGCCAGGCTGGTCTTGAACTCCTGACCTCAGGTGATCTGCCCGCCTCACCCTCCCAAAATGCTGGGATTACAGGCATGAGCCACCATGCCTGGCCAAGTTATTTAACTTCTATATGTCTATTTCTTCATCTCCAAAAAGGAAATATTAATATACCTACATTATCGTGTTGTGAGAATTAAATAAGTTGATCCACGTAACACAGTGCCTGACATGTAAAAATCACTCCATAACATTAACTATTATTTGTAGTGGGAGATTGCAGTAGTGCCTAGGAGAAATTTTATCATCTCTTTAAAGATCAAAGAAACAAACCAAGGAAGATAGCCTCCCCACCTCCACCACGGATCACATTCCCAGCTTGCTAGAGGTGTCATGTTGAATCCTCTGGCCGGCATTCCAGACACCGGCTGCCAATATGCAGAGGAGATAAAGATCTCCAAGAAAGTTGAAATGTTACTAAAATGCTTGTACTGTAGTATAAGGATAATAACACTTCCTCAGACATCATTTTAAAAGTATGAAATTTGGCCAGGCATGGTGGCTCACACCTGTAATTCCAGCACTTTGGGAGGCCGAGGCGGGTGGATCACTTGAGGCCAGGAGTTCTAGACCAGCCTGGCCAACATGGTAAAACCCCGTTTCTACTAAAAATACAAAAATTAGCCAGGCCTGGTGGCAGGCACCTGTAGTCCCAGCTACTCAGGAGGCTGAGGCAGGAGAATTGCTTGAACCTGGGAGGCAGAGGGTTGCAGTGAGCTGAGATCGAGTCACTGCACTCCAGTCTGGGCAACAGACTAAGACTCCATCTAAAAAAATAACAAAATAAAAAATAAATAAATAATATGAAATCTGCCAGGCAAGGTGGCTCATGCCTGTAATCCTAGCACTTTGGGAAGCTGAGGCAGGAGGATTACTTGAGCCCAGGAGTTTGAGGCCAGCCTGGGCAACTTAGTAAGACCCGGTCTCTACAAAAAAACAAAACAAAACAAAACAAAAATTAGTCCCAGCTATTTGAGAGGCTGAGGTGGGAGGATCGCTTGAGCCTGAGAGTTTGAGGCTGCAGTGAGCCGTGATCGCGCCACTGCACTCCAGCCTGGGTGACAGATCAAGACCCTGTCTCAAAAAATGAAATAAAATAATATGAAATCTGAGTGTCAACATATATACGGAGTGAAGGACATGACCTGCATGTGGTTTAATCTATGTACACAGAGATTCTTTATAATGAAAATTTCCTGCCGTGTGCATATATGTGTATACACAAAAGCAACGACCCTAAAAAAAAAAACAAAGAAAAACAAGGAGCAAAAGAGCCAAGTAACATATGCCTATAAGGGGGCATTGTTATTATCATATTAAGAAATGAGGTTTGGACCCGGCACAGTGGTTCACGCCTGTAATCCCAGCACTTTGGGAGGCCGAGATGGGCGGGTCCCTTGAGGTCAGGAGTTCGAGACCAGCCTGGCCAACATAGTGAAACCCTGTCTCTACTGAAAATACAAAAAATTAGCTGGGCATGGTGGCAGATGCCTGTAATCCCGGCTACTCGGGAGGCTGAGGCATGAGAATTGCTTGAACCCAGGAGACGAAGGTTGCAGTGAGCCAAGATGATGCCACTGCACTCCAGCCTGGGTGACAGAGTGAGACCTTATCTCAAAAAATAAAAATAAATAAATAAATAAATAAATAAGGTTTGGAAGGCTCAGTGGTGTGTCTGGAAACCTGTGTTAGTTGGTTTCTTGACTATCCTTTGGTTTACTCTAGCAGCTATCGGGTTTATACAGCAGTTAACACAGTAACACAGTTAACTTAGTTTATTTTCACTTTGAGTAATATAATTTTGGGAAGAGCTGAAAAGGAGTGGAAATAAAGAAAGACTAAGATAATTTTTTAAAAGAATAATAGGAAATGAGATTTTAAGAATAAAAGCTAGAGAAAAACCAACAGAAGATAATTGAATCCCTTTGGTACTGCCATCAGGCCGGCTCTTTGTACTTTATGTTCCTTGCACCCATAACTGATACGTGTTCCAATCTCCCTTCCTAGAGTGAATTCTTTGAAGTCAGGATGCCCATCCCTATGCCCAACCCACACTGGAATTGCACTGTTTTTTTAACCTGCTGAGTGGAAGGTAAAGGAAATCAGGAAGACCCAAAGGGCAGAGAAAAGAGTAAATAGGACAATAGTTTGAAGGTTGGCCCTTGAATTCCTCTGAATTGGAGCATAACTAGAGGATCTCACAGATGAGATGTGTAGGCATCAATGATGGAGGTGAGAATCTCTTGGAAGTTTTTAGCAGTGGAAATGCTGCCACAGAGGTGCTGTTATGTTAAAGCTGGTGGAACTTTGGTTCAGTGAAACTAGACTTTCCACAAAAAAAGTCCTTTGATAAGTGACGCCTTTTCTACTTCCTGTGAGCAAATTCGTGAGGCTTAACATATTGCTACAAGAATCTTGGGATATTTTACATTTATCTTACATCCATTATAGGCAGTCAGACTCCATTTCACAGATGCTGCTTCCCAGCAAAGCATGCTGAATCCTTTAGACAATCACTATTTACCAGAACAAATATAAAAACTCTCAAGATCTGTTATTTGTCACCAGAGTATTCAGACAACCTATTTCCTCCTCCTTCCTATTACTCATCCCCTGTATTACTCACCCTCCAGCCAGTCATTCCCCTCAGGGCCTGTGAACACACCTGAAGCCTCCCCATCACTGACTTTGCTCTTCACCAGGTTGCCCTCCCTATTGGCTAATTTAGGAGTGAGTCACATATTACTTAAAAATTATTCTGTTTCATGTATTCTAGTCCAGTCATACTGCAGTGACAGCCAGAACAGAGACTGGATGATGGAGTGCAGTGGTTAAAGGCACAGATGCTAGAATTAAATTGCCTGTATTTGAACCCAGGTCTTGCCACTTTACTAGCCAGGTATCCTCATGCAAGTTACTTAACCTCCCTGTGCCTCAGATTCCTCGTCTGTAAATAAGGATGAAGATGCTACTGAGCAGGATTATTGTGAGGAGGAAATGAGTTATAATATGTGAAATACTACTCAGAAGAATGCACAGCCCGTAGCACTGTAGAAGTGTTCCTGCTTATTTGTGATCTCCCAGAGTCTACCATGCTTTGACATAAGTGGTTTCATCAATAAATATGTGTTTATTTCTATAACTTTTTTTTTTTTTTGAGACAGAGTCTCACTCTGTCGCCCAGGCTGGAGTACAATGGCACAATCTCGGCTCACTGCAACCTCCACCTCCCGGGTTCAAGCGATTCTCCTGCCTCAGCCTCCCAAGTAGCTGAGATTACAGGCGCCTGACACCACGTCCAGCTAATTTTTTGTATTTTTAGTAGAGATGGGGTTTTGCCATGTTAGACAGGCCGGTCATGAACTCCTGACCTCAGGTGATCCACCTGCCTCAGCCTCCCAAAGTGCTGGGATTACAGGTGTGAGCCACCGCGCCCGGCCCAACTTTTTCATGCATATGTAGTATATATATATATAATGTCTACCTATTAGAAAATGCATATAAAATACACATATAAGAAAAAAACCCAGCAACACCACTGCCTACAGATAATACTATTATCAGTATTTTCACATATTCCATTCATTAATTAAATAACATTTACTGAGCACCTAATACATAAAGGGCTTCATGCTCTTGCTGGAGATATAATGATGTGCAAAAACAGACACAGCTCTTGTCTCATGGAGTTTACAGTCTACTGGGGGAGACAGACCTTTATCAAGTAATGATACAAATACATGTGAACCTATAACTGGGATCAATGCTATAAAGGAGAGGTACACGCGTAACAGGGAGATAAGATCTGTAACAGGTTGTGAAGGTCTCTCATCCTACTGTTGCGAGGAAGTGACTACTGAAATGAGAACGAACACACAGAAATTAATTTGGAGAAGTCAGAAGGGAAGATGTGCCCAACACAGTAAATCCAAAGGCCCTGCAACGAGAGGGAGCACGGTAAGCAGAAGGAAGTAAGAGGCTTCAGCGTGGCTGTGGTTGTGTGCTAGATAAAGCTGGTGAGTTAGGAGGAGGGCAGGACTAGCAGAGCTTCATATTCTTTCTTTAGAAATTATTCTTCATGTGTTCAACAAATATTTGTCTATGATGAGCTAGGGACATACTCATTTTACATAAATTATGACATATACTGCTGTTACTATCAACAATTTCCAGCAATAAATGTACAGTAATTTAACCAATCTCTTATTGTTGGAAATGTAGATTTTTTTCTCCAACTTCTCATCATTATTATAAACCGCAATTACTTTTACACCAACCTAAAAACAATTCTGCAACAAAGATTTTTGTATGTGGACATGTGTCCAAATATTTCTTGGCATAAATTCCTGCAAGTGGAATTGCTGGTTAGGCAAACTGCAAATTTGTAAACATATTTTTATATATATAGAGAGAGAGTCAGGGTCTTGCTCTGTTGACCAGGCTGCTGGAACACAGTGGTGCTATCACAGCTCACTGCAGCCTTGACCTCCTAGGCTCGAGCGATGCTCCCACCTCAGCCCCATCCCAGTAGCTAGGATTACAGGCACACGCCACCACACTCAACTAATTTTTTGTATTGTTGTAGAGACAGGTTGTGTCATGTTGCCCAGGCTGGTTGGTCTCAAATTCCTGAGCTCAAGTGATCCTCTCACCTTGGCCTCCCAAAGTGTTGGGATTACAGGTGTGAGCCACCATGCCCAACCTTGGAAACATATTTTAATCATAAATGTGGGAAATTAACATGCTCAACTGTCAAGATTTGGTGTAATGGTCTTTTAAGGGTGGTGCCACTGCTGCATTTGAAGGCATTCTCGGTCACTTTCAGAACTTTTTCATTTTCTTCAGCGTGTGAGGAAGTCACTTCTATTTCTGATCCCATTGGATCCTTCCAACGACTTCAGGTCCACTCAATACTGACTACCAGTGAACCATCTTCAACTACAGTGCTAGAAGCCTGACTGTCCTCCTCTCCTCAGCCTAAGTTCTTCTTATCTGTCTCTGAAGGACCTTCCTCTGGACTTGAGACACACTGGAAGAGAAGGTAGTTTCTGATATTCCTTTCCTCTTTTGGCCAACTACTTTGTCTGGCTCCATTTTCATGCAGTAAATTCACTAATTGTTAAAGGCAGATGGAGCTCCAGCAACTCTATTACAGAACTGGGTTTTCCATTCTACTGAGCTTGTTCACAGACACAACTTTCTCAGGAGCCAGTGTGTCTTCATCTCCCCCTTTCAACATCTACAGCCTCAGATTACCTTCTAAGGCTCCATTTATTGTCAGGCCACAATTTCTAGGATTCTAACAATGAAGACAAACTCTGATACACAATTCACATCTTTCTTAGCTCCCGTTTCCAGTTCTCTTCTCCATTGCAAACAAAAACAAAAACCCCAAACAAACCACAAAACCTGTTTCCAAGTTCAGTGGGACACTCTTCCCAACGCACCCTGACTTCAGGTATGTAAGAGTTAAGAAACAAGAAAGAAACACGAAAAGCAGCTTAACAATCAAAGACAGGTTTATTTTGGAGAATAAACCTGAGAGGGGCTTCTTGTCGATTTTGGTCAGGAGCGTTTTCTCTTACACACTAAGGGTGTTTAAGGGTTTACGAAGCGGTGAGCTTATTGCAGGTTCGTAATGTTTCTGTATGAGGGAAAGTTTATTGCAGGGTTGGAAAGTCTCTGGCCGGAGGGGAGGCTATCTCTGGGTTGGCATGTTTCTGGTTGGAAGTGGGTTTATCTTAGGGTTGGAATGTTTCTGGTTATGCTGACATTAGCCATTAGGCTGATGTTTTTGGGTTGGATTTAGGCAGTTTCTTAATCAAGGGGAACTTAAAATGGTGGCAGTTGTCCAAGATGGCAATGCTCCTGCTGTCAGGGTAGGCCTTGGGAAGACACCAGGTGTCTTTGTAAACTTAGGTTTCCCCTGTACCAAGCACAGTGCTGACTGCATTACATGGGTTTTTCTTTTTACTATTCGTGACAACCTTCTGAGGTAGGTATCATTACTGTCCCCATTTACAGATGAGACAACTGAGGCTTAGGTAGGCTGTCACTCATCCACAGCCACAGAGCTACTATGGAGGGAACCCCATTTGTTCCTAAACTGCGATTAAAAATAAAAGTGGGGGGAGACAGGCCAAGAAAAAAAACACGAAAAGGGTTGAAAAGCAGCAAAAGAAAAGTAAGCAGTCAGGCGGAAACGGCCCCTTTCCTGCCTCCTTCCCGCCCGGCGCTGGGCCTTGCGCAGGGCCCGGACGCCCCCAAGCGGCCACCTCTCTGCAGCTGACGCTTCCGGCTACAGGCTGGCGTCACTAGCGAGCGCCCTGCGTAGGCACCGGCTCCTGAGCCCGTGCTTCGGGTGAGGGGGCGGGTCTTCCGGCCCTCTCGAAAATCATTTCCGGCATGAGCCGGAAGACCGTCCCGGATGGCCTCGGGGACTGCCAGTGTGTGGAGGTGAGCTCCGGGATTGCCGGCATTCCCGCTTCTGCTGGTTGCTTCATGCTGCAGGCTGCGGCCGTCAGCCCTCGCTCGCATTGGTGGCGCTGAGGTGCCGGGGCAGCAAGTGACATGTCGTCGGGCCTCCGCGCCGCTGACTTCCCCCGCTGGAAGCGCCACATCTCGGAGCAACTGAGGCGCCGGGACCGGCTGCAGAGACAGGCGTTCGAGGAGATCATCCTGCAGTGTGAGCGGCGCCGGTGCGGGCTGGGAGTGGGGCGGGCGGGCCCCGCGGAGGCATGCGGGGCGTCAGCGGGAACCTGAGGCCGAGTCCCTGGCGCCGCCCGCACGCATGGCGGCCGCCCCGGGTAACCCGCGCTTGGGACGCCGCACGCCTTTTAAATGTTTTTTCTAACCTGCGTTTTATCTTTGGAGGATTTTCCCTATTAAATTGTACGATCTTTGTGGGGAGGCACAGTTCGTGTTTGTATTTGTAAATCCCAGTAGCTCATACAATGCTTATGCACTTAAATAGGTCCCAGAAACATCCCATCTATGGGGTCATGTTAATGAAACGGTCGTTGACTTTCAGTCGCAGAATTAACATTGCCTTCTCAATGCACTGGAACGGGTGGCCTTTGATTCCTCAAACTTACTTCCCTTACTCCACCTTGGTGGTTTTTTTTGCGGGGAAACGGGATAGGGGATCAGGGTCTTGCTGTGTCGCCGAGCCTGGAGTGCAGTGGCGGAGATCACGGCTCACTGCAGTCTCAAACTCCCAGGATCAAGTGATCCTCCCACCTAAGCCTCCCGAGTAGCTGGGATTACAGACGCGCTTCACCACGGTCGGCTAATTTTTTTAAAAAAAAATTTTTTGGAACGAGGTCTCACTGTGTTTCCCAGGCTGGTCTCCAACTCCTGCGCTCAAACGATCTTCCCACCTCGGCCTCCCAAAGTGCTGGGATTATAGGCGTGAGCCACCGAGCCCGGCCCCACCTTGGTGTTAATATCGTAATATCTTTTAGGCGGGACAGAACCTTTACTGTTACTGAAATCTTCAGTATGAAAGAGGTGGTTTTCTTTCCCCTTACTGCTTGCAGCTTAAGGGTACAAAAATGTTTGTACCTTTACCTAAATTATAATGGTCCTAAGGTGGTTCCATCTGCGTCTGAAAGTAAACCTGACGACTTTCTCAAGTTATGCTGTTGATGATATTCAGAATAATAATTGCTACCTTATATTGCATTCTGATTGTGCAAAATCAGTAGTTCTCAAACTTAGCTCCACATTAGAATCACCTATGGATCTTTAAAAAATTACAAATCCCAAGCCACACCCCAGACCAACTAAATCACAAGTATCACAGTACACAAGTATCAGTGTGTGTGTGTTTGTGTTTGTGTGAGATTAAGCCTAGAACTGCATGCCAAGTTATCAGTGTTTTTTGATGCTTCCCAAATGACTACTGTGCAGACAAATTTTAGTACTGTGGTAAGTATTTGCATGTGTTATTTTATCTTTCCCAAAATTCTGTGTATGAAGCAGGAACTGTTATTGCCATTTTCACACATGGAACTGAGGCCAAGAGAGATTAGGTAACTTCTGAGGTTGCACAGCAGGTTAATGGTGAGACTGGGTTTTTTTGTTTTTTTTTTTTTTTTTTTTTGGAGACAGAGTCTTGCTCTGTCACCTAGGCTGGAGTGCAAGTGGCGTGATCTCAGCTCACTGCAACCTCCACCTCCCAGGTTCAAGAGATCCTCCTGCCTCAGCCTCCCTAGTAGCTGGAACTATAGGCAAGCACCGCCACGCCCAGCTAATTTTTGTATTTTTAGTAGAGACAGGGTTTCACCATGTTGGCCAGGCGGATCTTGAACTTCTGACCTCAGGTGATGTACCTGCCTCAGCCACCCAAAGTGCTAGGATTACAGGCATGAGCCACAGTGACCAGCCGGGACTGGAATTTGAACTTAGGCTTGATGACTAACTTTTGCATTTGCTTTTCTCACTGGCTCCCCCAGCAAATGGTTCTTTGCTTTCACTGCACCCATTGTTTTAACAAAACTAAGAAGAAAGAGGATGCTTTGCTGTTCTAGGAGGCCCTGAAGAACAGTGCTGTTTCAGAAAGCCAGAAGCACAAGAAGTCCCTCTTCCTCAAAACATGATTCCCTGACAGATGACATAAATCAGTTCATTAGGTGCTTATTAGGTGCTTATGCTTTAAAAGCTAATATCCTTTGAAAGTCAAATTGGGTGGGAGGCTTGACTCACCCCTCACTGAACATTTTCACTTACTTTCTGAGTCTGTTTTGCCTCATCTATAAAATGGGGATGAAGCTTGCCCTGCCCACTTCATAAAAACAGTGCTGTGCATATAAGTGCTTTCAAAGCCATCTGTATAATAGCTTGTAATTGTAAAGCGTTATCTCTTTGACACAAATGGAATGTTTTCCTGCACTTTGAAAATGGCATCTTGATGGGGCAGGAGCATGTAGAACAGTCAGAATAAGAGGTCACTTGTGGAGAGCAGATAGCTTTAAAGGGTGCTAGAGTAGCGAGTAATACCTGCCTGAGGGACCAGGACAGGAGACCGGGATGAGAAGCTAACAAGAGGCAGGAGAGTGAGACAGGCTTTGCATGTTAAGATCTTCTGTTTAGGCAGAGGGATTGACATTTAGGGAGATCATTTCTATTATAGTTTGTGAAACACCTTCATTCCACTCATTCCAGCCTTCCCAGGCCAGTCAAGCTCTGACCCTCCATCAGCCTGGAGTCTATTCTCTGTTCAGTCCGTGCCTTTGAGTCTGAAGAGAAAGGTGGAAAGAAGCCGTAGGGGGAGGGAAAGGCTTCCCTCCATCTCCAGCCTTCTCTTCAGGGAGGAACCTTTGGGAAGGACTCCTTTTGAACGCCTGTGTTTTTTGAAAGAACCTAAAATTATCACAGGGCACTAAGCTTTGGTTTAACATCTGAAGGTCTTACTAGAGCCCTTTGACACTGGTGGATTTTAAACCATAATTTCCCAGGTTGAAACCAATGTCCAGTTTGGCTAATTCGTTTGACCAATAGATGAGAGTGTTTCTACCCAGGAGTTCTCTTTTCAGGTATCAAAAAGTGGGACTCAAAACTCTTTAAAAGGAGAAACAAGCTCTTTTAACAGGAATAGTCACTAGCATAAACCCTGTCTTGTTCTGCTTGGTACCTGCAGAACAGGTACCCACATCTGATCTTACTGGTGCCTGTGTACCTATTACTCTTATTTTTTATTTCATTTCATTTGTTTATTTATTTATTTATTTATTTAGAGACAGTCTCACTCTGTCGCCCAGGCTGGAGTGCAGTGGCGCGATCTCAGCTCACTGCAACCTCTGCCTCCCGAGTTCAAGCGATTCTTGTGCCTCAGTCTCCCTAGTAGCTGGGACTGTGGGCAAGTGCCACCGTGCCTGGCTAATTTTTGTATTTTTAGTAGTTTCGCCGTGTTGGCCAGGCTGTTCTCGAACTCCTGACCTCAGGTAGTTTGCCTTCCTTGGCCTTCCAAAGTGCTGCGATTACAGGCGTGAGCCACAGTAATAGGCCTGTGTGCCTATTACACTTAACTACGTGTTCTTTCTAATCTTGTGTTTTGAATTTCTGTACTCTGTCTCCTGTCAAATTTATTATGTTTGGAAAGAGAACTCATTTCCTCTCTAAGCTCTCCCCTCTTGTGTTCTCTCACACGTTAGCATCCTCCGCCCAGTTGCTTGAGCGAGGAGCCTCAGAATAATCCTTGACTTTTTACCAATACAGATCTGTTAGCGTAACGGCCTGCTTTTATAATCTTTTATTTAATCATTGCCAGTAAGAAGTCTAAATTTCTGATCCTGCTTTTTCCTGTGTTGGCTCCAACCTTTATTTCCAGCCACTTACCAAAAGACTCTGTTATTCCTTCTGCATGGCCCATCATCTTCTTTTAAGACTTAACTCATATATCACCTCCTGTGACACCATTCATAAAAATGAGTACAGAGTGTATTCTCTGTACCTTTTTATACTTGACTGAATTAAATGTTAACTCCATGTTGGAGACTGTCATTTGTATTTCTAGTTCCCTGACCTAAAAAGTAATTAGATATGTCAACTTATGGTAAAGTTCTCCTGTCTTACTTAAAGGTACATAGCATTTCACTTTGCCATTGTGTTTAGTGTGTTTTTCTTTTTTCCTCCCAAGGTAGAAACAAATAACTTCTGGGGTAGAAAGCATTTTCAGCTCCCTTTAATAGGGAAGACATTCTTGCAGGTGATTCTGTAGGTTACTGTGGCTGAGGAATGTATGTTCCTGTATTGCATCCTTCAATACATGACAAGGTAGGTACCTAGCAAGTGTACATACGTTGTAATAAATAACTTAGTTTCTGACTTTTTTATTTTAATAGATAACAAATTGCTGGAAAAGTCAGATCTTCATTCAGTGTTGGCCCAGAAACTACAGGCTGAAAAGCATGACGTACCAAACAGGCACGAGATAAGGTATTTTGAAACTAACTTGTATTATTTATGTCTCCTCTAAGGAAATTTATCTCAGTTCAGTTGTCACTTCTCTAATTTAAAAGCAAATCAAGTACTATTTCTGTGTTCCAGTTTTTGTCAGCTCCTTTCAAATAAGAACTAAAACCATGTAATTACAATTGTTTTTTAGAAGGTATGTCATACCTAGAAAGGTTATTATCAGTACAGTGCTCTGAGCTTGAGAAATTTCTTAAGGCAGGTTCACGTGGTAACCCTAGGTCAGTTTCTCATCTAACCTGCCAGGATTCATGTTTTTTTGTTTCTTTGTTTTTAAATAATCACAGACAAGTATTTCTGAGCGGGTTTGTGTAGATCCTGTTAATGTAGGATTGATTGGCACATACGTAAAAATTGCTTTCCTGCAGTATGGGTCTATTTGATCCTTTTTAGGTTGGTGTTTTTTTCAACATACAAATGGTCCCCAACTTGCAGTGGTTCGACTTATAATTTTTCTTTTTCTTTTTTTTTTTTTTCTTTTTTGAGACAGTCTCACTCTGTCACCCAGGCCGGAGTACAGTGGCACGATCTCAGCTCACTGCAACCTGCAACCTCTACCTCCTGGGTTCAAGCAATTCTCCTGCCTCAGCCTCCCAAATAGCTGGGTCTACAGGAACCCACCACCACACCTGGCTAGTTTTTGTATTTTTAGTAGAGGCAGGGTTTCACCATGTTGGCCAGGCTGGTCTCGAACTCTTGACCTCAAATGATCCACCTACCTCAGCTTCCGAAAGTGTTGGGATTACAGGCGTGAGCCACCGCACTGGCCAGCTTACAATTTTTTTTGTTTTGTTTTGTTTTGTTTTGTTTTGTTTTGAGATGGGGTCTCGCTCTGTCGCCCAGGCTAGAGTGCAGTGGCGCGTTCTGGGCTCAGTGCAAGCTCCGCCTCCTGGGTTCAAGCCATTCTCCTGCCTCAGCCTCCCGAGTAGCTGGGACCACAGGCACCCGCCACCACGCTTGGCTAATTTTTTGTATTTCTGGTAGAGACGGGGTTTCACCGTGTTAGCCAGGATGGTCTTGATATCCTGACCTCGTGATCCGCCCGCCTCGGCCTCCCAGAGAGGTGGGATTACAGGCTTGAGCCACCGCGCCCAGCCCAGCTTACAATTTTTAACCTTTATAATGGTGCAGAAGCGATACACTTTCAGTAGGACTGTGCTTTGAGTATCCATCCAACCAGTCTGTTTTTCCCCTTCAGTTTAGTATTCAATAAATTGCATGAGATATTCAACAACTTATTATAAAATAGGCTTTGTGTTAGATGATTTTGCCCAACTGTAGGCTAATGTAAGTGTAACCTATGATACTCAGTAGGTGAGATGTATTGAATGTATTTTCAACCTACTATATATTTTCAACTTCTGATGGGTTTAAAGAGACATAGCCTCAGTAAGTAGAGGAACATCAGTATTAGTAGATTGTGAAATCAAATTAGCAGATTGCAGTAAGCTCTTATTTTTCTTTAAGAACTAGATTAGAAAAATATCAGTGTGTGCTGGGCTTGGTGGCTCACACCTGTAATCCCAGCACTTTGGGAGGCCAAGGCGGGTGGATCACAGGGTCAGGAGTTCAAGACCAGCCTGGCCCTGATGGTGAAACCCCATCTCTACTAAAAATACAAAAATTAGCCGGGCATGGTGGCGGGCGCCTGTAATCCCAGCTACCCGGGAGGTTGAGACAGAATTGCTTGAACCTGGGAGGCGGAAGTTGCAGTGAGCCAAGATTACACCACTGCACTCCAGCCTGGGTGACAGAGCGAGACTCCGTCTCAAAAAAAAAAAAAAAATATCTATATATCTATATATCTATATATCTATATCTATCTCTTGGTGTGTATTGATAGAATATTTCATGAAATACATATTTGTTCATGGCGGGGTATTTGTGTTTACTGGGTCACTGGTGTGCATTTATGTATATTTGAAGTCTTATTATCCTCTTCTGTAATATTCATTGTGTTTGCATGTTAAATTTGGTATGGGGACAGTAGCCATTATTGCTCTGAAATCTCCACACATTTAGCAATTGTAAAAACAAGGTTGGTGATTTATGGTGTCTAGAAATGGTAGCTGTAGCCTGATGTATTTACTCCTAGAGCTGTAGCTGCTCTCATGTCTCCTCATCTGGCACGATGGTCTCCTGATAGAGGACAGAGTGGGAAAGATACCAGAGAACAGATGGCTTGGCAGGGCCTAGCTTCCATCCTTGCTTTGTAACAGTTCAGGAGATCCTGCCTGGCTGTGGCCCTGGGAGGCCTTCTGTAGTACTTAAGATATTAGTTTTAGTATTTTGGTTAATTTTAGGTGTAGATAATGCTGTTTCACCATTTTCGTCTAAATTCATCCAATTGAAAACTAAAAACATTTCTATCTGATTAAACCCTTGATGACTATATTCTTGTATTCTTTATCTGTTAGCCAAACTCATGTGCTTGGAATATGCAGCCGTTCTTTTGGCTAAATTTCACTGGGATAGACTTTTTTGAGGCAGGGTCTCTCTCTGTTGCCCAGGCTGGAGTGCAGTGGCATGATCATGGCTTACTGCGGCCTCAACTTCCAGGGCTCAAGCAATCCTCCTGCCTTAGCCTTCTGAGTAGCTGGGAGACTATAGGTGTGCACCACCATGCCAGTCTAATTTTTTAATTTTTTGTAGAGATAGGGGTCTCACTGTGTTACCCAGGCTGGTCTTTACTCCTGGGCTTAAGTGATCCTCCCTCCTCAACCTTCCATTAGTGTTGGGTTTACAGGCATGAGCCACCACACCCAGGGGGATGGTCATTTAGTTGGAGGTCTTGTTATAAACCAGGTTCATTCAGCCCACACACAGCAAGTTAATCACTGAGATGATGGGTTTTGTGAGAGTTTATTCATAACGTGGCCAAGCAAGGAGGCAGGAGAACAGGTCTCAAATCCACCTCCTTGAAAACAGGGATTGGGGGTACTTAGGCAGTAGAAAGCAGGGTGGTCTAAAGTGTGGGAAGAGGTGATTGGTGGGTAGGAAAGATGAGGTAATTGGGGCTTCCACGCAAGCATAATCTAGCTTTGTGGTTCCTCATAGGACACATGCAGAAAATGGTGGCGTCAGCACCATCTGAGGGAGGAGTGTTTTGGCCCTCTGATGTCAAAAGATCACCTCTTGGGCATTCACACAGGCCCAGTTGAAGGGTTGGGGGTCTCAACCAGCTTTAATGAGCAAGAGCTGCCTCCTAGTTCCTGGAGAAAAACTTTAAGCACCAGTTATTGTAGTGAGCCACAGTCAGTTATTATTTATAAGGAAGCTATTGGGAGTTTAGTTATGTGTTGTTTGGCAACTCGACTTGCTAGTGGGAGTTTGGAACTAGAAAAAAGTGATGAAAAGCAGGCAAGGCAGGTTGAACGGTGGGCTTCATCAGGTTACCCCTTGTTCAGTCTTTCCATTTCCACAAACATTATCCATAATAAGCCTGCCCTCCTGACTTCTTTGTTTCCATTCACAGTATCGTTGTTTTCCACTAGTCATCTATGGTTCCTTCTTCCCTCTAGATCTTCCCATCTCCATATTCCTTTATTCCTCATATTCCCCATATTCACCAAGCCCATTGGTTCTCCACCCCCTAGCCTCTTGCATCCTTTGGTTTGCATTTATTTTGCCACCTCCTTTGTTTATTTATCTTCTTATTCCCAGACTGTGGTGAGAGCCTCATTCACTCAAAAGACTCCTGTGACCGTAGTGTGGGCTGGGCATTAGGGCTGTAGAGATGAGTAAGCCAGAGTCCCTGCTCTGAGGAGGAATAGAGTCTAGTGGGGGAGACCAACTCAAAGGGACATTTGCTAGAGAATGTAAGGGTGTTCACAGAAGCTGGGCACTTTGTTGGTTTCCTTTCCCCTCCTTCCTGTCTCTCCAAAGTTCCTGCCTGTCTCATCCTAATTAACCGTAAAACACTGCACACTGTGCTTAAATAGTGATCTGCATCAGTTATCAGACTTTCTCTTAAGTATTTTCATCACTTTGCCTACAGTTTAAAATCAAACTCTTCAGCCTCGAAATTGTTTATTCTAAGCACGGTTCCTGGACTAGTGACATCTTCTGGGAAACTGTTAGAAACGAAGATTCTTGGGCCCCACCTCAGACCTACTCTATTAGAAACTCTGGGGGTGGGGCCTGGTAATCTGTGTTTTCAGAAATGCTTTAGCTGATTGTAGTGACCTCTGAAGTTTGAGCACTACCACCTTTACTGCTACTCAGACTTCCTGGAACCAGCAACATTCCCATCACCAGAGCGCAGAAAGTCAGAAATGCAGATGGCTGGGCCTTGCCAGGAAAGCAGGTCACCTGTTAGTGGGCTCCAGGAATCTGTGCTTGAAACATGCCCTCGGAGTGATTGTTTTTTCTACTTGCCGAAGCACTTTAGGGGGCTGATATTCATTGTAAGTAAAATAAGAAGTCCTTGGAGGCTTTGGGTCATGGAAAGAGCTGTATCCTGCTTGCCTTAGTCTCTCCTAGCATTTCTGTTGTGTTCTGTGTCTTGGTAGACTTTGAAGTTTAAGCATCTAATCCTGAGGCTCCTCTGCCTGATGATCTTGCCTCCATTTTGCCCTTCCTAGGAGATTCCTACTTTAGTTCCTCTTTGGAAACCCCTCCCAAAATGAAACCATCCTTGTCTGGGGAAATCTTTGCCTCTGAACATGATTAACACTTTCCATCGTCACTCTTTGATACACTTTTGTTTTTCTTTGTGTTGTTAGTTTTTGTTTTGTTTTGCTTTGTTTTTTTGTTGCTCTGTCGCCCAGGCTGGAGGGCAGTGGCGCAGTCTCAGCTCACTGCAACCTCCGCCTTCCGGGTTCATGCCATTCTCCTGCCTCAGCCTCCCGAATAGCTGGGACTACAGGTGCCCGCCACCACGCCCAGCTAATTTTTTGTATTTTTAGTAGAGACGGGATTTCACCGTGTTAGCCAGGATGATCTCGATCTCCTGACCTCGTGATCCGCCCGCCTCGGCCTCCCAAAGTGCTGGGGTTACAGGCTTGAGCCACCGCTCCCGGCCTGTTGTTAGTTTTTATTTCATGAATCTGTTCTATAGCTAGCCAGCTCCTTGGAAGGTGGGTCCACATCTTACATGCTTGAGTCCAGGAGTTCGAGGCCAGCCAGGGCAACATAGTGAGATACCATCTCAATAATTTTTTAAAAGGTGGGGGAGATTTGATAATTATTCTGCCTGATTTAGGATGGTTTCATGTAAAGTGTGTTCCACTGTCTAATCTCTTGGCATTACTTCTTGGGTTAAGATTGGGGAAGTGCCAGGTTGCCTCAAGATAAGGTATTAGTTTGTGCTTAGCTATGTAATAACAATACATATAGAGATGGAAGGACTGCTATACTACCACCTTTATCCCCCTCTTTTTATTTTATTCTGGGTCATATGGAGGGGGCAGTTCTTTCCGCTCTCATCGGATGTTGGATGAGAGGAACAAGTGTCCAGCCTTGTTCCTTTTCTCCATCTACAAGCTTTCCCTAGACAGTGGTTTCAGCTGCTCACTATAGTCTGATAATTCTCACCTGTGACACCAGCTTTCTCTCGAACTATAAATCCACAGTTCTAGTTGTCTTCTGCTGTATCTGAGATATTATGCAAACACTTGGCAAAGATTCCAAAACTGCATTGACTCTGGAGGTGATCTGAACTCACTCCTGTGGCTTTAGGCACATCTGTTTGCTGACAGTGTCTACATGTTAGCCTCCAGCTTGGACTTCTTCTTGAGGTTCAGACTCTTAATACTCAGTTTCCATTTGACAGTACTCAGTTTTCACTTGAATGGCCACAAACGAACTCTTTAGGTCTCCTCCAAAACCTGCTCCTCCCACAGTCTTGCCCATTTCAGTGGGTGACACCTACCTTCTACCAGTTGCTCAGGCCAAAAGCCTTGATTCATCCTTGACTCCTATCTGTCTTCATGCCCCATAGCCAATTCAAAGTCAAGTCCTGTTAGCGCTGTCTTTGGAATGGATCTAGAATCAGACCGTATCTCACCTCACTGCTCCCACCCTGGTCTGAGCCGCACTGTCCCATGTTTGCACTTCACAGTAGCCTGCTGGCTGGTCTTCCTGTTTCGGCCCTTACCCCACTGCAATCTGCTCTCCTTTTAAAACCTAAGTCATTCAGCTGCTCAGAGCCCTCCAGCAGCTTCCCTTCACGCCTAGTAAACCTCACAGCCCTCGGAGGTGCCCACAAGGCTCTGCATCATTTCCCCACCTCGTCCTTGACCGCACCTCCTCTGTCCCCCTGTGCCTGGGCTTCAGTCACCCTTCCTCCAAATACACCACCTGCTGTACACCTCTCCAGGCTCTGCTGCTGCTGCTCCTTCTGCCCAGAGGGCCCTTCCCTCAAGGGTCCACATGGCTTATTCCTCACTTCCTTACAGTCTCTAGTCATGTGTCACGTAGGAGAAACCCTCCTCAATTACGTTAAAATAGGACCCCCTCCCTCTGTTCCCCTTCTTGTGCTTGAGTTTTCTGCAAGCACATGTGACTGCTGACCTCACACGTGCTCTCAGTTGACTGTCAGCTGTGTGGAAGCAGAGCCCTGCACTCACTGCTGCGTCATCGGCACTCAGGTCCTTGCTGAGCCAGTGGGCCCTGTTGGTGCCTGTTACTGGGACTTCATTCAGGAACTTTCCACCCTTTATTCCTGATGTGCCTGATGGTCACAGTTGCTTTGCTTTTTTCCATGTGTTTCATGTCTCCTCCTTTCCACTCATAGTGCCTGTAACCGCAGCTGCTGGAGACACCCGAATGGTTTATTGGCTTTGTGAACATGTTTCTGGAGTTATGGTTTCATTGCCTAATTGGAAAGGTTTGGAGTCTCATTTTTCCCCCTCCGTTTTTTGCACATTCTCTTCATCTGCCTGGTTTGCCAATTTAGTCCCGGACATGATGGCACATGGAATGACAATCAGCTACAAGAAATGGCCCAACTGAGGATTAAGCACCAAGAGGAACTGACTGAATTACACAAGAAACGTGGGGAGGTAAAGCTAGCCCTTTTCCTCATCTGTCTTCTGCCCTCTATGAGAGTCCTGTGGGGAGCGGGGGAGCTCAGTCACTTCTCACCAGAATTGGCAGCAGCCTTAGCCATATGTGGCATCAAAAGTCCCCTCCATAGGAATAAAAGGGTGAGGAAAACAGAATGAAAAGACCAGGCAGATTGAGGCCCATCACCAGAAGGGCAATCCTGTGAGAGCGCTGCCAGTTACCATGCTCCAAAATCAGCATGAGAGGCAAGAGTGGAGAGGCTTTAAAGAACAAAAAAGCCTGCTACCTGGTGCGCTGAAGGCCTCACTGATGGTTTCATAAAGCTTTTCAGTACAAACCCTGAAATTTCAGAGACATTCGTGAGAAAGAATCAAGTCCTAGGCTGTGTTCGCCTGGATGGTGGTCTTACGGCAAAGCTCCAGTTGGGAAAATACAGTTCACCATCAGTACAGCTGAATTGATTATCTTTTCAGCAGAAATGAGTCTCCAAAAAGGTAGCTGAAGTTGAGGAGTAGACAGCTGTCCTCAGCAAGCCCCTGGCAGTCACCTGGAACACTTCTCATTCCAGCCAAGCTGTCCTTCAACAGGGAGTGGCAGGGATAGTTCCCCTTTGTGTCCCCATAGGCGCCTCGGCTCCTTGCTGTCACCCAGCTCATTTATTCTTTCTTAAAAATAAATCGCCACCCACTGTGTAGTTTCCAAATGAGGTCCTAAAATTTTTATTTATGAAAGTATTCTTCTTTATCTCCCAGTTAGCTCAACTGGTGATTGACCTGAATAACCAAATGCAGCGGAAGGACAGGGAGATGCAGATGAATGAAGCAAAGTGAGTAGAGACCCCGCCTCCTTGGAGCCTGGTCATTGGGTCCCATGTCCTTTGTTCTGCTGACCTCTTGTGAGCAGGGCCAGTGGCAGTGAGTGGCCACAGTGCACTTAGCGAGAGTTTGATTTTCAGTGCATACACACTCTGGGATCCTTTTCTACCAGCTCTGAGAAGGAAAAAGCAAGGACAGTGCCCACAGGCTTCTAGCATCCTCCTAGGGATGTCACCTTGGCTCTTGCAAGTGGCCCAGAGACACTAGCAGCTCTCCTGTGGCCGCTGTGTGTGGGAGCTGGTATGTTCCTGTGGTGGAGGTGGTAGGGCCAGGATAGCTGAGCGCATGGCCCTTGGGAAAAGGGAAATGAGTTTGTGAGCAAAACTGTTGCTGACCAGGGAGAAGCCTGGCAGACAAGATAAATGGGGACTCTGAATCCTGAGACCTTGGAGCTGGGGTAGCGTGTGCTTGGGTTTCCTTAATATGTGGAAAGGGGTCTAGAGGCTTGGAAAGGCAGGGCGCTTGCTCAGGCTTTTGCTCAGGAAATGTCAGAGCTGGTGAAATATATACGGTTTCCAGCCTCCTTTTAAATCCCCTTTACCAATCTAAGCATCGAAAGTTTCTCTTCCTTCACATCGTGTTTTTCCTAGTCATTAATAGGATGAATTTCACCTTAGGTGTTTCCTCTCCTAATGGATTATCCTGTAAACCATGGGGATGGGCCTGGCTAAAAGATGTTGTAACAGACACAAAGTGTTAAGCACTCAGCCAGGTCCGTCTGGCTCTGGCACAGGGCTCTGGCGAGGTACTATTCGTCCTCTGATGTCATGCTTCCAGAATTGCAGAATGTTTGCAGACTATCTCTGACCTGGAGACGGAGTGCCTAGACCTGCGCACTAAGCTTTGTGACCTTGAAAGAGCCAACCAGACCCTGAAGGATGAATATGATGCCCTGCAGATCACTTTTACTGCCTTGGAGGGAAAACTGAGGAAAACTACGGAAGAGAACCAGGAGCTGGTCACCAGATGGATGGCTGAGAAAGCCCAGGAAGCCAATCGGCTTAATGCAGAGAATGAAAAAGACTCCAGGTGGGCTATCAATCCACAGTTAGTGGTTTCCATCCTTAGTAGAGTAGAACCTAGGTCTTTGAAAAGAAAGAGATAAACCTGGCAGTTACTACAGGAGGTTTACCAGGGAATTCTTTCAGTGTTTCAAGGAGAAAAGCTAATTCTGAACAATATAAATTAAACCAGAGTTAGAAAAAGGAAATACACCACAATTAGAATTCTTCCCCATAATTTTGTGAAGCTTTTTGTATCCATATAAAAATTCTGATCTTGCTAATGCACAAGAAGACTATAATCCAACCTTATATGAATATAGATGTGAAATTCCTAAATCAGACTCATTGATAGATTTTTATTTATTTTTTGAGACAGAGTCTCGCTCTGTTGCCCAGGCTGGAGTGCAGTGGCATGATGTTGGCTCACTGCAACCTCCACCTCCCGGGGTCAAGTGATTCTCCTGCCTCAGCCTCCTAAGTAGCTGGGATTACAGGCATACACCACCACGCCTGGCTAATTTTTGTATTTTTAGTAGAGGTGGAGTTTCACCATGTTGGCCAGGCTGATCTCAAACTCCTGACCTCAGGATCCACCCGCCTCGGCCTCCCAAAGTGCTGGGATTAGAGGTGTGAGCCCCACCGCCTGGCCATTGATAGATTTTTTAAGAATTCCCTGCAATCCTGCTAAGTCTATTTATTTAAGATAAATCTGAAACCTACTGAGACATGGGAATTAAAAGATGGATTATCAAGAAATCAATTACGTTAGGAATTTGAATCTCTGTTGTGGAAAATGTGCGTGTTTAAAAGCTGCCCCAGAGAGCCCAGTCATCCCCTGGTCAAGGTCCACTGATCAACCGTCTATATACACTCTTACTAAAACCTGCAAGAGAACAAGGAGAGGTTCACTCTCACAACTCACAGAGAACACCGATCTGGATGTTCTGGCCAACCAACCATTGAAAAGAAGGAGTGATCACCCACCTAGAAACCTAAGAAAATGAGCTGAAAAGCTGTTAACACAAGTTCAGCAGATGCCAGGTGCAGTAAGTAGCTCATGCCTGTAATCCCAGCACTTTGGGAGGCGGAGGCGGAGGCGGAGGCGGAGGCGGGAGGATCGCTTGAAACCAGGAGTTTCAAGAGCAGCCTGAGCAACATAGTGAGACTCCATCTGTACAAAAAACAAAAACAAAAGCTGAGCATGGTGGTATGTGCTTGTGGCCTCAGCTACTCAGGAGGCTGCTGCGGGAGAGTTGCTTGAGCCCAGTAGGTTAAAGCAACAGTGAGCCAAAGTTGTGCCACTGCATTCCAGCCTGAGTGACAGAGCGAGACCCCATCCAGAAACAAACAAAAAAGCTCTACAGATTAGAACATACATATTTTTAAATCCCCATATCAGTAGTTTCGAGTTTGAAGAGATTATTCCAGTTAATTTAAAAGTGAATAAATGACAATAGGAAAGAGTCTTTTAAAGGGAATAAATGACGATAGGAAAGAGTCTTTTAAAGGGTGATGATGGAAAAACAAGTTAGCATATCAAAGAGATAATCTGCACTACCATCATGTTTGTGGCAGCACCATTCACAATAGCCAAGATACGGATCAATCTACATATTCATCATTGGCTTAATGGATAAAGAAAATGTGCTGTACACACACACAATGGAATATTATTCGCTATAAAAATGAATTAAATCATGTTATTTACAACCACTTGGATGGAACTGGAGGACAGTATATTAAGTGAAATAAGCCAGGCACAGGAAGGCAGATACTGCGTGCTTCTACATGTGGGGCTAAAAGAAAAATGTTCTCCTAGAGATACAGAGTATAACTGTGGTTACTAGAGCATGGGAAGAGTAGTGGGGAAGGAGGTTAAAGAGAGATTACTTAATGGATACAAAAATACTGTAAATGGATATAAAAATACTGTTAGAAGGTGTAAGATTGGCCTGGTGTGGTGGCGCACACTGTAATCCTAGCACTTTGGGAGGCCAAGGAAGGTGAATCACTTGAGGTTAGGAATTCGAGACCAGCCTGGCCAACATGGTGAAACCCCGTCTCTAATAAAAATACGAAAATTAGCCGGGTGTGGTAGCGGATGCCTGTAATCCCAGCTACTCAGGAGGCTGAGGCAGGAGAATCGCTTGAACCCGGGAGGTGGAAGTTGCAGTGAGCCAATATCATGCCACTAGGCTCTAGCCTGGGCAGCAGAGCAAGACTCTGCCTCAAAAGCAAAACGAAAAGAATACTTAGTGCTGTGGAAAATGCCTAAAATTAATATAACCGAAAATAGGACACAAAATGTTTTCATACAGATGATCCCAATTTTGTATACTTTTTTAAAAAAATGACTGGAAGGAATTATATGTACTGTTACTGGTGTTTATTTTTGGGGGTGGTGAGATTATGGTTTTTGATTTCTCATTTTATACTTACCTGTATTTTCTAATTTTCCGGTTTCTATTAAGAAAAAATAAGCTGTCCTTTTTGTATTGTTTCTGTCTCACATTTACTTTAAGCAGAATTGTTTGGCTTATGCCATGGAGCTTGACAGCAGTGTGAGGGTGTTGGGGGCCCCAGGTGAGCTGGATGCTGCTAGGTTGCATGTTCACGTCAGCTGAGAGGCTGCTGGAGGGAGAAGTTGGGGAGATGTGTGGTGATGCCAAGGAAGAGCCCCTGAGCAGTGCAGTGGACGGGGGGTAATGCACATTTCCTAGTGAAAATGCTGTCCTCATTCCCTAGCCCACCCTTTGAAGCATCTTCCTAGGGCTGTGCACTTGGAGGTATCATGTGATTGCAGATGTGGGACCTGAGGAGTCTTCATTACTTTGCTTAGGTAGCCTCTCCTCCTAGAAGCCTTCCTGCGTCATTACCCACTTCCTGCCTCCCCAGCTTAGATGTCCCTCATCTTCCTGCTTCAGGCAGCTGTGGTTTACCTGGGCCATATGTAGCACACTGTTTTGAGATAGCTCTTCACACTCTGCCTCCTTCCCTTATGCTGCCACGTGTCCCTGTGGTCAGGCACAGTGGCTGCTTCATAAGATGCACTCAGGGCTGGGCACGGTGGCTGCTGCCTGTAATCCCAGCACTTTGGGAGGCCAAGGCAGGTGGATCACCTGAGGTCAGGAGTTCAAGATCAGCCTGGCCAACATGGCAAAACCCTGTCTCTACTACTAAAAACACAAAAATTAGCTGGATGTAGTGGCAGGTGGCTGTAATCCCGGCTACTCAGGAGGCTGAGACAGGAGAATCGCTTGAACACAGGAAGCGGAGATTGCAGTGAGCCGAGATGATGTCACTGCCCTCCAGCCTGGGTGACAGAGAGAGACTCTGTTTGAGCTATTAAAGACCTTTCCTTTCAGCTATAGTGATGAATCCCTGATAACAGGTGGTGTTTTCCTCTCCCTGTGACCCTAAGTCAAGTTTTTATCTCCACCTTGCAGAACTGGGACCTGAAGTTATAGAAAGTAGATTTCAGACAGTCAACAAGTGCTTTAATCATAGAGTAGTGGTACTCACACACCTTATACCGAGATTCTGGTTTTTCCTCAAAGAGAGTTAGTTCACAGTTGTCTCTACCAGCTAAGACAATTTGGATAAATTGTATTTTTGGTAATTTGCCCTGTAAAACTTATTTTTCATCTTCCAGGTATAAAATCAAGAGTGTAATGCACTTTTTAAGCTATACCCACATCCCTTCCCAAGATTCTGCTATACTGCCTAGAGGACTTTCCTTCATTTTGAGAATTACCACCGTGGTAAAAACTTACGAGAAATTTCAGCAGAATTCTTGATTGCAGCTCAGTAGCATTGCTAGAGTTCTACATTAGGGGTCCTCCACCTAGCAGGCATAGCCATAGTTAGAAGTGAAATTTATCAAAGAAGAGAGAGTAAGGTCAGGGTTAGGAGTTAGGGAGTTTCTGAATTTAGGACTTGAATGAGAGACAAAAATGATTCTGAGAAGGGGAGTTAGTGGATGAGACTTTGACCATGTTAAAAATTTGTCACAGCCAAGACTTCTATGTCAAGCTTTAGTAAATTAAAGTTACTAATGTTATGTAAACTTTGACATTTCAAGAATCTCACTATACCTCAGTTTCCTCATTTATAAATGGCAATAATGATATTTACCTCAAAAGGTTGTTATAAGGCTTAAATGAGTTAAAGTCTGTAAAGTAATTAACAATGTCAGGTAAGGGGAAGTCCTAAGTAAATCTTCACTGTTAGTAATCAGGCTGTGGGTGTGTTAATGCAGGTTGAGCATCCCATATCCCAAACTCCACAATGCTCCAGAATCTGAAACTTCTTGAGTGCCAACATGACACTCAAAGGAAGTACTCATTGGAGCACTTCAGATTTCCGATTTACCATTAATTTCAACTGAATTTCATATTTAGACCTGGATCCTGTCCTCAAGATTTATATCATGTTTATGCAAAACTTCAAAATCTGAGAAAATTCGAAATCTGAAACACTGGTAGTCCCAAACATTTCGAGTAATGGATGCTCAACCCGTGTAAGACTATTTGCTGCAGAAAACTTAAGTCACAACCATGACTAACCCTCAGTGAGCCTGAGGCATGTGTCTATCCTAAGATACCCTTGGTCCCAGAAGGCAGGCCTCCTCCTTTGCCAGTTCACTGCTTTCTCTAATAATGTGGCCTATCTCTCTTCTAGGCTTTACTCTGAAACCCTTTAAAAGGGGAGCCTTACTGATGTTATGAGTTTGGGCTTGTGACTTTTGAGTATTTTGCTCAGGGTAGTTGTTATTTTACATGCACTGAATGTGTTATTAGAACTGGTGGCTTCTAGAGAGCCCAAACCCCGTGCTTTCTTAAGCAGACATAAATGGTGGGCTTTTTTTTTTTTTTTCCCAACAGGAGGCGGCAAGCCCGGCTGCAGAAAGAGCTTGCAGAAGCAGCAAAGGAACCTCTACCAGTCGAACAGTAAGTAAAGATAAATGAATCAAAACTGTGTTTCTGAAAATTTGGCTCTCTTAAAAGTTTTGTTTTTATTTTTTTTTTTGTTTGGTTTTTTTTGAGACAGGGTCTTGCTCTGTTGCCCAGGCTGGAGTGCAGTGGTGTGATCATAGCTTCTAATGTTTTTATTTCTGTAAAATCATCTTACAGATTTTAGAAAGAAAAATGTTAAAGGAAGAAAATGAAAACATACAGTTCTTCCACCACTCAGAACTAACATCCATATATCATTTTAATTGTATTTTGCTGGCTTCTAATTTCTCACAAATCATGTACTGATACGGCCTTTGACCCTATTTCTGATTACTTACTTGAGATAGATTATTGAAAATAAAATTTGATGGGTCAAAGCTTTTGGAACATCACCAAATAACCTTCCAAAAAGTTTGTGTTCATCAGCTGTGAATGTGAATTCTAACTTCCTGCACTCAGTACCCGTTACTGCCTCACTGTTTCCTGTTGACACTTTGAACGATCAGTTTTCTGCCTCTTAATTGTGCCTGCCATGTAATGCGGTGGGGTTTTTGTTGTTGTTGTTTTGTTTGTTTTTTCCCTCCTTGCTCCCTTTGGTTTGTAACTTAAAGTGGAAACTTAAGCGAAAACTAAGATCTCTTGGAACAAAAGGAATCAAACTAGTTCTGGAGCTTTTCCTAATCTGCCTACAAGTTAAGGTGGGGTATCTTCTCTGAGATTTGAAGCTTTCATAGTGGTAGAAAAGAGTTTCCTTCGCTCTAGGATGTTTCTTTTCTATTGAAATGTGTTTTGGAATATAGTTTTAGAGTTTTGATCCACTATTTTTTAAAATGTTGGTTGCTTCCCTGTAAGTGGAGGGGTTTAAATTCAACTAGGAGTCATTCACCAACTAACGTCTTAATTTACAAAGAAACAAAGGTTCCCATATCATGCCTTTGCTTTAGATATGTAGGGTACGTGTGTGTCTGCACTCTCAGATGTGGAAGATTAATCTCAGTTGTATTTTCCCAAGCCACAAAGTAAATAAATAGTTGACCTGGAAATGAGATTTGGTTTCTTCAGAATAACAGCTTATAAAAGTGTCATTTGCATAACCGGGTTGACTGGGATAATTTAGACAGGTTGAGCATCCTGCCCAAGATCATACAGGAAGGGGCCGAGGTAGGATGCAAACACAGGGCTGTAAAAGCCTGTTATTTTATTTTGTATTTTATTTTATTTTGAGATGGAGTTTCACTCTTGTGGCCCAGGCTGGAGTGCAATGGTGCAATCTCAGCTCACTGCAACCTCCGCCTCCCAGGTTTAAGCGACTCTCCTGCCTCAGCCTCCCAAGTAGCTGGGATTACAGGCATGCGCCACCACGCCCAGCTAATTTTGTATTTTTAGTAGAGATGGGGTTTCTCCATGTTGGTCAGGCTGGTCTCGAACTCCTGACTTCAGGTGATCTGCCCGCCTTGGCCTCCCAAAGTGCTGAAATTACAGGCATGAGCCACCGAGCCCGGCCTAAGGCCTCTCCTTAATCTCTATGCTTCCCTAAGGAGTTTCTGGGTCAGAGGACATACATCTTTGAAAGGTTTTGATAACTTAGCAAATGCTAGTGTTTTCTTGTGGTCCCGGGCCTAAGCACAGTTGCAAGTACTTAAAACCATAAAATTCTATTTTCAACAGGACATTGTCAAAGGCTCAGCTCATATTTGCAGTTCCTGTCTTTGCAGTTCTCCTCTCTTCCTTGTATGGGCACAGGTGACTCTCGCAAACCTAGATCCCTGGGAAAGCCAATCAAGAAAATAAAGCACAGCCTTGTCCTTTTTCTTTCGACCTGCCTTTTATTCCCTTCTACATCCTGGCCAAGAATGTGGTGCAATAATTACACATAGTCCTGGAATAAATAGCTAAGGAAAATAAATTTACTTTGACCAGGTTTAACTTGCTTAGTAACAGGTTCTTAAGTATATATTTACCTAATCCAGATAATTATTTATTGAAAAGGAAAAATCTTTCTGTCAAGTTCTTATGAATCCAAACAGTAGGTGATGAAATCTTGGGTTATTACATTTAATTATCTTCTCCATGAAGGTTGCATCTCAGTAGGAGGTCATTAAGACCAAAATAATTACTTGCCCTCCTCCAAGTAGGAAAGACGTGGCCCAGAAAAATGAGGAAGGGGGATTCCAGAGGTACTTTGCATCCGCTGGGATAAACAGCAACAAAGGGAGCATGTCCTATGACTTGATTATGTCATTTGAAGTGTGATGGGCTCTCCTAATGTCAGAGACACTATGTATTTAAGCATAAAATGCGCAGAGTCAAAAATGCATAGTGTTTAAATTTTGCTTTTCTATTTTTTAAAGTAATATTTGAAACTGGGTTAAGTTGGCTGTTGATTTCATGGCCCATTTAGCCATCCCTTCTTTCCCTGAATTCTCCCTACACTGTTGTTTTATATTCCATAGCTGCTGCCCCTAACTACCCTAGGTACCCCTCAGCCCTTGTGTCATGGGAACTGTGCTTGGTGAGTACTGCAGCCCTTCAACAGTGATGCTGACTGTTGATGGAATGCCCTACTTTGGCACTGGTTATGTGGTTATAGACTCAACAGATCATATTTTATTGCTTCAAGTGGGAACTGTGTTTATACCTAAAAGGATCAAAAGCTCACTTTTAAATTTATTCTCAGTTGAAATTCTGGATTTGATTTGAACAGGTTAAATGTTTATTGTAGTGTTGTTCAGAACATGGCAGCTCTTCCTTTTTCTCCAAAGAATCTTTAACGCATTGCTGTCATAGCCAAGTGGTTTAGGATCTAACTAGAAAATGACATTAGCATTTGCGGAACCGATTAATCACAGAACTGTTCAGGAGAATCAAAGAATGTCTTGCCTTTCTTTCCAGGGATGATGACATTGAGGTCATTGTGGATGAAACTTCTGATCACACAGAAGAGACCTCTCCTGTGCGAGCCATCAGCAGAGCAGCCACGTAAGTAGGCAGGTTTGGGCCAGGGAAAAGACAGCTTGAGGAGCAATATGAAGGCACATCTGTGGACATGACAAAGAATGCAGTCAGATGCACCCAACCCCTTACCCCTTTTCTGGGACACCCAGCGTCGAACACACCACAGAGGTGTCCAGTCTTTCTCAGTTCACCTCTGCTTAATGGGAGGGAAGCAGAACACGGGTGGCTTCAAATGCTTCTAAATACAAAAAAATGTAGTGGCTTACTCAAATATGGACAGTGAAACCTTATTAAGCAGAATGATTGTTTAGGTTTGATCATCCTGTTTCATTCTTACTAGGGCTTCCCCCCGCCCGCACCGCCCTTCAAGAGTGGGGATTGGTTACTAACAGTCAGAAATTGTGAAGTTAGTTAGCCAGGAATTGTGAGGTTAGTTGTCTAATGCTTTATTTCCAGGGAAATTAATTTAATACTAGGGAACCTTGTTTCTTTTGAAACTTCTAGGCTGGGTTTTCCCTTTCCCTTCCCACTGTTTTCTGGCAGTTTGGTACTGTGTTGGGTTTCTCTTGGCTGGGGTTTGGGAACTAAGTGGGAAACATATTCCCAGTTACCTGTTTTTGTGGGCTGTTTATTGATTGATTATTTGGGCAAAATGTTTCTAAGGTTTAAACCTATCCTCCCCTCCTCTTTAGTAAGCGACTCTCGCAGCCTGCTGGAGGCCTTCTGGATTCTATCACTAATATCTTTGGGTAGGTTAGAAGACCTTTCCTTTTTAAATGTGTATAAGTATACCTAAGTATATGTACATGACTTATTTTTATTCTTTAAATGTACACCAGGTGTCAGTGATGCAGAGTATACATATGCCTTAATATCAGCTTTTCATTTAGCTTCTTCCTTTTTTCCTCAACTTCCTTTCCTCTTAATCTCGCTGCGTGCTGATCTCTGGCCTTTCCCTTTAGTCTGTCCGAGTCTCCCCTTTTGGGACATCATTCTTCTTCTGATGCTGCCAGGTGAAACTATTATCCTCTCTTAGTCCAGCATGTGAGTGTGGGTCCTTAACAATTATGCCAATCACCGCTTCACTGCCCTCAGTCATCAGATGTTCACGTGCTAACGAGGATGCTTTGCATGTTCCTAGGAATGCCGGGAGCCCTCAGAGCAGGGCTGCCAGGTTGAACACTTTGTACAGTACTCATGCTCTTGTTGCTTTCTTTTGGCATGCGTTAGACTCCACATTGATCACAAGTGATGAGGTTGATTCTAACTAGGCATAGAAATAAAATAGTTTTGCAAAAAAGACCAAAGAGCTACCTCTGAGCTAGCTGTTACATTAAGTTGAGAAAGTTTCCCAGCAGCTTATTGACTGGGTAAGCAGTTGTTCAGGATTGCTTTTCATTGTTGGGTTTTGGAGTCCACAGGTTAGTGTGCAGGAGAGTAAGGCATGTGCTGGCTCTCTTTCTCATTTGAGTGAGGGTGCTTTTGATTTTTTTGTGAATTGTTCTGTAGTTTGAAGAATCTAGAAGGACAGGCTATCAACAGAGGCAGTCTGCTTAAGCAAGGTCGTCTTGGAGTCCTTTCTAACAATTTGATGAGCAGTAAACCTCTGCAATCCTGTCTAATATTTGTCTTTATGTTATTTCTTAGGAGACGCTCTGTCTCTTCCTTCCCAGTCCCCCAGGACAATGTGGATACTCATCCTGGTTCTGGTAAAGAAGTGAGGGTACCAGCTACTGCCTTGTGTGTCTTCGTAAGTATGCTTCAGCCCCGAACCCTACCACGCTTGATATGGTGACAGAGCCTGGCAATTAAAGGGTCCTTTCTAGGCCTGCAGCTAAGCATTCCATTGTTTTACTTATATCAAGCCTTTCCACCTTTTGGCTCTGTCAGCTGTGAGAAATTGATATATTTTGCTTAGTTTCAGAGGACAAAATTTGTTACAACCATCCTCTGTAATGGCAGAGCTGACTGAGAAAGGATTGCTAGCATGAGGGATGGGGCAAAGGAAAAGTAATTAGGGATTGTGAAAAATGGGAGAGGGATTTATATAATTATTGTCACCAATTGGCTCCAGTTTAGAGTGAGTTGCCAGTCAGTGGTGTATTATGGAAGTTCAGTAGGACAGCTGTTGGTTTCATGAATTATATCCCTATCTGTATGACTCCCAGCCATTAGGGGTCTATGACTGGAAGCAGTCCTGGGCAGAAGCCACGGTGATGGATACCAGGGCTGTCACCCGGAGTTCAGAGCTGGGTCCTAGTACTAGCAGGTAGTTTGCATCCCAGCTGGGGTAGTTGAGCAGAAATTGAACCAGCCTGGGGAAACATTCAGTACCTGGCTCAGAACTGTCAAAGCATGAGGAGGGTAGGAAACAGAGCACAAAGAACAGAACCTGGAGAGTTGGACTGACTCCAGTACTGGCCTAATAACTGGCAGCGGGTAAGTGAAAGGAGCCAGCTTTCAAAGCAGGGAAGATTTTGCCGTAAAAATGGGATGGAATTTATATGGTGGGAGCTTTGGGTTCCAGGTATAAGGAGGGACTTAGCTAGTTACACAGTGGACTGGCTGAGTGATGAACTGCCTTGACTGTTGTAAAGAGAGTTCCGCTTTGGAGGAGGAGTTGGGATGGGGCGCATCAACGCCCCTTCCCAGTCCCACTCCACTCCTGTGATTCCATGATGCACCGGGCACCTGCAGAGGTCGATGATGATTGGTAAAAGGTCTGATTGCACTGAATGTCACGGTCCCTTTGTTGCCCTCAACTCCCAGCAGCCCATTTTTTCCCTCCCGTCACATTTAAGTCATGTGTATGGGATCATGGAGCAGCTGATAATTTGGGATTCTGTCAGTGTGTGTTTCTGAGAGTGATCGGCTCACAGCTGACGAGTATCCAACAAAACCAGTTACACAGGAGACTGACGAGTGGCAGTCATGGGTGTGATGGTGCATGATCTCAAGTTTTCAATCTGAGACCTCCTAAGGAGAAAGAAACCATAAAAAAGAAAAGGAAATTTCATGGGGGTAAAAGGTTTGGTCACCTGTCATACTTTTCAGCAGTGGGTCACAAGAGGGAGGCAAAGTGGAAAATGAAGTTACCAAAGTGATGCCTGTTGCCCAGCCTGTTAATAGTCACTCCCTCCGTGATACTTCAAGCATTTTATTTTTTTTTAGTCCCAAGCAAATGTAAATATCACATATTCTCTTCCCCAAGTGACCTTTTAGACAAGTGATTATCTACTTAACAATCTCATATTGATAGTCTATGTTTTCTAGTCTTTCTTTTCCTTCTCTATTATAGAAATTTCCAAACATACGCAGTATCTCTTCCCCCCCACACTTATGCTGGAGCAATTTGAAGCCAATTCTAGGCATTATATTTCATCCAAAAATATTTTACTGCCCATAATCTTCTTAAGAGAGTATAGTGAATTTTTCGATTATTCCCTTTTCCCATTCTAGAATGGGATGCTGAGTCTCACTCTGTTATCCAGGCGGGAGTACAGTAGCACAATCTCAGCTCAGTGCAGTCTCAACCTTGGGCTGAAGCAATCCTCCCACCTCAGCCTCTTGAGTAGCTGGAACAATAGGTATGCGCTACCACACCTGGCTAATTTTTGTTTTTTAGTTTTTAAGAGACGAGGTTTCGCCACGTTGCCCAGGCTGGTCTTGAACTCCTGAGCTCATGCGATCTGCCCACCTCGGTCTCCCGAAGTGCTGGGATCACAGATGTGTGCCACTGCACCCAGCCAGGATGCTTTTTTACTTGGTTTTCTTTCTTATCCTGAACATAAGTACCATCTTTTGCCAGTGTTTATGCCAGTATTAGAAATTTCCCTGTGAAGAATATAAATTCTCTTAAAATAACGACTGTCATTTTTATCTAAGGCTTATGCATTAACAGGCACCATTCTGGGTTGCAAAAACCTTTCTGGAGCTGAGCAAACTGAGATTTCAGAAACTTGGCAGAGGTCACACTGCCAGTACACACTAGTCCCATAATGTTTCCAGAAAGAACTACATAGAATTCCATTATAACACAGATTGATGTTTTTGCCATCTACTTATATTAGGACTCATTGCGAAAGCTGTATTATGAGAGGCCATGTGCTATACATTATTTAAATATGTAGTATTTAATATTATTAGTAAATTAGTAATTACTAGTAGATCAATAAGTAGTATTAACTCAGTCTGGACCAAAATTAATTCTAGGTTTACTTTTAAACTATTAAGATAAATATAGGCCATTATTGTTAGAACAGATGAAATTAATGCAAGGACCAACTTTAAGCAGTCTACACAGATTTTGAGTACTTTTTGAGAAGGTTGCACTGCACTCTAATGCAACTGTAACTAGAAGAATAAAATGATAATAGAATCTTAGTTGACCTGGGCTAGGAGTCCAGTTTAGTTTATGATTGGCTCCACCTGTCTTTAAGGATGAGTGTTTCCCCATGAATTAGGCATTTGGAGTGTTCGCGCATCTTGAGCTCTTGGGATGAGAATGACTGGGTTTGACACAGGGTGCTTGTCTTGCAGGATGCACATGATGGGGAAGTCAACGCTGTGCAGTTCAGTCCAGGTTCCCGGTTACTGGCCACTGGAGGCATGGACCGCAGGGTTAAGCTTTGGGAAGTATTTGGAGGTGAGAGCCTGCTGCATGTTCTCAGACTGAAAACTTGAGATGATGCACCCTTGCACTGCAGAAAGAAGCTGTGTTGCTGGCATCTGGTTGACCTTGCTTTCAGGCACTGTGAATTGTTCATTTTCTCAAAACATACATTTTATGTAAGGGATCGTTTGACCAAAGCATCATACATCTCAGTTATTCTTTACTTCCGAGTGGATGTTTGCTCTCATTTTCTAAGTAGTGATCAGAAAATACTGTTAAGTTATGGATATGTTTATGTTAGTAAGGTTTCTGTAGTTTTTCTCAAGTATATACCAATCAGAGCATCTTGCAAAATAGTACCGTTTTTATGAGGAAAATAAGTCTTATGATCATGGATTCTACAATTAAACTATACATTAAGCTGTGGTTGATGCATTTAATGACAATTGCAATAGCCTAGGGAAAAAATGACTGGAGTCATGTCTAAGCTTGAGGAAACAGAGGCGTACTACCTAGAAAAGATGTATTTAACAGTGTATCAGACGAGGGCCCTTAGATCAAGACTCAGTCTCTTTGGACTTTTAGGATGCTCAGAGATGGATGGCATTAAAACAGAAAATGGAAGTTAATGAAACCATCTCTTAGAAGTCTGAAGCCGGGCATTTCCCAGTTTTGACGTTTTCGAGATTCAGTTAAATATGCGTGTATTTTTACTAAAGTAAGGCCGAAGAATAAGGCTTAAGGTTTTTAACGGGAACCACTTTGCCAAGTGTCTGTAGCTGCGACACACACATTATCCCTGTCGAGCAATAAATAGCTCCAAAGTGATTTTGTCTGTTAATTCCCCTGATCATCACAACAGCCCTGTGTGGTTAGAATGGTAGAGATTGCGCCATTTCACAGATAAAGGGAATAAAACTCAGATACTACGTGATTTACATGGCTAGTGAATGATTTCTGTGGTGAGGGAGTGGTGGAACTAGGACTAATGCAGGCCAGAAGACCTGAAATTCCATGCTCTTACTGTAGCCTTCTCTAGCAACTGAAAAATCTTAGGGGTACTGCTTTTAAGGTTTATCAGAGCAGGAGCAACTTATTAGAATAGGTTATTAGTAAAGCACCCCTCCTATCTGCCCCGGCCTTTGATTTTCAGGAAAGGGACTCAGCAGTTAGAGCCCATTGAAGCATACTAAAATTTACTATTTTGCCCAGAAACATTTAGCTTATGAATGATAATGGCTGAAGCAATTAGAAAACAATAATAAAAACAAATCATAAGAAATTTTCACTTTGTGAGGCTGGGGCAAGAGGATTGCTTGAGGCCAGGAGTTCAAGACCAGCCTGGGCAACAAAATGAGACCCTGCCTCTACAAAAAAAATATTAAAAAGTAGCTGGGTGTGTTGGCATGCACTTGCAGTCCCAGCTTCCTGGGAAGCTGAAGTGGGAAGATCAATTGAGCCCAGGAGTGAGAGGCTGCTGTGAGCTCTGATCGCATCACTGCACTCCAGCATGGGCAGCAGAGCAAGACCCTGTGTCTTTTAAAAAAGGAAATTTTAGGGAATTTGATTTGCAAAATCAAAGTAAACAGTCTGTTTTGAGTATGCCATTGAGATTTAAATAAAAATAACACTAGAAATATTTTCGTTTTACTCCTTGGTCAGTAAAAACACCTATAAGAAAATTAGAGGTACCAACCTTTAATTCTAGTAACCTTTTTGCGGCTGAAAAGAAACGAACATCAGTTGAAGTTAATACTGACATAATCTGTGCCAGCACATAATTTGTGTTAATAAAATCAAGTTTCTACCTAATCTACAGAAATAGCAGAATGTGTGGCGGCATTTCTTACAGTTTTGTGTAGGGCCTTTCTTCTACAAACAGCTGTTTCAGTCTACAAGATTTTTCGTCTTGGCAAATATTTATTTACTGAATCTTGGAAGAGGCCAAGTTCAAGAGACCTTTTCTGAAATAGTTTGGGGGTCCTGTTTTTTCATCCTTTTAGATTATCAGAAGAATCACACTTTCTACCCAGTGGGAACATCTGTTTTTGCTCATTTTCTCCAAAGCAGAAGTTCCACTGGGAATTATACAAATGCTGTTGACATAGCACCCCCCGCCCCCAACCCCGTATCTTGTAGATAATTAAGAGTTTTAATACGGTCTTTGTTCTTTTGAGATCAATCTCTCATATTGAATAGCATTAATTTTTTGGTCACTTCCTACATTTCGGCACTGTGTTAAGTGCCAAGCAAATAGACCAGTATTTTAAGCATAAGCCAAAGAGATATTTCTTAGAATTTGCAGTAATATTTTTATCTGTGAAGATTTCATCTAAAGGAAAATCTTAGCGAATATTAGCCTTTTTCAACCCTTTTGAAAATCTTAAGAAAGCTAGGATCCAGAAAAAGCCATTAAATATGCTGTATTTTGCAAGTGAGTTCAGAGGAGAGGTTCATCAACCAGGTTAACAGTCTGTGGCCTGAATGTACATGACAGCTTCAAACCAGTATTCGTGTCACCTTGATATCTGGCTCCAATCATTATTTTTACTACTTAGAAGTACTGAATAAGATAAAAATGTGTTGAAATGTTTTCTGTTCTGTGTTCCTCTTTTACAAATATGATTACAATGGTTCCTTAATTTCTAGCTTATCTGTGTGGATCATCCTTAAGTTACCCTTTTAAAAGGAATTTAATCAAATCATTGAGATTTTTGCTCTTCTCAGTTTGGGATTGCCCGTTACTGAAATTTCCGTGTGGGTGGCCAGGCTGTCTGGAAGCAGAGTAGATAAAGTGGACAGTGGCTCTGTTGGTGAGGGAGAGCTGTGTAGAGGGATGGGAGGTGCTGGCACTTAGTTCGCTTGCCAGGATCTTAGATTCATGGAGATAAAGTATGAGGGCAAATTCCAGAAACTCCAAACTAGCTTGACTGGTATTCTATATGAGTAGTCATTTAAATGTAACTAACACAATTTCTTTTCACACCTTAATGAAAATTACCACACCATGGGTCCAGAAATTGACTGCCAGTTTCTACAAAAGTGGTAGTTAAGTTGGCACAAATGCTGATCAACCCAAATATTTATGTATGTAAGTTTTTAAAATGTACTGAGAAATAGTGGAACTGAATAAACCCAGTCTCTAGTTTGATTGACATGGTTTATAAATTCCTACACTTTGTTTTTCTAAAGAGAATGAATAACTACATTTCTTAAAGAACAGAACACACATCCAAGATGCTGGGGTCAGTGTCCACTTAGACTTGCATTCCTCTTAGAAACTAGCAGTATCTTTTATCTCTCATGTTCTCTTTGTCCTGCTATTTTGTTTGATTCTGTAAAGGTACAGGATAGCTATTGTTTTAGCAGTGTAATTGGCTTCCATTGTATTTCAGTGCCCTGTTTTAATGTATTTATTGGCTTTATTTAACTTCCCATCATCCTAATTTTTTCTTTTTATACAGAAAAATGTGAGTTCAAGGGTTCCCTATCTGGCAGTAATGCAGGAATTACAAGCATTGAATTTGATAGTGCTGTAAGTATTGAATAGCTATGATTTTAAAGGTTTTTAGAAATAATTTAAGACATTAGGTTCTTGAAATTATAACATAACTTACCCGATTTCTCTGCCATTCTCTGTATCTTAAGCCAAATCCATGTTAAAGAAAGATGGAAATAGATTATAGGGTTAATTGCTGTATCAACTCTGATAAACCCTTGGGTTCTGCTTCATGCATTAGGCTTGTGATGTTACTCAGTACTTTGTATAATTTCACTTAATAGTTGTATTTTGAGTGTATAGATGCTGTACTCCAGGGGCCAGCGTGGTCTCTACCCTCCGAGATTCGCCATCTAAATGAGAGTGATGGGAAAGCATTAAACTGCAAAGCGTTGTGCTGAGTTATGGCTGAGATGTGTGTGGAGTAGAAAGGAAATACTGATGAGAGAGTAGCTCATTCTGGGGCAAGGGTTAGGGGCCATAGTAAGGCATTTAAAGCAGATCTAAAGATAATCAAAGGTCAGAGGCAAAAAGCCAGGGACGGACACCACAGGCAGAGGGAGCAGAGGAGGTTGGGCTGGGCGAGTGCAGGAGCTTGGGTGGAGGTGATGACTGGGTGAGGCCAAGGTAGCGTCCTCATCTACCAAGAGTCCTTATCTTGATTGTCATCTCTGGGGAGCCTTGTTCACATTCCTGGGTGGGCTGAGTGTCTATGTTCCCAGCATCTTGTGCAAACCTATTCTATGGCACGGTGGTGGTCTATATCTGTTTCTTTTACTAAGCTGAGAGCTGACTACCTGAGGACAAGTGTCTGGGCGTTAATCATCTTTGTACCCCCAGCACCTGGCACAGTGCCTATTAGGTTCTAAATAACCACTCCTTGAATTTAATTGGGGAATGATAAGGAAATAAGGTTGGAAAATGAGGGTATGTTGTATTGAAAGGTTTAGACTTTTGTAAAGCCATGTGGAGACTTGAGAGATTTTTAGAAATGGGTATGGTGTTAAGTTGTGGTGGAACTGTGACAGTGCTGAAGACTGGCTTGGAGGAAGCAGGTCTGCAGTGGCCCGTGCGTTCAGTGCTTCTGCAGAGATGCAGAAGGCCCAGGTGGGGGCTGAGGAAATAGGGGAGAAAGGAGAGGACCAGGCTCGACACATTGAAGATGAACAGTTCTCAGAGTGAGAGTTGGGAGATTAGGCAAGGAGAGAGTCAAGGGTGCCTCTGAGGTTTCTGACTTGTTAATATTTGCTGCTAGTGAAGGTTGCCAAGGGAAAAGTGAGTAGGGAAGGCTGGGTTCCATTTGGAGCTTGAGGTGTCTGCAATATTCTGATGAAATTGAGCAAGCTCAGAAAAAAAAAGGTCTGAACTCGAAGGAGACTGGCGAGTTGAAGCACACTCACGACAGTAGCTGGTATTCAGGCTGGTTGTATAGGGTGAAGCATCTAAACCTTCTTGTACTTGATTATTGGGGAATTTATATCGTGTGAACTGAATTCCTCTGATTTGGCTAAAAATTGGTTTTCCTCTTCTTTATTCCCACAGGGATCTTACCTCTTAGCAGCTTCAAATGATTTTGCAAGCCGAATCTGGACTGTGGATGATTATCGATTACGGGTAAGACCCAGTTAAGAAAGTTAGTGCAATCTCCAAACTTCATGTGGTGTTATCAAGGCACAAACTGGCAGGTGCTTAATTAGGGGACTTTGTTTTCCCAAAAATCATGCTTGATTCACCCTGCCCTTCCTTTCCTCCTTGGGGAAATCTGTGTTTCCACTTTATACTCTTTGTCCAAAACTCAGTTTCAAAATATTTGCAATGGGACCCTCACATTTGCATGAAAACCTTGGAATACTCTTCATAAGGACTAAATACTTTGGTAGATAGCAATTTTGGCTTAATGGCACAGAACTTAGCAACAGCATGTGAATTGTGATTCCTGTGGGCTCTAAAACCTAATTACCTAAAGTGGGATATAGAAGTACAAATGGATGTATCATAGGGATAAGACAATTCTGAAACAAAAACTCCAAGCTGAGAAAGAGGGGACAGGTGTCAGAGCAGGGAGAAATGATTGGATGTTGAGGAAAGCTGCATTTGAACCAAAACTTGCCAAGAATTCTCTTGGCATCTGACAGAGAGACCAAAACTTGGTTGTATCATTTTTGATTGGGGCAGGGGGCGGAGGGCGAAGCATGTAACTTAATTTGCAGACATTTTTTTTCCCCATAAGCCTGAAGGAATCATCACATAAGCTTATTAAATACAAGCTATTGAAAGATATAATGGAGGATGAATTTGGCATTAGTAGGCATTTTACTAAAAAAAAAAAAAATTTTTTTTTAAAAAGTTAACACAAGCCGTTTGTGTGTGTCAACCCACACCAAAAACAGAGGAAGTAATGTTAAGATGAATTTTTTTTCTTTTTTTTTTTCTTTTGAGATGGAGTTTTGCTCTTGTGTGGGGTACAGTAGTGTGATCTCAGCTCACTGCAACCTCCGCCTTCTGGGTTCAAGCAATTCTCCTGCCTCAGCCTCCTGAGTAGCTAGGATTACAGGCATGGCTAATTTTTATATTTTTAGTAGAGATGGGGTTTCACCATGTTGGCCAGGCTGGTCTTGAACTTCTGACCTCAAGGGATCTGCCCACCTTGGCCTCCCAAAGTGCTGGGATTACAGGCGTGAGCCACTGTGCCCAGCAAGATACATTTCTTTTTTTGTTTTTTGAAGGCAGAGTCTTGCTCTGTCATCCAGGCTAGAGTGCAATGGCGCAATCTTGGCTCACTGCAAACTCTGCCTCCTGGGTTCAAGCAATTCTCCTGCCTCAGCCTCCCGAGTAGCTGGGATTACAGGCGCCCGCCACCACGCCCAGCTAATTTTTGTATTTTTTTTTAGTAGAGATGGGGTTTCACCATCTTGGACAGGCTGGTCTTGAACTGACCTCATGATCCACCCACCTCGGCCTCCCAAAGTGCTGGGATTACAGGCGTGAGCCACCGTGCCCAGCCTAAATTTCTTTTTTCTTTTTTTTTTTTCTGAGATGGAGCCTGTTGCCCAGGCTGGAGTGCAATGACGTGATCTCGGCTCACTGCAACCTCTGCCTCCCAGGTTCAAGTGATCTCCTTCCTCAGCCTCCCAAGCAGCTGGGATTACATGCATCCTCCACCACGCCCGGCTAATTTTTGTTTCGTTTTTTAAATTTATTTATTATTTTGAGATGGAGTCTTGCTCTGTCGCCCAGGCTAGAGTGCAGTGGCATGATCTCGGTTCACTGCAAGCTCCACCTGCCAGGTTCACGCCAGTCTCCTGCCTCAGCCTCCTGAGTAGGTGGGACTACAGGCACGTGCCACCACACCTGGCTAATTTTTTTGTATTTTTAATGGAGATGGGGTTTCACCATGTTAACCAGGACGTTCTCGATCTCCTGACCTCGTGATCCACCTGCCTCAGCCTCCCAAAGTGTTGGGATTACAGGCCTGAGCCACTGCGCCTAGCCCAATTTTTGTATTTTTTTAGTAGAGACGGGGTTTCCCCATGTTGGCTAGGCTGGTCTCGAACTCCTGACCTCAAGTGATCCGTCTGCCTCGGCCTCCCAAAGTGCTGGGATTACAGGCATGCACCACCACGCCTGGCCCAGATGAATTTCTTAAATCTACAAGGGAGGTGGAGGAGCTGTAGTAGAATGGTATATTAGGTGGGTTTCTGGTGATTTTCTTGAGAGGGTTGTATAGATTATTAGTATTAGATGCTAGCCAATACCTCAGGGGTGGTCATTCTTAATTCACAATTTAAAGAAGATCCAGGTCCGAACATGCAAAATAACGAGCCCTGACGATGACAAGGACATGTTGTGAGAGCTGAGGAGCCTATGTTCTTGTCTTAATGACGGACTAGGGAAGTGCACTGCTAGAGAGCCTGCCATGGGGCACACCAATTCAGATGCTTGAATAGGGTCATTTGAAGCCCTGTAGTTCTGTACTGTACACATGGAAAAGATGGCCTAGCCGGTACTCATGGCTACGTTCTAATCCATCCTGTGGTATACTGTGATTTATCTATCCATTGATCTTTTATTCTAGACTGAGATACAGTAAAACTGACCAATTATTGAAGAGGGGCCTACAGCCTTTTTTTTATGATAGTCCCTTAGAGGAGAAGAGGAAGAAGTTGAGTCAACCAGTAGTGCAGGATATTTTTTAATTGGTAATAGAGGAGTCCTATACAGGTGGGCATCAGCCTTTGGGTCAGAAATAACAAGAAGGGGACCTAGAGCAGGGAGCTAGACTGACAGATGAAGGTCATAACATTGAGCTGGCACACAGGTCTCACTGGGGAAATGTTCTCAGTATGCTGGAGCAGGGCGCAGGCTGCTGGGCTGCTGCTTCTGATGATGCCGTGCTGGGGCAGGAGCCTCCTGTGCTGGACTAGTTGGCTTTTGAGTTTCTGGCCTGCTCATAACCTTGTCCTGTTACTTGGTAAATGTGTGAAGATTGGGAGGCCTGTTTCAGCAGATTCCCTGCACCCAGAGAAGTCTCCCGAAAACCTTACCAGGTTCCAGAAAGTAAAATAGGCTCCTTATTCTAGGGAGTGCTGGCTTTTTTTTAGACCCCAGTTAACAGATGGTACTGGAGGACAGGAATCCATTCATCTATGTTGTGAAACTCACAGACATCCATGCCCTGTTCGGTGTCTCCTTTGCTCTTACGACAAGGGAATGGTGTTGGGAGAGACTGGCAAACAAGAAGCAGCTGGTTGAGTGCTTGCTTTAACATCCTTTTTGTAAATGCACCCTAGAAACAACCTGGCATTGAAAGGAGTCCTCTGTGATGCCTCCGTTAAAAATCTAAAGTCAGTACAAAACTGCCTGGCTGCTTGGTAAGATTTGACTTGAGAAACTTGCTTGAGAACCCCCCTGCCCACTTCTCTCGTGGTGTGGTGAAGTGGCCACAGTGAGGATTGGCTATGGCTGCTAGGTGATGGTTTCTGTTTGGAATGTTCCTCTTTGAGTTCTGCATTCTTCTGGAATCGGCTGTCTTTGGTTGGTGTTATGTTAGCTGCATGATTAAGTTGTTACCTGAATGAGCAATTTTGTGTTTAGAAATAGGGGTCGGCACTCGTTATCTGCCATGAGGCACAGAGATAGTCTGTGCAGAGCCCAGTGGAGCAGAGAAATCTTGAAGCCTCCCCACTTTGAGGCCCCGGCCTTGATGACATCTAAACCCGCTGCCCCGCTATTGTTAATCCCTGTTTAAAAGTAGAAGATGAAACCTAAAAGTGTTGTTAATCATAAAAATGAATTTCAGAAACACCTAACAGATAGAAGAATTTTAAATCTGATCCATTTCAAAGGACTCTATAAATGATAGAGGTGAATGAATGCCTGTAGGAGGCCCAGCTCTATACCATTGGAAGCACCGAGACAGTGAGTCAGCCTCAGGCAGCTCCAGCTTATTCTCACTGAGAATAAGGTGAGCAGAAGCCCAAACTTTTTTTTTTTTTTTTTTTTTTGAGACAGTGTCTCGCTCAGTCACCCAGGCTGGAGTGCAGTGGCGTGATCTCTGCTCGCTGCAAGCTCTGCCTCCTGGGTTCACACCATTCTCCTGCCTCAGCCTCCCGAGTAGCTGGGACTACAGGCGCCCGCCACCACGTCCAGCTAAGTTTTTGTATTTTTAGTAGAGACGAGATTTCACCGTGTTAGCCAGGATGGTCTCGATCTCCTGACCTTGTGATCCGCTCACCTCGGCCTCCCAAAGTGCTGGGATTACAGGCATGAGCCACCGCGCCTGGCCAAGCCCAAACATTGTAAAGAGCAAGGTGACAATACGTACGAGGAGCCAAGAAACAAAACGTCCCTTTCCCTTATTCCATTAGTTCAGCAGTTTCATTCCTGGAAATAAGTCAAGAGAAGAAAGCTGTGTGCTCATAGATGTTCACTGCAACAGCATCTGTGACAGACTCTTAAAGAAAGGGAGGTGCAACAAGGAAGAGATTTGATCCCATTCATCTTGCTGAGTCCGTACTAAGATAGCACAAGGATGTTTCCTGTTCACAGATGTTACAGAGACCCAGGGTGTTCAAATCAGTGGAACCCCAAAGCCCATGAATTTTCAGCTATCACATGAAAAAATGCTTACGCTATAAGCTTAAAAGAGTAATGGATAAATTTTTAGGAAGAGTATAATTGTGTAAAGATTAACATGTTCCTGTGAAGTATGTAAAAATGAATATACAGATGGTCCCCAATGTAGGGTATTTTCATCTTACAATGTGTTTGTCAAGACTGGCCCCATCATAAGTTGAGGATCATCTGTACTTGCCATATCCCACTTATGAACAATGTCTTTTTCTACCCTGTGTTTGTGAAATGTGATTTTACTCTTAACATTAAGAAAGAAACAGATAGTGAATATAAATACAAATTTGAAATTTTGATAAAATAGTTATTCAGAATTTAATGTAAGGCCGGGCACAGTGGTTCATGCCTGTAATCTTAGCACTTTGGGAAGCCGAGGCAGGCGGATCACTTGAAGTCAGGAATTCAAGACTAGCCTGGCCAACATGGTAAAACCCCGTCTCTACTAAAAATACAAAAATTAGCTGGATGTGGTGGCACACGCCTATAGTCCCAGCTACTCAGGAGGCTGAGGCAGGAGAATCACTTAAACCTGGGAGGCGGAGGTTGCAGTGAGCTGAGATCACGCCACTGCACTCCAGCTTGGGTGACAAGAGTGAAACTCTGTCTCAAAAAAGAAAAAAAGATAGAATTTAAGAAGTAGCCTACCCAAGTTTTGTCTCTGCCCATGATTTGTGCAGAGTGGATGTTTTATATTGAATGGAATCATTATTCATGGACTGTATCTAGTGTAGGCTTTGTTACTGGAGCTTTCTTGATCTTACGGAAGGATCAGTGGGAGGTTTTCACACAACCGCAGCACAGCCGGCACCCGACTGGCAGCAGTTGTAAGATGCTGTCCCAGTTTCAGAGGTTTGAATGTGGGATAAGGCAGTCTGAGAACTCATACAAGCTTCCCTCATTGAAGCTGAGAGGGGAGTATATGTGGTCCGAAGTTTTCGCTTCTGTGCTAAAGTGGAGTTAACCCCACTGAAAATAGAGGAAGGATTGGTTTCAAAAATGTTAACACAAAAAAAATCTAACCCTGAACCATGAGGTCTCATCTTTGGGAACTAAGGTTTGGAGTGCAGTGGCATGATCTGGGCTCCTTGCAGCCTCGACCTTCTGGGCTCAAGCAGTCCTCTCACCTCAGCCTCCCCTGTAACAGCTGAGACTATAAGTACCCACCACACCCAGCTAATTCGAATTTTTTTGTAGAGATGAGGGTCTCACTAATTTCCCCAGGCTGGTCTCAAACTCCTGGGCTCAAGCAATCCTCCCACCTTGGCTTCCCAAAGTGCTAGGATTACCAGTGTGAGCCACTTTGCCAACCCTTGCATTTTCTAATTAGAAAGAAAACATCAGTGAATACCTTCTGAACCTCTGGTGTTTTACACATAGAAAAATGTTGATCATGCACTGCATAGAGGTCAATGATGAATGGTAAAAGGTCTGAGTCCTCAGATCCCCTCCCGGCATCCCAGTTATCCCCAGCTGCCTCTCCTCCATCGCACTTCAGAAGTGCTGCGATGGGCAGAAGGGCAGCTGACACTCCGTGATGTCCCTCATTCTGTGTTCCTCCGTGAGCTCAGGGAAGACACTGGTTGGCATCCAACAGCTTAGTCACAAAGGGATTTGATTGTTGGGAGTGCTGGTATCTGTGGCTATGATCTGCCTTGTTCAAGCTGAGACCTCTGATTGAAAATCCCCCAGGGGTTTTAATTGTTTACATAAGGAGTCCTGATGTTTCCTTTTGTAAATTATGCCTGTGGTGACCTTGTCTAGTCTGACTTTAAATATGGAACTGACTTTCAGCAGCATGGCGCAACATCGAGGCTTTAAAAATTCTTTAATTTGATATAATTCAGACATAGAAAAATTACAAAAACAGTACAGCAGGTATCTGTGGTAGAGCTGATTTCAAATTCAAGATTGAGGATGGGGAGCACGTGAAGCTTGGTGCTAGTGATGTTGAATTTTTGTTTTTAATGTTATTTTTAGTGGGAGTTTTATCCTTTTGGTCTTGATACCTCACCTTTGGCCAACACTCAAAGATAGGCTTCCTATGAGATACATGGCCCCTGGATAAGACTCAGTGAATGAAATTGTTGCTTCTTGTCCTGTTTGGGATGTGTGTGTGTGTGTGTGTGTGTGTGTGTGTGACAGGATCTTGCTATCACTCAGGTGGAGTACAATGGCACTATCATAGTTCACTGCAACCTCAACCTCCCAGGCTCAAGCAATCCTCTTGCCTCAGCTTCCCAAGTAGCTGGGACCCCAGGCGCATGCCACCACTCCCTGCAAATTTTTAAAAAAATTTTTTTGTAGAGATGGGGGTTTCACTGTGTTGCCCAAGCTGTTCTTGAACTCCTGGGCTCAAGCAGTCCTCACACCTTGGCCTCCCAGTGTGCTGGGATTGCAGGCGTGAGTCACTGTGCCTGACCTGTTTCTTTTTCCTTTGCTGTCTTATCGCTTTGAGTGTTCCTGGCCGGATCTCAGGGTGGTCTGACACTCTGACTCTGGAGGTAAGGATGCTGTGGATACTTTGCCAGCATAGGCAGGGCCTGGCGCCCTGAGGCTCACCCTGGCTGTGTTCTCTCTCCTAGCACACACTCACGGGACACAGTGGGAAAGTGCTGTCTGCTAAGTTCCTGCTGGACAATGCGCGGATTGTCTCAGGAAGTCACGACCGGACTCTCAAACTCTGGGATCTACGCAGCAAAGTCTGTGAGGAAATTCAGTCTCTCTGTCTGTGTATATGCTTAGATGTTAGCGTGGAGGTGTGTGTTTGCACGTCAGAGCCTGCATTTATGTAATATAGTTTGAATTTCAGATCTGGCTTCATGTTTAGAGGGGCACTGAGGATAGTGATAGTTTTTCTTGTTTAAAGCTTCATTTAAGTGAGTAACTCTGACAAGTCAGTGGTTAGAGGGTGGCAGCATTATGTAAACAGCCACGTTGGTGCCTCTGCTTGATTAATGATGTTTGCATTTCTTTCAGGCATAAAGACAGTGTTTGCAGGATCCAGTTGCAATGATATTGTCTGCACAGAGCAATGTGTAATGAGTGGACATTTTGACAAGAAAATTCGTTTCTGGGACATTCGGTATGATACCCAAGCTCCTGACTGGAGGCACATAAGAGTCTCCACAGTAATGGTTCTGTACATGGGTTGTGCTTTTAAGATCTCAGGACATGGCAGAAATGAGTTTCGGTACACGTATAGTGTTAGCTTATTAACACTTGGCTGTTCTTTCCCATGAAGTAGACTGTGGAGCTTAGCAATCATTTATTGAGCATGCAGTGAGTGCTAGGCCCTTCACCAGCTGGCAGGTAAGAAAAGGCAAACAGGATACTCTTTCTACCTTTAGGTAATTTAAACTGTAGTAGGGAAGGCAGAACGCAAAAGTCAGTGACTAGTGTGTTGAAGTGGAGGCAGCTACGTTTGTTCCAGTGTGTTAAAGAATGCCTCTCCAGATTTCTCCGGAGACGTGAGTAGGATTCACACGGCAGGAAAGCCACTCAAACTTTTGAGTGTGTGTCTGGTGGCTGATACATGGCAAGTGAGCAGGAAACAGGGCAGAAGCCAGTGAGGGGGCTATGAGGGGTTGAAATCAGGTTGCCACAGGCTTGATAAGCCATTGTCAAATCACTCGATCTTGTAAGTCGTTGGGTGTTTAGCAAGGAAATGGTTGCTTTGCAGGAGTCTAGTAGACGACTTTGGTGGCATTTTGAGAGGGCATATTAGGGAATAGGAAACCAATAGAGTTGATAAGGACCTAAGTTCAAGTCAGTAGAGGAACATGTGGAGGAGAGAATCTATTTGAAGGAGAATTTGGACAGGGCTTATTGACAGGTTGGAGGAAGGGGAAGACAGGATGGAGAGTAAATGAGGACAGCCTCCCAGCAGGGTTGTAGAGAGGGTGGGGGTACAGGGCCTGTGGTGATAGATGATGCTTTGAAACACAGCATGGCACCAGAAAGTCCTGACAATGCTCATGGTTCCTGGACACCACTTCACATTTTATTCATAATCTTTAGTTTGCTTTTAAAACCTGAAATTGGAACTTGAAAGATGGAATTTGAGAGTTAAGTTGGATGTTCGAAGTCTCTTAGTCCATCCCATAATTTGACAGGTGAAGACCCTGAGTCCCAAGGAAGTGGAGTAGCTTGCTTCAAGCTGCATATTTAGCAACAATAAGATAAATTCTTGCTTAGTTAAGGTGGGAGGTAGGAAAAGGTTTCATTGAAAGCCTACAACAAAATCATCACAGAACAGGTCAGCACCCCCTTTGGCTATGAATGTCACCAACAGGGCCCTGCCCAGGGTGGCTGTTAGCCACCCTGGACATGGGCCACAGCACAGAGAAGAAGAGGGAGGTGCGTAGGGCCGTGGCTCTGCCCTGGCTTTCCTGGCCCCATATCTGGAGGTGGAGGGCCACAGAGCCACAGTGAATAGGGCAGAAAACCTGCAAGAGGCTAGAGTTACACTTACAAGGCAGCCCAGGCCCACTAATGCAGGTTTCTTTGCCAACTTTATCCAAAAGTTGAAATCACATCACTGAAAATAATACGAATTGGGTAGTAGCCCTAGTTAGCTCATGCTGATCAGAAACCGATGGGCGATTGTTGTCATTCCAAAAATGGATGAGGAAATTCTTACCAACTTCAGAGTTCTAGTCTGGGAATGACTGTCTTAGGGTCTGTTGATGGGAAAGTAAGAAAAGCAGTCACAGGTTATTAGAAGACTGGGAACACATTGACTGCGCTGGCAGAGCGTTGCATGCTAGTTGAATTGCAGTGCCTTTTTTTTCCTCCACGGCATGATGTGAAGTAGTTCTGGCCTACGTTACATTTCTCAGATCTGTTCTCCCTCTTAGATCAGAGAGCATAGTTCGAGAGATGGAGCTGTTGGGAAAGATTACTGCCCTGGACTTAAACCCAGAAAGGACTGAGCTCCTGAGCTGCTCCCGTGATGACTTGCTAAAAGTTATTGATCTCCGAACAAATGCTATCAAGCAGACATTCAGGTAACTGAAGATGTGCTGGTTGCATGAAGACCAGAGGCCCAGCCCTGCTCTCTTAACGTGCTGCGTGGCCTGAGCTCCCTCAGTGACAGTGCCCTGTTGTTTGTTTCAGTGCACCTGGGTTCAAGTGCGGCTCTGACTGGACCAGAGTTGTCTTCAGGTTAGTAGTGACCCACCCCCCGCCAATTTGGTTCATCACAAAGAGTCCTGCATGGGCATTTTCCCACTGGGGATATAGAGCTAAATTTTGTTCAGTGCCCAACCTATGTTTCCAGGAGTGTGCCTGTAAGTTCATAATTGCAGGCCACCATTATTGTCTCTTCCTTTCCAGTGTTCCTTTTGTGATTACATGAACCTAACGTGTTGTACCAAAAAATAACAGTTGGCTGGTTGCTTTGTTGTGGGTGAGCCCATTAGGTTCACTTCTCATCACTCATTCACGCAAGAGCTGTTGGAGAGCCTTTAGAAAAGGGCAGGAGTGGCCGTGGGCCTGGGGCGGGACTGAAAAGGCTTTTTGGAGAAGGGTGTGCAGGTGGTCTGCAGTTTTCTGCTCCTTGTTCCCTTCTTCCATGTATCCTGCTTCTTCCAAATACCTTTCCAGGCTCAGTTGCTAAGATGTTTCTTTTCTTCCCTCCTCTCTTTGAGGCATGTAACAAGGCAGTCCATGGGCTGAAACCCTTAGCTATGTGGAGGTTGGCTTTGATCTCCCTATATGTTGTTTTGTTGAAGTCTGTAGATGGTTAAGGACTTGGAGCCCCAAGAAGCAATGTGATGCCACTGTTCATTAGCCGGACGGGGCTGAAATACTGGGGAAAAGCAGATTTGGCTGGAAGGGCCATGACTAGCACACATTCTGAGGTCTGGGTACACAGGAGTGGTCATCAGTGAAGAACAAACATTCCTTCTTGGGAAAAAGGCCACAGAGATGCTGAATTGGGGGTGGGGAATTGACAACCTTTCTTTTCTTACTGTCTTCTGTAGCCCTGATGGCAGTTACGTGGCGGCAGGCTCTGCTGAGGGCTCTCTGTATATCTGGAGTGTGCTCACAGGGAAAGTGGAAAAGGTTCTTTCAAAGCAGCACAGGTAAGATGAACCCTGTCTCAGCCCCCCGTTGCGTTGTGAGCAAGGCCTTTGACTTCATCTCAGGGGTCATCCGGTTTAGACCTCAGTCGGCGCTGTGAGGGCACTGTCCGCCCACCTGCTCGGCTGGCTGAGCTAGGTCAGTGGAGAGAAGCTGGGGCCACTCACACAGCACAGCAGGCCACAGTCTACAGAGTACGCCAGGTAGAGCGGTTAGAGTGGCAGCCGCTGGAGAAAGGGTTATAGAAACACATCCCTGACTCTTTGGTTATGTCCACGTCCTCTGTGTCTCCTTCCCCTTCCCTACTCTCCTTCCTTTCCGCCTCCCTGTCTCCCTTGGAAGTCCCTGTTGTCAGTGCATTTCAGTGCATTGACGTGTCCTAAACACTGATCTCCACACACCTTCTTTTATCTTCCACCTGATAGGCAGGCCCCAGACCCCCTTTTTTCCTAGCTTTGTTCTGCCCACACAAGCCCACCTGCTAGTTGGAACCCAGATACCATTTTCCTTCAGAACCTCTCTCCCTGTCCTTGGGCAGCAGCAACTGCTCCCAGACCTAACCAGTGCTGACCACCACTGCCCGGCTCTTCAGAGGCATGTGTACTGTCTTTCCAGCTCACTCAGAGCTCCTCTCTTAGGGAGAGTGTGATAAGGCCTGACTGCCAGAGGGGCCAAACTCCCTTCATCCCAGCATGACTTAATTAAGTACACCACTGGATTTTTTCTGAGGTCTTTTGCATGTTAGTGAGCTCCTGCCTTGTCGCGGGCACAGTGCCAGAGAGTAAAATGGAAGTTGGAAAAATTAGGACTCCCTGAATGCACAAGCTTCTGGTGTTTGGTTTACCAAGATCTCATCCCAAATGTTCTGAAACTTGGTGCTTTTCTGATCTCTCCTTTGAAGCTCATCCATCAATGCGGTGGCGTGGTCGCCCTCTGGCTCGCACGTTGTCAGTGTGGACAAAGGATGCAAAGCTGTGCTGTGGGCACAGTACTGACGGGGCTCTCAGGGCTGGGAGGACCCCAGTGCCCTCCTCAGAAGAAGCACATGGGCTCCTGCAGCCCTGTCCTGGCAGGTGATGTGCTGGGTATAGCATGGACCTCCCAGAGAAGCTCAAGCTATGTGGCACTGTAGCTTTGCCGTGAATGGGATTTCTGAAGATTTGACTGAGGTCTCTCTTGGCCTGGAAGAATAACACTGAAAAAACCTGACGCTGCGGTCACTTAGCAGAGGCTCAGGTTCTTGCCTTGGGAAACACTACTAGCTCTGACCTTCCATACCTCACTTGGGGGAGCACAGGGCCCCGCTGGGCCTCCTCACCAACGGCAGTGCCAAAATCAGCCCCCACATCAAGGTGGTGTTCTCTGTGCTTTCTCTCGTCCTTCCAAAGTCGGTTCTGGCCTAACGCATGTCCCAACACCTTGGGTTCATTTGCCCGGTGAACTCACTTTAAGCATTGGATTAACGGAAACTCCCGAACTACAGACCCCTCCCTGGTGGGTTGCATGAATGTGTCTCATTACTGCTGAAATGTCCTCACATCTCTTTCACTGTTCTTCAGAGCTTTCTGGCTCTCTTTCCCCCACAAAATTCGACATATTTAAAAATCTCCGTGTGGCTTTAAAAAATGGTTTTTTGTTTTTTTGTTTTTTTGAGGTGGGAGAGGATGTGTGAAAATCTTTTCCAGGGAAATGGGTTCGCTGCAGAGGTAAGGATGTGTTCCTGTATCGATCTGCAGACACCCAGAAGGTGGGTGCACACTGCATGCTTGGGGGTGCCAAGGGATTCGAGACCTCCAACATACTTGTCTGAAGGTGGTGATTCTGGCCATGGCCCCTCTGCCAAGCCTGTGTGCGATGCCCTTGGTGCTTTAGTGCAAGAAGCCTAGGCTCAGAAGCACAGCAGCGCCATCTTTCCGTTTCAGGGGTTGTGATGAAGGCCAAGGAAAAACATTTATCTTTACTATTTTACCTACGTATAAAGTTTTAGTTCATTGGGTGTGCGAAACACCCTTTTTATCACTTTTAAATTTGCACTTTATTTTTTTTCTTCCATGCTTGTTCTCTGGACATTTGGGGATGTGAGTGTTAGAGCTGGTGAGAGAGGAGTCAGGTGGCCTTCCCACCGATGGTCCTGGCCTCCACCTGCCCTCTCTTCCCTGCCTGATCACCGCTTTCCAATTTGCCCTTCAGAGAACTTAAGTCAAGGAGAGTTGAAATTCACAGGCCAGGGCACATCTTTTATTTATTTCATTATGTTGGCCAACAGAACTTGATTGTAAATAATAATAAAGAAATCTGTTATATACTTTTCAAACTCCATGCCTCTTGGTGATTATTTTATTCTCCCTTATCCTTAGAAAGGGGAAAGAAAGTGATTTCTTTGTTTACCTGGTAGTTATTTGTAAACAACGGCTAGTACTTTTTAACGGTCTTTTTTCATTCATCATGTAAGCTCCATTCCACAAAGTATCTCTCTCTGTAAACACCAGTGTTCCAGTTTCATGTCGCGCAAATCTTAACGGACATTGGAAAGATGTTTCTTCAGAACATTACCAGCTGCAGTAGAAGAGCCCAGCACGGATTGCTCTTCAGCCCTCTGCACGGAGCCTCTCTCCAGTGAACTGCCGCAGCAGAGAGGCATTCACTTGTGGTGGCTCAGATTCCTGACACACAGCCTGAGCTGTAGCAAATGATGACCACCCTTATCAGGAAACTCAGCCAGTCGTCCACTTAGCCTAGCACCTGGAGTCAAGCTGCCATCAGAGTCTGAAGTCTGAGGCAGCCAATGCTTGCACAAAGCTGGATGAAAGCGAGATGTGTTGGCTCACACCTGTAATCCCAACACTTTGGGAGGCTGAGGCAGAAGGATCACTGGAGGCCAGGAGTTGGAGGCTACAGTGAGCTATGATTGCACTCCAGCCTGGGTGATACAGTAAGACCCTGTCTCAAAAAAAAAAAAAGTTAGACGAGCCCTTTGCAATCACCTTCAAAAAGGTGATTCTCCAAATAGTCCCCAAATAAGTGTTCGAGTAGTCTCAGATCATCCTGTTTTTGCATTTGGAGGGAAGCATGGCTGTTCTCTGTGCTCAGCCTGAGCTCCATTCCAGTCCCTTAACTGCCAATGCTGAGCTAAAGGTAAGGGGGTCTCACAGCACCGGGGAATGTGACTTCCGTTTAACTCCCTGCCTAGCGCATGGACTAGGGCCTTTCCAGCTGCTAGTTTTGTTGGTCAGAGCAGGAGGCATGCATAGGGGTGTGTGTGTGTGTGTGTGTGTGTGTGTGTGTGTGTGTGTATGTATGTATGTATGTATGTATATGTATGTATGTATGTATGTATTTGAGACAGGGTCTTACTCTGCTGCCCAGGCTGGAGTACAGTGGTGTGATCACTGCTCACTGCAGCCTCGACCTCCCAGGCCCAAGTGATCTACTCCCTAAACCGGAGCACACCACCATGCCTGGTTAATTTTATTTTTAATAGAGATGGGGTCTCAATATGTTACAGGCTGGTCTCCAACGGCAGTGCCAAAAGCAGTCCTCCTGCCTCAGCCTCTCAAAGTGCCAGGAGTACAGGAGTGGAGCCACTTTTGTTTGGCCCTATTTTTTTTATTTATTTTTATTTTTTGAGACAAGGTCTCTGTCACCCAGGCTGGAGTGGAGTGGCGCAATCTTGGCTCACTGCAGCTTTCGCCTCCCAGGCACAAGTGATCCCCCCACCTCTGTCTCCCGAGTAGCTGGGACAATAGGTTCGTGCCACCACACCCAGCTAATTTTTTATATTTTGTAGAGACGGTTTCACCATGTTGCCCAAAGCCTTATTGTTCAAGCACATACTGTTCATATGCTGCCTCTTATAGATGTCCCAAAGCCCCACCTGCTTTCACAGCATGGCACAGGACGTTTTGTGTGGACACGGGTGAATGGATGAAGAAGGTGCTCTTAGGCTCCAGGAGCAAGTTGGCTGGGAAGTCCCAGGTTGCTGAGTGTACCAAATCCTGCAGAACTACCTGAGTGTCTGTAGCAGAACAGCAATTTTAATTGATTAGACCTTTTTCTTTTTCTTTTTTTTTTTTTTTTTTTTTGAGGCAGGGTCTCATTCCGGTTGCCCAAGTCGAGTGCAGTGACAGAATCTCAGTTCACTGCCACTTTGACCTGGGCTCAGGTGATCCTCCCGCCTCAGCCTCCCGAGTAGCTGGGACTGCAGCCACGTGCCACCACGCTTGGCACATTTCTTTGTATTTTTAGTAGAGATGGGGTTTTGCCATATTGGCCAGGGTTGTCTCGAACTCTGGACTCAATCCACCCACCTGCCTTCTCAAAGTGCTGGGATCATAGGCATGAGCCGCTGCACCTGGCCTGAGTAGATGTTGTAAAATGTGGACTTTCCACTCATACCTGTTTCCAGCACCAGGAGACAAGAATGACAGTGATAATACTGTCTTGTACCAAGTCTGGTTACTTTGATACAGAAACCACAAGCATTTTTGTTTTTATAAGATGGCTTGGGTAGTAATAAAATAAGTCTGTGGCTCTCAAATTCTGTAATCTGGATTGTACCCCATTTCGCAAATGGGGAAATGTTTAACAGCTCAGCAAGAAGTTATCCTCGTCCTAGAGTCCTGGGCCCATCTGCTTCAGCACTGCCTGCCACACCAGGCCCACAGGGACAGGCGTGACACTAAGGTGTGCCTTCAAAAGTGAATGGGCTGTACTCCTCCGCATGGCTTTTTCTCTCGTGTCCTGCTTTAATAAGTCCTGCTTACGTTAGAAATTCCTATTTTTCATCTAAAAAACTTTGGAAATCCCGGCACTTTGGGAGGCTGAGGCAGGCGGATCACGAGGTCAGGAGATTGAGACCATCCTGGCTAACACGGTGTAACCCCATCTCTACTAAAAATACAAACAATTAGCTGGGCATGGTGTGTGCCTGTAGTCCCAGCTAGTCAGGAGGTTGAGGCAGGAGAATCACTTGAACCTGGGAGGTGGAGGTTGCAGTGAGCCGAGATCGCGCCATTGCAGTCCAGCCTGGGCGACAGAGCAACACTCTGTCTCAAAAAAAAAAAAAAAAAAAAAAAACAACCTTTGGCAATCTTGAGTAAAATGAGGTATGCCTGTATCTGCATAGATTCTGTAAAAGTGCATGAGGTATGTGATGCCTGCCAGTGAAAGATAGGACTAATCACAAAATGATTCTTAGCTGCCTCACTTAAGCAAAATTTGACTTCTCTGGCCTCCAGGAACTCTGGCTTTCCTAACAGGTCTCAACCCTTCCTGGCCTGTTTGTTCCAGATCCTCCCTCTCTGTGCATGCTCCAACTGTTCCTGTCCTCTTAACCTTCCCCGCTCCTTAGTGAAGCTTCCCCGGCACCATGTTGCCTTCATATTCTAACCTGCAATTGGCGAGCACAGTGAGAACATCCAAACCAGGACAAATGCAGAACCCAAGAGAGTAGACAGTATTGTCTCTAATGAGTCCAGTGTTCCCACCACTTAACAGCCCTGTCAGTCTCAGTCAGCCCTCTTTGATGCTTCCCCCCAGGGTATTTTAACGCAAATTTCAAGCATGTTGTCTTACCCATAAATTACCATGCATCCCAACCCAAACCGGCAAAGGTACCTGGCTGTGATTAACCTACTGGAATTAACAGTGACAGTATCACGCACCCTCCAGTCCAATGTTCCTAATTGTTGCAGCACTGTTTCTTATGATGGGTTTGAAACAAAATCCAGTTAGCTTTTGCTGCGTAACACACTACCTCAAACTTCATGGCTTAAGACTGATTATTTACTAAGATTCTGTGAGGCAGCTGGCCTGGCCTAGTGGGAACGGATGGTGGAGGTGGCTTTGTTCACATGTCTGCTGGGGGGACTGCTGGCACAGCAAGCAAGCAAGCAAGCATCTGTGTGTAAGCAAGCCCTTGTCACTCTGCTTGGGTCACTTTTTTTTTTTGAGATAGAGTCTTGCTCTGTTGCCCAGGCTGGAGTGCAGTGGCACGATCTTGGCTCACTGCAAGTTCTGCCTCCTGGGTTCACGCCATTCTCCTGCCTCAGCCTCCCGAGCAGCAGGAACTACAGGCGCCCGCCACCACACCCGGCTAATTTTTTTGTATTTTTAGTAGAGACGGGGTTTCACCGTGTTAGCCAGGATGGTCTCGATCTCCTGACCTCATGATTCGCCCGCCTCAGCCTCCCAAAGTGCTGGGGTTACAGGCGTGAGCCACTGTGCCCGGCGTTGGGTCACCTTTTTAACGTTCCATCGTCTAACGTGGATGGCACAGGCAGCGCCACTGCAGTGAGAGCACAGCAAGGGGAACGGGGCGGCCATCTCGGCGGCTGGCTGCAGCAGGGTCTACATGCTGTTCCCCCATCACCTGAGTATTTATTCTAGAACAGTAATTCTTGCGGACCTTTTTTTGAATGCCCTACACTGGATGTGGTTGACTTCTCTGTAAGCATACACTTACGTCTCAAGTGGGGACATTAGTCTTGCACATGACTGTGGGCCCAGCCCCCACTGTGGATTGCTCTGACCCCAGGCACAGGAAGATGACGGCAGGCAAATTCTGACTTTGGGCTTCATTTTTGTCAGAGAACTAGTGAGGAGAGGATAGGTAGGCATGCTTGTGAGCCAGGCAGTAAGAGGATCAACTGTAAACAGCCTGGCTTCTAGTTAGGAAGCCATAAGTCCTGTTGCCCCCAGAAGTACACCCGGATGGTCATAAGAGACTAAAGAGATCTCAGGGCCATCATATGCTTTACATCCGATAGAGTGCTTAGCACATGGTGGGTCTATAGTAGTAGAATTAGTGGAAAACAAACCAAAACAGCCCCAAGATTGTCCCAAGATATAACTAGCTGAAAGGAAGAGAAAATCGTTTAAAAATGTAATAGTAGGCCAGGCGTGGTGGCTCTCGCCTGTAATCCCAACACTTTGGGAGGCTGAGGTGGGCGGATCACTTGAGACCAGGAGTTCGAGACATGCCTGGGCAACATCATGAAACCCTGTCTCTACTAAAAATGCAAAAATTAGCCGGGTGTGGTGGCACATCCCTGTAATCCCAGCTACTCAAGAGGCTGAGGCAGGAGGATCACCTGAGCCCCAAAGGTCAAGGCTGCAGTGAGCCGTGATGATGCCACTGCACTCCAACCTGGGCAACAGAGCAAGACCGTGTCTCAAAAGAAAAAAAAAATTTGAGATTCACATAACATAAACCATTTTAAAGTAAACAATTCAGCGGCATTTAATAAATCCACAGTGTTGTGCAACCACCCCTTCTAATTCCAACAAGAAAGAGGATCAGTGCTTTTCAGACTTTTCTGATCAGTAGCAGTGGATCTGTCTGAAGAAAACTTGCAAGCCCTCTCCCCAGAAAAAGGCATATGTACATAATTCTGCATGCAACTTAGGTTCACAGATCCCGAAGCCCATCCAGGGATCCCAGGGTAAGCCCTCGGTTTGTGGTTGGCTCTCAACTCTTCTGTAGAAGCAACCTCATCGTCATCAGAACCCCCTTTAGTGTTGGGGCCCAGGTGGCATGACCAGAGGGTGAAGAAGCACACAAGATAGACATCAGCCTCACCGCTGGAGAGGACGAGAAAATCTTGATCAGGATCCTCCTGCACAAGACTTGACCTTCTGAAGGCCATCTGCACATTCCATAAATCTTTCCACCTTGCAAGACAAGGCAGGCTGGGGGGTCCCCTCAGACAGACGGATAAAGGAAATAGGCCAGGCTACTCCCTCAAGGTCACAATGGATTCAGCAGTAGGCCAAGAACCCAGGACTCCATCTGGGGCTGTTTGTACATCATGCTCCTATTACATGGGAACCTGCAACATTAAGTACCATTTTTAGCACGATGCCTCCAGACAGACATTGGAAATCTGTCTGGGGTGGGACCTCCAGGGTGGTGAGAGGGTTTCAGTGCCTACAAGGCTAATCATGGAAGGATTCACGTGTGGAAGAGAGATTAACTTCGAGCAATGGAGAGAAGCAGAAGGGAAGCCAATTCCATCCTAACATAATTTTTCACTCTTTATACTAATAATTTGGTATTAGTAAATCATAATTTACTAATTCTAATAGTAAATAATACTAGTAAATACTAATAATAGTAAATACTAATAATTAGTAAATAATAGTTTTGTCACTCTTTATGCTATTTGAAAAAAAGATGGATATACAACAAAGTAGTGATTTCCCCATCCTTGGAAGCATTCAGTAACTTATTGGGGATGTTAACAGAGGAGATCAAAGTAAGGGATGGAATGGGAACAAAGTGATTTTTTTTAAAGGTCTCTCATTACCTTGTGCACCCACAGGATTGCGTTTATGATTTCAGATATTATTAGCCAGCCCAACCCAAAACAGCCCTCTATTGTTTAAACTGATTGACTAAGTCTAGGAGATACATGTTGGAAATAAGGTGACTTTTAAAAGCTCCGATTCCCTGGCACTCTTTATAGATACCTCAAACCTCCCAGGTGTTCTCTGCTTCAGTAAAATCAAGGCAATGAGGACACAAGATTTTCATTTTGTAGCTGATGTTTAGCAGAGTGTACCCATTTTCCTCGTGCATGTGCCCCAGTAAACCCTTAAGACGACAACCCCACCCCAAAGCCCATAAGCCTCTTAGCTGGATGTCTCCACCCCGCCCCCACCTCCCCTGCCCCGCAAGCCGGCTGCTGTGTTTAGTGTTTGGAGATGAAACACAGGGTTCATAGCATTGTCTCACTGGAAGCCAACCCCAGAGAAACAAGCATGCTATAGCCACTGGTTCCCAGACTTTGAGAATTCATAGACCAGTAATTCGCAAAAATAAATCTAGGGGAAGATTGCCAGCTTTTAATGTTTGCCAAGTAAGGACTTTTTTCTAAACTACCATATACTCTTGGTTATTATTTCATAAAAAGAAAGGACATTTTTCTCCTTATGCTTAGGAGCTGCATTTTGAAATACGGGTAAAATGTCGTGATGTCTGCATGTACGTTCAAATAGTTAAAAAGGAAAAAAACAGAGATAGACACAGAGGATTGCAGGCAGCAAAGTGTTAAGTGTCAAGTCTTGAAGTTGACTGTGTGGGTGTCTATTGTATTGTTCTTCTAACTTTTCTGTGCTTTAAAATTTCATAATAAAATTGTAGAAAATGCAGAGCTAATGACAGAAGGCAGATCTGTGATTGCCTGGGGCAGGAGCGTGAATGGAGGAGTTGATGGAAATGGGTACAGGGAACTTTGGGGAGTGGTGGAATTGATCACAGTGATGGTTACACAATGTATATGATGACCAAAACTCATCAAGCTGTACACTCAAAATGGGTGAATTTTGTTGGTTATTAAATAGATATATTTTACCTCTCTATATGTATCTGCCTGCACTCATCTATGTCTGTCACTATTTCAAAATTCACCCGTTTCATATATATATATCTCAATAAAGATAGAGGGCAAGAAGAAGAACAATGCCTTTTTTTTTTTTTTTTTTTTTGAGATAGAGTATAACTCTGTTACCCAGGCTGGAATGCAGTCTCGGCTCACCGCAACCTCCACCTCCCAGGTTCAAGTGATTCTTTGCCTCAGCCTCCCAAGTAGCTGGGATTATAGGCGCCTACCACCACACCCAGCTGATTTTTGTATTTTTCGTAGAGAAGGGGTTTCACCATGTTGGCCAGGCTGCTCTCGAACTACTTACCTCAAGTGATCTGCCCGCCTCGGCCTCCCAAAGTGCTGGGATTACAGGCGTGAGCCACCATGCCTGGCTGAAGAAGGATATTTTAATACCAAAAAATTAAAAAGCTCATAATCTCAAAAGGACAGTCCTTTATATTGAATAAGTTTGGCTCCCAGAAAAACTACAAGAGTGTCCTTATTTTTCTCATTTCTCCACCAAGAAGAGAAAAAATCATCACAGACCAAGAGTTGGGAATAACATTTCCAAAAAGAGTGAGATCTGTCATCCAGTCCACCCAAATTTCCCCACCTGCACGGCATTGGCAGAGCAGTGACTAAGATCTGCAGATCTGTGCCTTCCAGCAGCCGGGAACGATGAAGCAGCAGGAGAATGGGGGAATCTGGAAGCACTCACAGCTGCAAACTGGGCCTGGGTCCTGCAGCCTCAGCTCAGGGCAGCCCTCTGATGGGGACACTGAAAGAAGCACCCTAGTCATTTTTTCCCCTTTGTTTTTTTTTTTTTGAGTTGGAGTCTGGTTCTGTTGCCTAGGCTGGAGTGCAGTGGCACAATCTTGGCTCACTTCAACCTCCATCTCCTGGGTTCAAGTGATTCTTCTGCCTCAACCTTCCAAGTAGCTGGGATTACACACATCACCATGCCCAGCTTTTTTTTTTTTTTTTTTTTGTATTTTTAGTAGAGACAGGGTTTCACCATGTTGGCCTGGCCTCAAGCTCCTGACCTTCAGGTGATCCGCCCACCTCGGCCTCCCAGAGTGCTGGGATTACAGGTGTAAGCCACCGTGCCCGGCCACAGCAATTTTTTTTTTGCCCACGCTGGAATACAGTGACATGCTCACGGTTCACTATAACCTCAACATCCCAGGCCCAAACAATCCTCTGGCATAAGCCAAGTAGCTGGGACCACAGGCACACACCACCAGGCCTGGCTAATTTTGTTTACTTTTTATAGAGATAGGGTCTCACTATGTTGCCCAGGCTGTTCTCAAACTCCTGTGCTCAAGTGATCCACCTGCCTCTGCCTCTCAGAGTGCTCAGATTACAGGTGTGTGCCACTGTGCCTGGCCCTATTTATTGTTTTTTGTTTGTTTGTTTTTTTGTTGTTTGTTTTTGAGACAAGGACTCGCTCTGTTGCCCAGGCTGGAATACAGTGGTGTGATCATGGCTCACTCCAGCCTCAACCTCCCAGGCTCAAGCCGTCCTCCAGCCTCAGCCTTCCAGAGTGCTGGGATTACAGGCGTGAGCCACCACACCTCACTTATATAACACAGTTTTGTATTTTAACCTTTCTATTATAGGAGCAGTAAATGGTCATAGGAGAAAATGTGAAAAATTATAGACAAGAAAATTGAAACAAAGCCTACCATTTCATTACAAGGTAATGAGAGACCTTTAACTACCAATGTTAGCTTAAGGTGTATTCTTGCAAAGTATGCATAGGTATAGCATGCATATGAACCTGCATGTATGTGTGTAAATATGCTTGTGTGTATATGCATGTGTGTGTAAATGTACATATATGTATGTATACACAAATACATAGTCTCTGTGTGTTTGCAAAACGTGGACATGCTAAGCACACCATTCTGCAGTCTTGTTGGTTCTGTCACAATCTCTCACCTTTCTACTCCAGGCATTTTACCATAGTCAGATTTTCCCAATGAACCCAAAATGTCCTACACATCCTTTTTGACCAGTTGTGTATTCAGTCTGGGGCTGCACATGACATCTGGGTCTCGAGTGTCTTAGCGTCTTTTAATCTAGTAAACCCCATGTCTTTTTTCTTTTTTTTTTTTTTTTGAGACAGAGTCTCGCTCTGTCACCCAGGCTGGAGTGCAGTGGCACGATCTTGACTCACTGCAACCTCCCCTCCCGGGTTCAAGCAGTTCTTCTGCCTCAGCCTCCCGAGTAGCTGGAACTACAGGCGCCCACCACCACGCCTGGCTAATTTTTGTATTTTTAGTAGAGACGGAGTTTCACTATGTTGGCCAGGCTGGTCTCGAACTCCTGACCTTGTGATCCGTCCGCTTCGGCCTCCCAAAGTGCTGGGATTACAGGCGTGAGCCACTGCACCTGGCCTACCCATTTCTATGGCATTGTTTGTTGGATTTGTCTGGCTGCTCACTTGCGTCACGTAGCTCGTTCCTTGTATTTCCGATAAACTAGAAATGATGTCTGAAGGCTCATGGATTCAAGTTAACCCAAGGGGACACATCCCATGTGGCTGACACCACCAGCAATGCTAAGATTGACCATGGCATCTGCCGTGCACCTTGTGATGACACCATGATCCGTGTGGCATCACTTCACTCCTACAGTCATTTTCCCAGCAACTCTTCACCTAATGGTTTTAGCACCAATGAATAATCTTTGTGTTTTAAAATAGGGGGTTTGCAGTTCAGGTATGGTGAGGCCAACCATAGAGTATGCTAAGGATAGGGTGACATTGAAGTAAAGACTCAAAGCCATTGAAGGAGTGAGCCATGTGGCTGGCTGTGGGAAGACTGTTCCAGGAGAGGAAATAGCAAGTGGAAAGGCCTAGACGGAGGTTTAAAGAAAAGCAGGCCAGTGGTGGTGGCTCACGTCTGTAACCCCAACACTTTAGAAGGTTGAGGTGAGAGGATCAGTTGAGGTTGGGAGTTCGAGACCAGCCTGAGCAACATAGCAAGACCCCATCTCTACAAAAAGGTTAAAGAATTAGCTGGGTGTGGTGGCATGTGCCTGTAGTCCTAGCTACTCGGGAGGCTTAAGTGGGAGGAGCGCTTGAGCCCAGGAGTTCAAAGCTGCAGTGAGCTATGATTGCACCACTGCACTCCAGCCTGGGTGACAGAGCGAGACCCTGTCTCTAAAAGAAAAGAAAACAGGCTCAGTACTCTGGAGTGAAGTGGGCAAGGGAGAGGGTGGTGAGAAATAAAGTCAGAGGTAAAGGGGGGCCAGAGCATGCCGGACCTGGCAAGCATTGTCCAGACTTAAATGGGAAGCCATTGGAATGTTTGGGTGGATGCTGATACCCCAAACGTCAGAACAGGCTTTCTGCATATACTTGTTTCATTCCCAAGTCAGTCCCCCATGTAAGTGTGTTAGTGGTCGCAGAGTCCCCTCCATCCATTCCCTGAGTGTTCTTGGGAGCAGGCATTGTTCTGGGCACTGTGAAGACAAAAGTGAAGGAAACAAAATGGCCTAGGCCCTGCCCTCATGGAGCCTGGACTCCAGTGAGGGAAGAGAGACTGTAGAATAATTCCCAAGCAAGAGTGAAATGTGGCCAGGCACGGTAGCTCATGCCTATAATCCCAGCACTTCAGGAGGCCAGGAGTTTGACACCAACCTGGCCAACATGACGAAACCCCATCTCTATTAAAAATACAAAAATTAGCTGGGCATGCTGGTGCACAACTGTAATCCCAGCTACTCGGGAGGCTGAGACAGGAGAATCGCTTGCACCCAGGAGGTGGAGGCTGCAGTGAGCCGAGATCGCGCCACTGCACTCCAGCCCAGGCAACAGAGTGAGACTCTATCTCGAAAGCAAAAAAAAAAAAGAGTGAAATGCAAGCGTGCCTCCAATCTGGTCCTGGAGGTTGGGGATAGCTCCCCTGAGGAAGTGACTCCTGGTCAAAAATCTGAAAGGCCAAGAAGAGTCAACAAAGTGGAGAGAGGAGAGGCTTGTTCCAGGCAGAAATAATAGTGGGAAGGAGGAAGCGTGGCAGACGGCGTGGAAGGAAAGGCAGGCAGAGGTTCCAGAGGCTGCAAGCTTTTTGCCTGCATTCTAAGAGCAATGGGTGATTGTAAGCGAGGGATGACAGGGCTCAGAAGGTCTCTCTGCCTCTGTGTGGAAAAGGGCTTGGAGGGTAGAAATAAATGTGGTCGGCTGGGTGCGGTGACTCATTCCTGGAATCCCAGCACTTTGGGAGGCCGAGGCAGGTGGATCACCTGAGGTCAGGAGTTCGAGACCAGCCTGGCCAACATAGTAAAACCCTGTCTCTACTAAAAATACAAAATTAGCTCAGTGTGGTGGTAGGCGCCTGTAGTCCCAGCTACTCTGGAGGCTGAGGCAAGAGAATCACTTGAACCTGGGAGGCAGAAGTTTCAGCAAGCTGAGACTGCACCACTGCACTTCAGCCTGGGAGGCAGAAGTTTCAGCAAGCTGAGACTGCACCACTGCACTTCAGCCTGGGAGACAGAGCAAGACTCCATCTCAAAACAAAAAACAAAACAAAAAAAAGAAAAGAAATAGATGTAGTCAGACAGTGGGGAATCACTCCGGTCCTGAGAAGCAAAGGCGGTGCTGGGGATGGGAGGATGCAGACAGGTTCCAGAGACACTGAGGGGATCAACAGGACTCCTGAAGCCATCAATCAGTAGGACCGGGTGGAGGAGAGGGACAGATCCAGCTTGGCTTGCATAACACCAGGTTCATCTTGAGGTTGACATTTCTCCTTGACCTTTTTGTTTAGTCCCCACCCGCAAGGTCGCATTAGCTGCCTGCTGAGTTTAATCAAATCTCTTCCTGTCCTGGCAATGCCCGGGAATGAAGAGATAATCAGTCTATTTCCAGAATCCAAAGAGGTTTAGAAGAAAAAGTAGCTTTCATTTAGCTGTTGGCCCTCCCACCAACCTTCCCCAAGTCAGCTGGGTGACTCATACATCTGTGAGACCCTCCGTATGGAGACCGGGGCGGGGGGTGTTGCTTAATGCTTAGAACTGCTGAAACTACCAGTTCACTGTCTCAGCACTAATCCAACTCTGCTCCTTAAGTGGGATTTGGCTTTTAGACATTGAGACCTGGATGCTGGGCATCCTCGCTAGATCCCCTACAAATTCCCCACATACGTAGGCCAGGAGCCTCAGCGGTGCCCCTTCAGGCTCATCTGGCAAGACGGTACCAGCTTGCTCAGAACAGGGGCTGGCTATTCATCATCTCAGAGCATAGAGACCCTCTCCTTGCCACCCGGCCCTTCCCACCTGGTTGGTGACAAATCACAAGGTATGTGACCACCACAGGCCAAAACCTTATCAGAAACCTGGGGCAGGTGTGGGGAAGAGCAAGGATGGGCGTTTTCCTGCAGACAGTATGTCCCGCCTTCACCTTTTCTGTGTGGTTTCCATAAGACTTGGTTGCTATTTAAGGAGACTTGGAGTGAGCGGGTGCAATGGCTCATGCCTATAGTCCCAGTGACTCAGGAGGCTGAGGCTGGAGGATCACTTGAAGCCAGGAATTCGAGACCAACTTGAGCAATACAGTCAGACCCAGTCTCTACAAAAAAACAAAAATAAAAATAAATTAGCTAGGCATGGTGTCACACACCTGTAGTCCTGGCTACTCAGCTGGCTGAGGCAGGAGGATCACGAGCCCAGGAGTTCGAGGCTGCGGTGAGCTATGATTGTGGCACTGCCCTCCAGCCTGGGCAACAGAACGAGCTCCTATATCTTAAAAAAAAAAAAAACCTCAGAGTATGCTTAATTCTAGACCGCTAAGATGGCCTCTTAATTGTAAAACAGAGTGGCTATCTCTTAGTAGGAATTGCCAAATAGAACTTTTGGGATTTTAATATATTCTTTTTTTTTAAAAAAAGTGATAGGATCTTGCTATGTTGCCCAGGCCAGTCTCCAACTCCTGGTTTCAAATGATCCTCTCGCTTCAGCCTCCCAGAATGTTGAGATGACAGGTGTGAGCCACAGTGCCCGGCCATTAATATCTTCTTGAAAACAGTCTTTGCGAAGTGGTTATGTTGTGGTTTTCAGGAACTTTTCTGATTTATTCGCCATTAGACACAGTCACGATAGAACTTTAAATTCAACCTGGCTAAGTGTGATAACACCAAAGGTTAGTCAGAAAGTAAAACCTCATTGGAATCTAGCTAGACTCCCTGGCAAGGTGTACTGAGAAATGTTTGAAGCTTACCAAGAAAAATAAAATATTGAAAACACCCCAAAGCATGCTGCAGTAAAATACAAACTAAGCAAAGACTCACCGATGAAACTCGGATGTTGAAGCCGGTACAAGGGCATGGTGAGGACGCACAGGATCTCGTGAGTAGGTTTCATAACTAGGATGTTCTTGACTTGATATTTAGGATTGTCTTACCTTTCTCCAACCCTCTAACACCTGACCAACACCCCAAGGTGGTAGAAGTTGCCAGGGACAGATAACATGGCAGCCAGCGGGAAGACCAGCAAGTCCGAACCGAACCATGTTATCTTCAAGAAGATCTCCCGGGACAAATCGGTGAGTGGTGCACAAGTGAGTGATTTGATAGAAATTATTGTTTAAAAAAAATGGAGCTTTTTCAAGTACAGTGTAGTCATGATCAACATCAAAACTCTTTGAGGGCCAGGGCGCGGTGGCTCATGCCTGTAATCCCAGCACTTTGGGAGGCGGAGGCGGGATAACTTGAGGCCAGGAGTTCGAGACCAGCCTGGCCAACATGGCAAAACCCATCTCTACTAAAAATACAAAAATTAGCTGGGTATGGTGGCAGGCACCTGTAATCCCAGACTTGGGAGGCTGAGGCACAAGAATCACTTGAACCCAGGAGGTACAGGTTGCAGTGAGCCCAGATGGTGCCACTGCACTCTAGCCTGGGTAGCAGAGGGAGACTCTGTCTCAAATAAAAAACAAACAAACACTGTGAGGGCCAGGGAAGCTTTGTGTCTATTTTTGTCTCTGTCTAAGATGGATGATCACTGAGCTATAAATGAGTGAATGAACTGCAGAAATAGAGCTTCTCTTCAGTCTCATCAAGACTTTAGTCCTGTGTCCCTCAGTTTTCTCCGAATCCCTCAATCCCCACACTGTCACCCCCACCTCTGCATCTTTTCCTAGCCAGCCTTGAACCCTTGACTTACTATTTAAACACAGTTTTGTCAGTACCTGTGATGCCCTTGGCCTTTTGTCTATCTATTGTGTCACCTGCCTGGGTAAAACCCAGACAGTGATCAATGTGACTCCTTCTTCTCCGTGCACCTACCCCACCCGGGGGGTCTCAAGCCTCAGCTGGGCCCGCAGGGCCATTGGATAAGGGAAAATGCCCCAGTCTGCCCCCTTTCCACCACTCTCCAGGGGCACGTTAGATGCTCCAGGTGTGCCCATGAACTTCCTCGCATGGGAGAGGGTCCACCGTCCAGCCTCTGTGGATAGCTCCACTCGAAAGCTTCTTGTGGGCCAAAAATCTAGCTCAGCAACATCTAGTGCAAGCCACATATGTAATTTTAAATTTTCTAGTAGCCACATTTAAAAAGTAAGAAGAAACAGGTGAAATTCATTTTGATGTTATATTTTATTTCAGCCCACTATATCCAAAAAACTATCAGTTCAACTTGTAAATAATAATATAAGAATTATTGAAATCTGATGTGTATTTTATGTTTACAGAACATGTCAATTTGGAATGGCCATATTTCAGGTGTCCGGGAGCCACCTTAAGCAGTGGCTACCCTACTGGACAGGGTAGCTCGCCATCATTCTGGCTTTTTTTTTTTTTTTTTTTTTGAGACAGAGTCTCACTCTGTCACCGAGGCTGGAGTGCAGTGGCGTGATCTCAGCTCACTGCAACCTCTGCCTCCCAGGTTCAAGCAATTCTGCCTCGGCCTCCCTAGTAGCTGGGACTACAGGCATGTGCCACCGCGCCCAGCTAATTTTTGTATTTTTAGTAGAGACAGGGTTTCACCATGTTGGCCAAGCTGGTCTCGAACTCCTGACCTCAGGTGATCCGCCCATCTTGGCCTCCCCAAGTGCTGAGATTACAGGTGTGAGCCACCGCACCTGGCCCATTGTGGCTGACTTCTGAACCCGGTATGGGGTCCAAAGAACCTCCCCATCCTTACCGTGCCACCCAGGAGATCCGGCTTTGCCTGTGTGCTTTCTGCCTTCTCCTCTCCTAGTTAAGGAACTCGGTCATTTTAATCAAGTACTCTGATTCTTTCGTTCTCCAAGCCCTTTCCCAAGTTGTATCTTTCCAGTCCATTTTATCTCAACTTCTGGCTGAAGAGGAAACCACTCGTGTTGGTTTCCCACGTTGTTTTCCCCTTGCTCCTAGATTTTCCACCAAGAAATGTAGATGGTTTTTGTAGATAAGTCCTCACAGGTGGGAAAAGAGAATTCAATTCCTGTCTCATGTATTCAGATCATTTTGCCAGCGATGTCTGTGTGGCCCCAGGCATGGTGTGCCAGGGCTCTGAGCCCATTTCTCTGTGATTCTCCCGACGCTGCCCTCTTCTTTGACCTTCATCCTCCAGCAGGTGGCTAAATGACTGCCCCTGCTCCTGGCGTCTCACCCACACTTGACAACATCCAGAAGGAAGAGGCTGTGGTTTCCTGGGGTCTCTTGTAAGGGTCAGGAAATCTTTCCCAAGACTCTTCTCTCATATCTCATTGGCCAAAACTGGGTCACATGTCCACTGTAAACCAATCCCAAGCCAGAAGAATTAGATGATCGTAGTGAATCAGGCCAATCAAGAATCGTACCCTGGAGCCGGCCTCCTCTGAGCATACCGCCTGGTGGAAGATGGTGGTCCCTGAACAATAGTTGGCGGCTTTTATCCAGGAAGAAGGGGTGTGTGGCTGTTGGATGGGCCCCCGAAGGCTGGCTACAGTCTCACATCACCCACTTCTCTACCTGCCCCCATCCTGCCCCTGTCCTTCCTGTTGCAGTGGAAGGGGTAGTTTGCTCCCATCTGAGGTTCACCACCTCTTACACCCTGGGTTTCATGGTTGGCCACCTTCTCAGGGGCCTCAGTCATTGGTCTGGCTGTGTGTGCAGCCTCTCCTCTCTGCTAGTACTTTGTCTGAGCATAAAAATAAGTACCAGCCAGGCGCGGTGGTTTATGCCTGTAATCCCAGCACTTTGGGAGGCCAAGGCAGGTGGATCACCTGAGGTCAGGAGTTCGAGACCAGCCTGGCCAACATGGAGAAACCCTGTCTCTACTAAAAATACAAAAATTAGCCGGGCGTGGTGGTGCATGCCTGTAATCCCAGCTACTCGGGAGGCTGAGGCAGGAGAATCGCTTGAACCTGGGAGGTGGAGTTTGCAGTGAGCCGAGATCGCGCCATTGCACTCCAGCCTGGGCAACAAGAGCGAAACTCTGTCTCAAATAAATAAACAAATAAGTACCGACCTCATGCACCTTAAGAACAACCACCAACTACCCTCGACCCTATATCCTTTCTAGTTCTTCTTCCCTTGCAGCCAAACCTTTTGAAAGAGAAGAAACATGCCCTCTCTTCACCTGCCCTTGTCTCTCCCGTCCACTCTGCAGTCCCCCTCATCAGCTCCACAGTCAGGCTGCCTAACTGGTTCTCCCCTTGCCGATCCATTCTCCAGTTTGCTGCTGGCATGAGCTAAATCTCAGTGCTCCCTTCTATAAAATGGGCTGCATTCCTGTCTCATTGAGTTGCTGTGAGGATTAAGTGAAACCATGTGGTCAAAGTGCTTAGCTTGGCCCCTGATACATGATAAGCACTCGAAATGCTATTTAATTCTTCCAAAAGCTATTTCTCTATTTAGCTTTCCTAAATACTGTTTAATTCAAGTCTTTCATCCTGCTTAAAACGCTTCAACGTCTTCTGAGGTTCTTTAGGGCCACGTCCTATGAGACCATTTCAGCAGCAGCAGCCTGCATCCCCATTCAGTGGCATGGTGAAGCCATTGGCAGTTCCAGAAGCATTCTCGGGGCCCCGGGCTTCGTATACATTTTGCTCAGAGAGCATGCCCTCAACCGTCCCCTGTCCTCTGGCTATGCCATTTGTCCACCAGGTAGAGCCTCCTCTGAAAGCAAGAGCCTTCCCTCTCTCCTTCCCTCCTCAGTGCCCTCCCCTCAGGCTTCCTCCCCACCAGCCTTTGCCCTGGCATTTATTCCAGGGGCACAATTGCCAGTTCACTTGCTGGGCTCCCAACCAAAGAGCAGGGACCTTGGGGACCAAGGGGATGTCTTCTTCGGTTTTTATTTTCAGTAGCCAGCAGCTGCTGGGGCCTCTGTAACCGTGTGTGGGATAGATGAAAGCAGTATTTGCCTAATTGACAGGCGAAGTCTAGCAAAGGAGACAGGCTCCTGCAAGAGCACCCAGAACACAGTGTGCTGCACACTGAGGTGTGGTCGCAGGCCACATGCTCCCGGGGCACCAAAAGCCAGGGGGTGCTGGGCAAAGGGAGAGATGGGGACCGTGAGGTGTCCCCTGAAGCGTGGGTAGGATTTCCCCCAGGTGAAAGTGCAGCAGAAGGGCCTTCCTTACCGTGGAAACAATAGGAACAGAGGCACAAATCTGTGGTGTTTGGGGGAGCTGTGGCAGAGCCGCTGTGGCCAGAGCCCAGGGAAGAGTGGAGCTGTTAGAGAGGATGCTCTCAGGGTGGCCACGCACAAGGCGCTGGGGTTTATTCCACAGAGAAGGAGTGAGCAGCCAGTAGACACTGAGCAGCAGAATAGCGAGGTCATAGTTACCATTCCTGCAAGGCAGCCTCCAAATTGGTTGATTTGGGGAGAATTTTTTTTTTTTTGAGACAGGGTCTTACTCTGGAGACCAGTGAAGATCTCTTTACCCCCTTTGTGGGAGAGCAGGGTTGGAGTACAATGGTACGATCGTAGCTCACTGCAGCCTCAACCTCCTAGGCTCAAGTGATCCTCCTTCCTCAGCTTCCCAAGTAGTTGAGACTACAAGCAGGCACCACCTTGCCCGGGCTAATCTTTTTTTTTTTTTTTTTTTTTTTGAGAGATGGCAGGGGACAGAGGAGGGGGTATCACTTTGTTGCCCTGGCTTGAACTCCTGACTTCAGGTGATCCTTCCCACCTTGGTCTCTCAGTGTTGGGATTACAGGCATGAGCCACTGTACCTGGCCAGAGGAGAGTTTTTAAAAGGGGCTGTTTGCTAGGGTGTAGGCAGGTGTGAAAGAAATCACAAGAAATAGCCAGGTACAGTGGTGGCTCATGCCTGTAATCCCAGCACTCTGGAAGGCCGAGGTGGGTGGATTGCTTGAGCCCAGGAGTTTGAGACCAGCCTGGGCAACATGGCGAGACCCTGTCTCTACAAAAAAATATAAAAAATTAGCTGGGCATGGTGGCGTGCATCTGTAGTCCCAGCTACCTGGGAGGCTGAGGTGAGAGGATCACTTGATCCTGGGAAGCAGGGGTTGCAGTGAGCTGAGATAGTGCCACTGCACTCCAGCCTGGGCGACAGAATGAGACCTTGTCTCAAAAAAAAAAAAAAATTACAAGAAAGAGCTCCATGCGCCACACGGCAGTGACGAGCAGCTGGGTGCTGGCACCTCCCTGGGGTTAAGGGATGAGGGATCGCACAATTCTCAGAACCCCGAGGCCCTCAGGGCTACCTCCCAGGAACTGTGATCCCCACTAGAGGGCTGTGCCAGCCGCAGGCCCAGCCACCATGCAGGCAAGGTGGGGACAAACATCTGGCCCACCTTGCCCAGAAGCCAGAAGACCAGGGAATCTACTAGGGCAACACGCCCTGGTCAGCCCCGCAGGGTGGATCTTGAGGGCAAGGCCAAGACACCCACAGTGTTTAGGAAGCTGGGACTCGCTGCAGCAACCAGCAGGTAGCAGTGTGTGTCCCGGTCAGCCCGCTGCTCACAGGTGCCAGGCTTCCACACCACCCAGGCTAGTGAGGCCTCCCAAACATGCTTAGCGCTGGGAGTATAAGGTTTCCTACGGAATCTTCTCTGTAAACCAGGGTTCTAGTGGTATTTGCTGGAAGTCACTTCAGCATCATTCATGCGAGTAACCTAGAGGGCACAGGGCTACGCTTCGGGACATCTGATATGGGTGAAAGGGGAGCGTATAGGAGAGGACTTAATGCCAACAAAAATGATTTAGGCCGTTCCTGGAATTCAAAATATTCATTCGAAGAAGGGGGCCAGCCAAGGGGGCCACACTCAATGAAAGAGTGTACTCTCATTCATTGGTGCACTTGGCAAACACTGAATCCCTGTGTGTCCTAGACTCTGCAGTAGATGCTTAAAGATGTGCAGAGACTCCAGATTACTACCACCAAGCCACAGTCCTATGGATTAAAGTGCTGAGGGCTGGGAAACCCAACCCTGCTCTCCCATAAGTGGGTAGAGACCTTCGTTGCCAGGGGCAGGACAGGGCCAGGGCCTGTGGGCCCAGATGATGGCCATCCCCTTCCCACCCAGCTCCCTCAGTGCGTGGCTTTAGGTCTACCTGTGCAGTAGTTCACCTGGTGGGATTTCAGGGGCTTCTCCAGAACTCACACCTCTTTGCGTTGTCCAGAAGTTCTTTTTTTTTTTTTTTTTTTTTTTTTTTTTGAGACAGAGTCTTGCTCTGTCACCCAGGCTGGAGTGCAGTGGAACGATCTCTGCTCACTGCAACCTCCACCTCCTAGGCTCAAGCAACTCTCCTGCCTCAATCTCTCGAGTAGCTGGAATTACAGGCGTATACCATCATGCCCAGCTAATTTTTGTGTTTTTAGTAGAGACAGGGTTTCGTCATGTTGGCCAGGCTGGTCTCAAACTCCCGACCTCAGGTGATCCGCCCGCCTCAGCCTCCCAAAGTGCTGGGATTACAGGGGTGAGCCACCACACCCAGCCTGTCCAGAAGTTCTTGTGACAAAGAGGGGCTACCTTTCATTCCACAGCTGGAAATAAAAGATTTAACATGCAAATGGATGGCAAAAGTCTCATTTACATAATTTTCTTTCTTTCTTTTTTTTTTTTTTGAGACGGAGTCTCACTCTGTTGCCCAGGCTGGAGTGCAGTGGCGTGCTCTTGGCTCACTGCAACCTCCGCCTCCCAGGTTTAACTGATTCTCCTGCCTCAGCCTCTTGAGTAGCTGGGACTACAGGCGCGTGCCACCACGCCCAGCTAATTTTTATATTTTTTTTTAGTAGAGACAGGGTTTCACCATATTGGCCAGGCTCAAACTCCTGACCTCGTGATCCGCCCGCCTTGGCCTCCCAAAGTGCTAAGATTACAGGTGTGAGCCACCGCGCCCGGGCTGCTGCTGGTTTTTATCATGGATGCCTTAGCTTAGCATTCTTTGGCCCTTAGACCCACACCTGTTCTTCTTGCAGGTGACCATCTACCTGGGGAACAGAGACTACATAGACCATGTCAGCCAAGTCCAGCCTGTGGGTAAGTTGCTTGGAGAAAACTGTAATGCTGGTTTTCCTTTAAGTCACAGATAACCGCTCACTTTGTGTTTTTAAAAACTGGCCTTGCTAATAATCTAAATAAAGACATGCAAATTAAAACATCAGTGAGGCGCCACTGGCTGATTGGAAACAATTTTATTTATTTTTATTTTTATTTTTATTTTTATTTTTTTGAGATGGAGTTTCATTCTTGTTGGCCGGGCTGGAGTGCAGTGGCATGATCTTGGCTCACTGCAACCTCTGCCTCCTGGGTTCAAGTGATTCTTCTGCCTCAGCCTCCCAAATAGCTGGGATTACAGGAATGCATCACCACGCCCAGCTAATTTTGTATTTTTAGTAGAGATGGGGTTTCACCATGTTGGCCAGGCTGGTCTCAAACTCCTGACCTCAGGTGATCCGCCCGCCTCGGCCTCCCAAAGTGCTGGGATTACAGGCATGAGCCACTGTGTCCGGCTGGAAAGAATTTTAAAGAGTGTGAAGAGACAAAGGACTCATGTCTGGAATGTATGAAGAACGCTCAGAACTCAGCAGTACAAAAAGCAAGATCCTATGAGAAAATGGGGGAAAGACAGGAAGATACATTTCATCAAAGAAGATACATGAAGACAAGCAAGCACATGAAAACATCTTTGGTATCATTAGCCACTAGGGAAATACAGATTAAAGCTACAGTGAGAGCATATTATACACCTACCAAAATGGCTAAAATATTTTAGGTTGGTGCAAAAGTAATTGCAGTTTTTTGCCATTACTTTCAATGTAGTGGCGAGATCTTGGCTCACTGCAACCTCCACCTCCTGGGCCCAAGCGATCCTCCGACCTCAGCCTCCCAAGTAGCTGAGACTACAGGCATGTGCCACCACGCCTGGCTAATTTTTGTATTTTTTGCAGAGATGGAGTTTTGCCATGTTACCCAGGCTGGTCTTGAACTCCTGAGCTCAAGTGATCTGCCTGCCTTAGCCTCCCAAAGTGCTGAGATTACAGGCGTGAGCCACTGCACCCAGCAGCAGCTTCTTAAAACATGAAACACATACTTACCATATGACCCAACAGTTGCATCCCGGGCACTTATCTCAGAGAAATGAAAACTTGTGTCCTCACAAAAACCTATACATGATTGTTCACAGCAGCTTTATTTGTGGTAGCTCCAAACCGGAAAGAACCAAAATGTTTCTCAGAATGTCCCACGTCAGCTTCCTAGTTTTGATATTGTACTGTAATTATGGCAGATGGAACCATTGGGAGAAACTGGATGAAGGATACTAGGGACGTCTCTGTACTATCTTTGCAACTTCCTGTGAATCTATAATCATTTCAACACAAAACGTCTTTTAAAGAGTGTAGAAAAACTGGCAGTTTCAGACACTGGATATGCAAATGTGCCTTGGCAAAACACTTTCTGGAAGGTTATTTGGCAGCATGTTATCAAAAGCCAAATCCAATTCTATAATTTATTTTTAAAAAGTCATGGAGAGATATAAAGACATATGTATAAGGATGTTCATCACAATATTAATTACAATGGGAAAAATTGGAAACAACCTAGATGCCCTAACAATAGGAAGTGATTAAATAATTTATGGTACATCCATTCAATGGAGTAATACATAGCTATTAAAATGATTAGCACGTTTTCTCTATATGTGTGTGTGTGTATATATATACGTGTGTGTATAGATGTATGTATGTGAGTATGAATAGATGTTTGCAATGTATAATTGAGTGAGGAAAGCAGTTAGCTGAACAGTATGTACAATAGGATCTTTTTCTTTACTTAGTAAAAGCATTCGTATAATTAAGTTATATATGTCTGGAAAAAAATTTTTTTTGTCGGGGGTGTGGGACAGTGTCTCTATCACCCAGGCTGGAGTGCAGTGGCACAGTCACAGCTCACTGCAGCCTCAACCTCCCAGGTTTAGGAATTCCCCCTACCTCAGCCTCTCACATAGCTGGGACCACAGGCATGCACCACCGCACCTGGCCCATGCCCTGCTAACTTTTTTTCTTTTTTCTTTTTTGTATGTTTTGAGAAAAGGTCTGGCTCTATTACCCAGGCTGGAGTGCAGTGGCATGATCATGGCTCACTGCAGCCTTGACTTCCCGGGCTCAAGGGATCCTCCTGCCTCAGCCTCCTGAGTAGTTGGGACTACAGGCATGTACCACCACACCCAGCTAATTTTTTTTTTTTGTTTTTTTATAGAGACAGGCTCTCATTTTGTTACCCAGGCTGCTGGCTAATTTTTTTTAAAAACTTTTTGTAGAGACAAGGATCTCACTATGTTGCTCAGGCTGCTCTCGAACTCCTAGGCTCGAGCAGTCCTCCTGCCTTGGCCTCCCAAAGTACTGGGATTACAGGCATGGGCCACCACACCTGACCTGGAAAAATAAAATAAAAATCTGCACCAAGATCTTCACAATAGGTATTTTCAGGCAGTAGGAATTTGGATGACTTTTTTCCCTTTGCCTGACTTTTCTTTCTTTCTTATAATGAACATGGATTACATGTGTAATTAAAAACATGCGCAGTTTTTAAAGTAGGTGTCTGGTTTCTTTCATCTTCTCCACCCTCACTGCTCTCTCCCTCTTTTGCCTTAGATGGTGTCGTGTTGGTTGATCCTGATCTTGTGAAGGGAAAGAAAGGTGAGATGAAGCCCCTTGTCTCAGGCTGGTTTCTGGGCGGAGTGGACTGCTCTCTGGGCGGCTCTGGGAAGGGGCATTTACATGGAAGGAGAGACAGGAAGGCAGAGGCAGCGCTCTTGCACATGGAACCAGTGCCAGGCCCACTGACCCACACTCCTGTACCTAATTCACGTGACATAGGTCCTGTTGACACCAGAGCTCACTCGCTCAGCAAAGTCATTGTCCAGGGTGGCAGATAAGTAGATGGTAGACGGAGCCCAGGTCTGTGGCCCCCATTCCTGTTTGCTCGCCCCTGTTTCATGTACTTCTGTGCTAGGGGCAAACTCAGGAGGGTGCCTGGGGTGCCTAGGACTCAGGAGGACACAAGACCTTGAATGAATGAGGGGCGAGTGAGTGGGCAGTGTTTCTTCTGAGTCAGTGGCGAGGGGCAGTTACCGTTGGGGCTGACAGGCAAAATTCTCAACCAACACCAAAAAGGGGGAAATGATGCCTGCTGGGGGCAGGGGGAGTAAGACCCAGAATTTATTATGGTGCTTACTTCGATGGTTCTGAACCAGTGTCACGGCGCCCTTGAAGATTTCTGGCAGTTTTGATGTGTGTGGTAAGTAATTTGTTACTAATAACAGTTGCATAAACCAAATTAGAACAGATTCCAGCTATCCTTGTGATAATGTCACTGACTCAGTTCCATTCTAAATATGCCTTTTTGAGTGTTGCTACTGGCAACATCAAGGAATTGTTCAGAACCCTGGATGTGCCACTGGAATACGTCAGCTATGGGGCCATCAGCATTGAGGGGGCATGGCTGAAATGGGGCCCCAAACGGCCCCCTCTGTCCTCTCCACCTTCCTCCTGGGTGCCCTGCTCCTCTCTGGACCAGGAGGCATCTGGTTTGAGCCCCGAAAGCCCAAGTCCTTGACCAGAGAAGGGCGCCTGTTCTCAGGGAAAGCCACTGCACAGGACAGCTGTCAAACCACGTGGTCTCTGGGCACCTTCTTAGTCCTGAGCTTGAATGAGGGGCGAGTGAGTGGCCACTGTTTCTTCTGAGTCAGCAGCGAAGGGCAGTTACCTTTGGGGCTTGCAGGCAAAATTCTCAACCAACAGCTACCACGCACTTGGCGGGGCCGCCTCTCGTGCTTTATATTTGAGAAATATGTGCTTCGTGTCTTTTTTAGAAGGTGTAGTGAACTTCATACAATTCTTCTGGTCTACTGGGCGCACACTTCAGGTCTGTTCAACAAGTAGAATTTTCAGAAGTGGGGGTTTAGAGAATGCTCAGTATGTTTCAGAGCAGCGTGAAAAGGAGGCTGGAACTTGAGCCTTCTCAAGTTGGATTTCACCTCCCCATGTGGCCTGTGAGCCTTCAGGCTCCTCACTCAGCCCACGATTGACCCTGGCCCACATCTGCTTTGCTGCCCAGCGCTGTTTCCCTCTGCATCTTACCTTCTTCCTTCATTCGTCCAGACATCCTGCCCTCTAGAACCTGAGCAGCCAGCACTGTCTCAAAGCCTCTGAGGCCACAGAGCTAGGGAATGAAGGGGGCGGGCAGGATGGAGGGGACTGGGTCCTCTGTCTTCAGATTTCTACCATTCTGGCAACATGATACAATTGGGAGGAAGATGCCAGGATCTCCCTTTAGAGCGGTGAACCCTCATGAAGGGGCTGATTCTCCAGAGTGGTGTGGAGTAGCTGGGTGGCAGGGTTCTCTCCAATCCCAGCCCCTATCCCCTCCAGATGCTAAAGGTTGAAAACCCGTGTTCGCTGCCCATTCCGTCAGTGGTGGTGGGTGCCAGGCCGAGGGCCAAGTCCGACCCTGCCTTCATCTCCCTTGCAGTGTATGTCACTCTGACCTGCGCCTTCCGCTATGGCCAAGAGGACATTGACGTGATCGGCTTGACCTTCCGCAGGGACCTGTACTTCTCCCGGGTCCAGGTGTATCCTCCTGTGGGGGCCGCGAGCACCCCCACAAAACTGCAAGAGAGCCTGCTTAAAAAGCTGGGGAGCAACACGTACCCCTTTCTCCTGACGGTGGGTGACTCCTCCGGCCAGCCCTGCTTCCTTCACCCGCAGCACCTTATCATGTGGATGGGGGCAAAGGAAAGGGGATAGAGGAAGAACTTCACATCTGCAGGCCTGGAAATTGCACCCTTGAAAGAAATTCTAGATTGCATGGTCTGTGATTGTCTTTTTTTAAGTCCTTGAAAATAGCCTCTTAGCCTTTGAAGACACCCTTTCAACCTACCGTTTACATATTTCCCTTGACCCGACCCCCTAATTACATGAGCACGTGTTATTCCTTTGCTTGCTAAGCTCGAAAAAGAAAGCTCACAGAAATGCCCCTCGGCCCTGGGGAGTTCTAAGTAGGAAAGGGTTCCCTACAGGACAGGAGAGCTTAGCGAAGTAAGATGTCATCTTTTTCCTTGCCCACAGCTTGGGGGATCACAGGAGATATTTTCATCTCTCTGGGGGCCCGTCTGTCATCCATTGAGACCTGGCTACCAACGGTGCCAGCGTGCAAACTCTCTGAAGTCTTGGGCGTGAGCTCAATTGGGGGAAGCTACCATCTGCTTTACGAGCATGTTTATTTGTCTTAAGAGAATATACACTTCCAAAGTTACATGGTTCAGCCTTAAAAAGGAATGAAATTCTGTTCTGTGCTACACCATGGATGAATCCTGAATACATTATACTAAATGAAAGGACCCAGACACAAAAAGACAAATACTCTATGGTTTCACTTACAGGAGATACCTGGAGTAATCAGATTCATACAGACAGAGACAGAATAGAGCTTCCCACAGGCTGGGGGGTTGGAGGATGGGGAGTTGGGGTTTAATGGGAACAGAGCTTCAGATTGGGAAGATGAAAAATGTTCTGGTGATAGATAGTGGTGATTACTGCAGAATGGTGTGAATGTACTTCATGCCAATGAACCGTACAGTTAAAAGAGCTTAAATGGTAAATTTGATGTTATTCTATGTTTATCACAACTGTTTTACAAAATCACATTTACAAAAAAGTTATAAGGTCCTGGGTGCTCCCATGTACCTGTGCTGGGAGTTTGAAGTGACATAACCTTTTAGAGACAATATGTCAACACGTATTGAAAGCCTTAAAACGTGTGCTTCTCCGAGGTCAGGAGATTGAGACCATCTTGGCTAACATGGTGAAACCCCGTCTCTACTAAAAATACACACACACACACACACACACACACACACACACACACACACACACACACATTAGTCAGGCGTGGTGGCGGGTGCCTATAGTTCCAGCTACTTGAGAGGCTGAGGCAGGAGAATGGTGTGAACCCGGAAGGCAGAGCTTGCAGTGAGCTAGATCGCGCCACTGCACTCCAGCCTGGGTGACAGAGCGAGACTCTGTCTCAAAAAAAAAAAAAAAAAAAAAAAAGTGCTTCTCTTTCTAGCAGTTCAGCTTATGGAATTAATTGTCTAAAACTGATTTATTACAGCATTGTTTGTAATGGCAAAAAAGTAAAGACCACTTCAGTAGCCAGCAAAGGGGACTGGCTACGTTAAGTGTACATTATAGAGCCCTAAAAAGGATGATTCAGAACTGTATTTTATGATGTGGGAAAATGGTCACAATGCTTTCTGAAAAGGGCTAGAATTAATGAAGTGAGTAAACAGACTACAGAACGTGATCATCACTTTGTCCCATTTCTGTAAAACGTCTTCTCACATATACATATTTGGGCGTGGCCAGTTGCAGTGGCTCACACCTATAATCCCAGCACTTTGAGAGGCCAAGGTGGGTGGATTACTTAAGATCAGAAGTTTGACACCAGCCTGGGCAACATGGTGAAACCCCATCTCTAGCAAAAATACAAAAATTAGCTGGGCATGGTGGTGTGTGCCTGTAATCCCAGCTACTCCACTGCACTCCAGCCTGGGCGACAGAGCAAGACTCCATCTCAAAACAAAACATACATATTTATGTGTACAGGCAGGAAATTTTGGGAAGGTTATGTTAGCAATATGTATTTGGGTGTCAGGAGTATAGGTGAATGTGATTTTTCTTTTTTCTTGCTTATCATCTTTATTTTCTAATTTTTACATGATTATATATTACTTAATGGAACAGCCCCTTCTGAAATAAATGATTTTTTATTTGTTTCTTTCCACAGTTTCCTGACTACTTGCCCTGTTCAGTGATGTTGCAGCCAGCTCCACAAGATTCAGGGAAGGTTAGTTCAAGAAGAAATGCCATGGTTTTATGGATTTGTTCATTCCTTCAATAGACTTTTTTATTGTTTTTGAAACAGGGTTTTACTCTGTCACCAATGCTGGGGTGCAGTGGCGTGATCTTGGCTCACTGCAACCTGTGGTTTCTGGGCTCAAGTGATTCTCTAGCCTCAGCATCCTGAGTAGCTGGGACTACAGGTGTGTGCCACCATGCCCAGCTAATTTTTGTATTTTGTGTGGAGGCGGGGTTTCACCACACTGACCAGGCTGGTCTCAAACTCCTGACCACAGGTGATCTGCCTGCCTTGGCCTCCCAAAGTGCTGGGATTACAGGTGTGAGCCACTGCACTGGCTCCTTCAATAGACTTTTTTTTTTTTAGATGGAGTTTCACTCTTGTTGCCCAGGCTGGAGTGCAATGGCATGATCTCGGCTCACCACAACCTCTGCCTGACAGGTTCAAGCGATTCTTCTGCCTCAGCCTCCCGAGTAGCTGGGATTACAGGCGTGGGTCACCATGCCTGGCTAATTTTGTAATTTTAATAGAGATGGGTTTTCTCCACATTGGTCAGGCTGGTCTCGAACTCCCGACCTCAGGTGATCTGCCTGCTTTGGCCTCCCAAAGTCCTGGGATTACAGGCGTGAGCCACCGCGCTCGGCCCATTAGACTTTTAAAGATAGCTTTTTTTCATGGAAAATTTCAAACGTACCCAAAAGTAGAGAGACCAGTATAAAGATCCTCTATGAACCCATCACTCATCTTCAGCAGTTATTAACCATGAACATCCTTGTGAACAAAATCACAGAGTCCCAACCCCCATGAGTCTCACACATTAACCGAGAGCACCAGGTAAACCCAAATAACAAGGAACTACACGGCATGCCAGGTGGCCACAGATGCTGTGGAGAACAAGAGGCTTGTGAGAGACAAGGGGAGTATCTGGTGGGATGTGTGTTGAGGATGTTTAAAGCCAGTCTCTAATGAGGCAAAGGAGAAAGCCACACTCTCCCAGGGGAGAGCCTTCCAGGTAGAGGGCGCACCTCGCCTGGTGTGTTCCGGGGGCAGTGAGGAGGTTGCCTGCTGAGTGAGAGGAGCAAGGGATGAAAGGGGGAGGCCAAGTGCAGTGGCTCAGGCCTGTCATCCCAGCACTTTGGGAGGCTGAGGTGGGCGGATCAACCCAGGAGTTCAAGACTAGCCCGGGCAACGTGGCGAGACCCCATCTCTACAAAAAATACAAATATTAGCCAGGATTGGTGGCACATGCCTGTAGTACCAGCTACTTGGGAGGCTGAGGTAGGAGGATCACTTAAGCCCTGGAAGCAGAGGCTGCAGTGAGCTGTGATCATGCCACTGCACTGCGCTCTAGCCTGAGCGATAGAGTGAGACCCTGTCTCAAAAACAAACAACAAACAAAAAAAGTGGGAAGCTGAGGTTAGAGTGGAAGGGGAGGTGTGGCCAGATCATGAAGGGCCTTGTCGATGTTGTAGAGACTTGAGTTTTTGCCTGAATGAGATGGGAGCCATTGGCAGGCTGTGAATGACAGGCGCTGACTTTCCAAATGGTCACTATGGCCACAGAGTTGAGAACAGAGTTGAGATGGCCAAGCATGTGCTGTGGGGACTGAGGGTGTGTGAGAGAGGAGTGAGTCAGGTGGACGGGGCTCCAGCATGGAAGGAGGCGGTGGGGACAGGAGGAGAAGGAGGTGCCAGGACCCGTGGGTTCAGGCCCTCTAAGCCACTGGGTCTGGGATTCATGAGGAAGGGAGCTACACAGAGAGGCAGTTTCTGTAACTGGATTATGGGATGGGCAGTGATAGGTGATGACAAGGGCAGTGTTTTTGTCGCAGGGCATCTGCGACATCTGACCCGTTAGTGGTTCGTGAAATCAATGTAGTGGATCCAAAATGGAAGGGAACAGAATGGAATGGAATAGAATAGAACAGACAGGGTGCGGTGGCTCATGCCTGTAATCCCAGCACTTTGGGAGGCCGAGGCGGGCAGATCACCTGTGGTCACGAGTTTGAGACCAGCCTGGCCAACATGGCAAAACCCCGTCTCTACTAAAAATAGAAAAATTAGCCAGGCATGGTGGCGCGTGCCTGTAATCCCAGCCAATTGCTTGAACCTGGGAGGCGGAGATTGCAGTGAGCCGAGATTGTGCCACTGCATTCCAGCCTGGGCATTAGAGCAAGGCTCCATCTCAAAAAAAAAAAAAAAAAATTAGCTGGGCATGGTAGTGTGCTACTTGGGAGGCTGAGGTAGGAGAATCACTCAAACTTGGGAGGCGGAGGTTGCAGTGAACTGAAATTGTGCCACTACACTCCAGCCTGAGCAACAGAGCAAGACTCCATCTAAAAAAAAAAAAAAATAGAACAGAACAAAATGGAATGGATTGGAAAATCTCAGAGTATGTCACACATGGTGAAGCTGAATATGGTGTCAGGAGAGTTGTTGCACGTTTGTGTCTGTTTACTGGGCTGTGTTACAAATCCAACTTTCAGAACATCTCGAAGCTAGTGGTCCAGGACAATGGGGTGGGGTGTGCGCAGCCAAGATGGGGGAAGATGAGGTGATTACAGAAGAAGGGGGCACAGAACAATGGGGAATGGAATTGGTTGTGTTAGATCTTATAGTGCTCTATAAGAGAGACCCCAAATTCAGATTTTTAGGTGACCTTTCTTGATTTTTACAACACTGTATAGGCCCAACAAAGCACCACCTATTTTCTGTTCTAGGAGAGGAGCAGGTCTTAGCACAGCTGCAGGGCTTCAGGAAAGTGGGTGCGCCCTGAGCCCAGGGAGCTTGAGAGAAGTGCCTGAATGCCTGGGGGCCTGGGGGCTTGACAGCTGAGAAGCCCAGGTGGGCGAGCAGAACAGGCGTTGGTGTGGCTCAACAACGGCCGGCTGATGGCAGGGAAGGATGCATATTTATTTTCCACTTAGAGTTTAGGACTGCTATGATTCCCTGGTTGCAGAACCAATAAATCCGTGCCTCATATGTCACCATGGACAGAGCTGGCTTCCTGTAATTTTTGCCAGCTCTACTTTCCCCTCCAGGCAGTGGTGGAGGGCAGGCCGGTGCCCTCCTCTGGCTCCCCAACGCATGTGAACGTGCAGAGATGAGGGAGGTTACAAAGGGCTTGCACTGGGGGCCAGGGGCTTCACACACTGGGAATCGGGGGAAGGTCACTGGCAGATCCGTTCATTCAGCCCACACAATGCTTAAAAGTCTTTTTATTTAATTTAAAAACTAGGAGATTTCACTCCAAATTCCACGTGAAGTTTCTTTTTTAAAAATCAAGCTGGCTGGGCGCGATGGCTCACACCTATAATCCCAGCACTTTGGGAGGCCAAGGCAGGCGGATCATGAGGTCAAGAGTTTAAGACCAGCCTGGCCAACCTAGTGAAACCCCAACTCTACTAAAAATACAAAAATCAGCCGGGCATGGTGGTGCACACCTGTAATCCCAGCTACTCAGGAGGCTGAGGCAAGAGAATTGCTTGAACTCGGGAGGCGGAGGTTGTGGTGAGCCGAGATCATGCCACTTGCACTCCAGCCTGGGCAACAGAGCAAGACTCCATCTCCAAAAAAAAAAAAAAAAAATCGTGCTGCCCGCACTGGGTGCCTTGCTGCCTGGCCACATGAGGCTGCCGCTGAACAGCAGGTGACCATGGGGGTCAGGGTTTCCATACCCTATCAGGGCATTCCTGGACCCCAGCGCTGGCCCTGTGAGTGCCTGTACCTCTGGCCCCTGCTGTAGGCAGTGGAAGTCAGTAAGATGCATGGGATCACAGTTGGGGACACCTAAGTGTGCAAGGTGGCAGGAGGCAAGGATAGCCAGGATGTGAATGACTCTCCACGGCAGCAGGAGGGCTCATGGGGCAGGTGGATCCCCTCCCTCTGGGGGCTTTGGGCCCATGGCACACTCCTTGCGCTACTGTAATTGTTTCACTGTCAGTATGCTTCCAAATCCCTAAATGGTGCAACCCCGAATAGGACATGGCCAAGACAAAAAGAGATAGTGCCACATCATGTGCCCTGTGTGAGGTGTGGCCCTCTGGCCCGGCACCCAGGGAGGGAGTCGCTGATCGCTGCCTGTCTGCTCTCTCTCCCCAACAGTCCTGTGGGGTTGACTTTGAGGTCAAAGCATTCGCCACAGACAGCACCGATGCCGAAGAGGACAAAATCCCCAAGAAGTAAGAGTATGGTTGCGGAATAGGTGAGGGGTCTGCGGTGGGGGTGGAGAGAAGAGACGACCTCCACCTTGTCTCTGTGGGACAGACCTCTTCCCATAGGGCTGGCACGGCTGGGGTACCATCTGCATGTGGGATGGAGGTCAAAGGTTGATCATTTTTGGGGAAAAAAAAGAAAACAAGAAAATGACAGGGAAGTTAGCAACCTCCAGGGCTCACGTAAGCCCCGAAAAGCTCCCGGGTTTCCCCTTTGTTGAAGTTTTGTTGTTGTTGTTTGTTTGTTTGTTTGTTTGTTTTTTGTGGTAAAATGTACACAACATGAAGTTTGCCATTTTAACCACTTTTTTTTCTTTTTTTCTTTTATTTTTTGAAATGGAGCCTCGCTCTGTCCCCCAGGCTGGAGTGCAATGTGACCTCGGCTCACTGCAACCTCCGCCTCCCAGGTTCAAGCGATTCTCCTGCCTCAATCTCCCGAGTAGCTGGGATTACAGGCGTGCGCCACCACGCCTGGCTAATTTTTTTTTTTTTGTATTTTTAGTAGAGATGGGTTTCACCATGTTGGCCAGGCTGGTCTTGAACTCCTGACCTCAAGTGATCCGCCCGCCTTGGCCTCCCAAAGTGCTGGGATTACAGGCGTGAGCCACTGTGCCCGGCCCATTTTAACCACTTTTAAATGTACCATTCAGTGGCTTAAGTACATTCCGAATGTTGTGTAGCCTTCACCGCTGTCTATACCCAAAACTTTCCCATTGCCTGAGCAGGAACTCTACAACCATTGAGCCTACCGCTCCATCCTTCCCATTCTCCCACCCCCTGTGCTGTTTTTTTTTTACCTAAACAAGATTTCCGCCTGGCCCTTCGCACTGTCTCCTTGTGCCCCATGTACACATCTCTGGAGGCGCAGGATAGTGAGCTGCAGTAATGGAGCTCGCATGTATATGGCAGCTATTCCATGAGGCCCTTGACGCCCTCACACCTTAGCCTTGCTGACAGGAGGCAGAGCTGGGAATCCACGGAGCCTAAGGGGCTAAGCTTGGCCCTCGGGATGTTGCCTGGCCCCACAGCTTCCCCCACAGGGAAGGGACCAGGACCCAGACCCCCAGGCTCTTCCACCGTCAGGGCTGCCTCAGGCTCTGACCAGTGTCGTTGCCCTCTTCCCGTCCACCCTGTCTCCATGGGGAGCATTCCTGGAGAATCTCCATGTGACAGTGGGGAGAGAACAGAAGCCTCCCTAAAGCGGCCTGGGTGCCAATCCCTGGCTTGTCTGTGGCTGTTTCCCACAGGAGCTCCGTGCGATTACTGATCCGCAAAGTACAGCATGCCCCACTTGAGATGGGTCCCCAGCCCCGAGCTGAGGCGGCCTGGCAGTTCTTCATGTCTGACAAGCCCCTGCACCTTGCGGTCTCTCTCAACAAAGAGGTAACCACCTACCATCGCTACTACCCGCAGGGCAGCAGGCCTAGGGGCAGGCCCCACACCCCTCTCTTCACCAGCCCCAGCCCTTAACTACATGGGTGCCTTGCAAGGAAGCTTGTTTCTAGGATAAAGCACCAACATGCGTAAGTGACTGGCCTGTTTTCACAGCCTGGAGCTGGTCAGCATGGTCCTTAGAGGAGGACGGAACTGGCTTGCGTTCCACCCACTGGCTGTCCCGAGGGACTGGGGAAGGAAGGGGCGCTGCTTTTCACATACCTGCCCCCCAGCTGTCCTTGTCCTGTCCACCTCCATGGGCCTTGTTCACTCATGGAGCATCAATAGCTGTGGTATCCCAAATTCTTCACTTCCTGGGAAATTTAAGTTTTGCAGAAACCATGTGGGATGGCAGTGTCACCTGTGATGTCATCTCTTAGGGGTGTCATGGTGGGAAAAGGTGAGAGCTGCTGGCCAAGGCTGGCTCTGGTTCCTCTGGTCAGCAGTCAGCCATTTGTGCACTGTGTGTATACACGTGTGTGGGTGTGCCAGGGGCTGTGTTACACGGGCTCTGCTGGGTGGGATGCCAGCACTTGGCTTTCCCAGTGGTTTCCTTTCACTTCACTCATCCTGCCCCCATAACCTCCTGACCCCTGGCCTCCTCCGATGTGATGATCGGAACTCTGTTCCCCTCCCCAGCTTCCCACAGATGGGTGGAATGTGTTTCAGGCCCTTCCTTAGAAGAAATGTATTGCTATCACTTCATCTTCCTTAAATTCTGCCGCTTTTATTCCAGTGAAAGGGATTGAGATGAATCTAGAAAGCAGTAAGATTAAAGACACCGCCACATCTGTTCTCTTCTTCTGACCTATCTGCTGACTTTTCTAGATCTATTTCCATGGGGAGCCCATCCCTGTGACCGTGACTGTCACCAATAACACAGAGAAGACCGTGAAGAAGATTAAAGCATTCGGTAGGACCTTCTTCTCAGAAGTAGAGGGCATAGTCTTCTAGAATTTCTGATCCTGTTTCCTGAGAGGTCACTTCTCTGGTCTGATAAGGCCCTTCTGGGTCCTTGGAACTGGCTACTTGTCTCTGCTGTCATAGGCAGCAGGACTGCGGAGGGAGAAAGGCCTTACAAGTTATCTCATTCAACTTCCTGCCCACTTACGGCTGGTTTTTGTCTTGGAACAAAATTCCTGGCAAGTGATCTCTTTCCATGGTTATGCCTTCCTGGAGGGCCCCACAGTGCTCATTGTGGTTGACAGATGCAGCACATTGTTGTGGGTGAGGCCTAATTTGTGGACTCATGCTGTGGGCTCTGTGATCCCAGCTGGCATCCACAGCAGGGGCTCCTTGTCTACCTTCCCAGGCTTTGTGTGGCTTGAAGGAGGTCCCACATGGAAGCGCTTTGTAAATGGTGAAGTGTGACTGTCTCGGCTCAAATGGCCATCATGTCATGGCTGACCTTCCCATATCCTACAGGGGAGGTGCCTTCTGCCTGTTGTTCCCACACATTAACTAAGCTCAAAAAGCATCAAAGCACAGGGGGTCTTATATAATGGTCTTATTTGGCTCTTTCATGAGGAAGACATGATGGAATGACCTGTGAGGGTAACCTCTAAGTTCACTTTTTAACTCAAACATTCAATGACCAAGACAAAGTTAGACTTATGCATCTTGGGGTGACTGTCCCAGGGCCCAGGACTGAGGATGTGGAACTTCCAGTCCTAAAATGGGCTCTCCCGGGCAAGCCAGGGTGAGCAGTGGCCCTAGGTGTCATATACCACTTTTCCCTGTGAGTCATCACAGATGAGGGTCAGAAATCCTGATGCGTGCAGACTAAGGAATTCTAGACTTTTCCCTCCCTCCCTTCCTTCCTTCCTTCCTTCCTTCCTTCCTTCCTTCCTTCCTTCCTTCCTTCCTTCCTTCCTTCCTCCCTTTCTTTCACAGTCTCCCTCTGTCACCCAGGCTGGAGTGCAGTGGTGTGATCTCGGCTCACTGCAACCTCCAGCTCCTGGGTTCAAGCCATTCTCCTGCCTCAGCCTCCCAAGTAGCTGGGATTACAGGCGTGCACCAATTTTGCCTGGCTAATTTTGTATTTTCAGTAGAGATGGGGATTTCGCCATGTTGGCCAGGCTGGTTTCAAACCCCTGACCTCAGGTGATCCATCCGCCTCAGCCTCCCAAAGTGCTGGGATTACCGGTGTGAGCCACTGCACCCGGATAGCTGTTAACTTTTTAAAAACAAAATATTAATTGCTTTCTATAGGCTGGGCACTGTACTGCATGCCTTGCACAAATTGTTTCTTTATCCTCAAACTTTGGCTGAGTGCAGTGGTTCACGCCTGTAATCCCAGTACTTTGGGAGGCCAAGGTGGGAGGATCCCTTGAGCCCAGGAGTTCAAGACCAGCCTGGGCAATATAGGGAGACCCTGCCTTTATTTTTTAAAAAAATCCTCAAGCTTAATTTTAAAGGTGATTAAAAGTCATCTTTTTAATCATCACAACGTCCCTATGAGTTAGATGCAATTATTACCCCCATTTTACTGATGGGGAAACTGAGGCTTAGAATAGATAAATAATTCACCCCACAGTTAGTGGCTAAGCCAAGATTGGCACCCAAACAGCCTGGCTCCAGGCCCACCTTCCTATCCACCACGTTCCACCCACCAACCAGTCCTGTACTGCCTCTAGCTAGTCTCTTGGAGGACAGGAAGGACAATGTTCATGAAGTAAGATGGAGGATGTTAGAAAGGGCTGAGCAGGGGAAAGGAGGGGTCTCCCAGGAGCTGCAGCCTTAGGGGACATGGGTGGGAGTTGATACAGAGCAGGTTATGGGTGACCAGAAATGGCCTGGAGACAGGACTTCAAAACCCCAGCCTTGAAGCTGAGGGCTGAGAAAGCCTAGCCTTGGAAGTGGAGGGAAACCATCATCAGAGAGGAGAGACCAGCGTGTACCCTGGGAGGCCGCAGGGAAAGTGCACGTGTTGGGGGACCAGTGCTGACCACCGGACTCCCGTCTTCCCCTTGCAGTGGAACAGGTGGCCAATGTGGTTCTCTACTCGAGTGATTATTACGTCAAGCCCGTGGCTATGGAGGAAGCGCAGTGAGTAGCTGTTGGGGTTTCCGTTTCCTGGGCGTCTCAGCCTTCTGTGTCAAGTTTCTCGCCGTTTATTGCTGAAGAAGGAACTAGAATGTTCAGCTAGCTCGCCAGCCTTCCACTTCCTTCCTCTTTCTCCCTTCGAGGGCTGCACAGAAAGTTAGCATCTTAGCTCTGCATCTACCACACCCCTCTGTGCCCATCTTACAGGAGTTCTGAGGATTAATGCAAGCCAAAGAATGACGCAGAGGAGAGAAATAAAGACAGAAATGTCACCATGGGATCAGCTGGCTTTTTCTATTTATCCTTGGAATGAATTGTTAGGAATTTGGTACTATTTCCACCTCCCAGAAGATGGTCAAATGAACTGTCAGCCCAGGCTAGGATTCCCTATCTTTTGATCTCAAATTGAAATCTTATACCAGTGACAACTGGATTAGAATATATCTGTTCTTAGCCTGTTGTTGTGAATGACTTTTCCCCTTTGTTAGAATCAAAAACAAATGAGAATCCTGCCATGGTTCCTTTATGCTGGCCTGAGAGACCTGCCCAGCTTTGCTGTGTGCCACAAAGTCAAATAGATTCATTTAATACATGGCTTGGAGTGGGGGGCGATGATCTCCCACCTCCAGCCCCCCGAGAGGATAGCTCGACCAGGTCTTAACTCTTTGCCTTGCTGGCATGTTCTAAGCACCGTTGTATGTAAAAAATATTATCAGGGTTAGAGGAAGGTTAGGGTAGGGGAATGATGAAAGACAACTGATTCCTTAAGATAATATAAGGTAATAGATAGATTTTTTTGAGATGGAGTCTCACTCTGTTGCCCAGGCTGGAGTGCAGTGGTGAGATCTCAGCTCACTGCAACCTCCACCACCCAGGTTCGAGCCATTCTCCTGACTCAGTCTCCCAAGTAGCTGGAATTACAGGAGCCCGCCACCAAGCCCAGCTAATTTTGTATTTTTTTTTTTTTTTGAGACGGAGTTTTGCTCTTGTTGCCCAAGCAGGAGTGCAATGGCGCGATCTTGACTCACTGCAACCTTTGCCTCCTGGGTTCAAGTGATTCTCCTGCCTCAGCCTCCTGAGTAGCTGGGATTACAGGCACACGCCACCACCCCTGGCTAATTTTTTGTATTTTTATTAGAAATGGGGTTTCACCATGTTAGCCAGGCTGGTCTCGAACTCCTGACCTCAGGTGATCTGCCCACCTCGGCCTCCCAAAGTGCTGGGATTACAGGAGTGAGCCACCGTGCCTGGCTGATTTTGTATTTTTAGTAGAGACAGGGTTTCACCTGTTGGCCAGGCTGGTCTCAAACTCCTGACCTCAGGTGATCTGCTTGCCTCAGCCTCCCAAAGTGCTGAAATTACAGGCGTGAGCCACCGCACCTGGCCTATATGGGAATATTTAAAAGGCAACTTTAGGAGAAACTATTACTGTTATTCAAAACAGATTCAAACTGTAGGTCTACAAGGGAGGGAGACAGGAAAGAACCACCACTCACTGCCTCCTTTCTGCCAAGATTGGGCTCTGTTCTGCCTTTAGGGGATCCTCGCACATCCCTGTGCCCTGGAGGGGTCTTGGCCCTGGTTCACCTTTCCTCATGTGCTCAGCAACATGGGAGCAAAGGATCCTGGCTGAGTTTTCCCCTAATATGTATTCCATCACCTGGTCCTCTTTCAAAGTGTTGGGTGCATTTTGGGTCAAAGATTCCCAGGAAACTGGAAAGCATTCCAAAGTCCCCCAAAGGCTGGAGGAGCCTGGGAGCTGGACTGGACCATGCTGACAAGTCTGAAGCTAGAGGCCACTCAGAAAGCTGCAGAGCAGGAGCCATCGTCCCAGAGCCCTGTGGCTTCTGGGGCTTTAGTGGGCAGGCTTCCACGGAACCAGGACAGACCTGACTCCCAAGCTGCTCCCCACCATCCAAACCCACATCCTGAAGCTCTGGGGAGTGGCCCCAGAGCCTTGGCATAGTCCTTTGGCAAGCTCTGCACAAACACAAAAAGTCCATCCTCTGAGCCCAACCCCAAGGGCCCTCTTCCTATTCCAGCCATCTTTACAATGCTGTTTCTGCTTTTTTCAATGCTCAAATTACGCTCATTAAGAGAGGTTCCACCAGGACCCAGATGGTAGGATGTGGGCCACCTTGGGCTCTGGCAGATTTCTGTAAAGAGCTTCCTGTAGACACTGGAGGCAGGATAGGGGACAGCTGCTTTTACCTATCCAGGGAAACTTGATTAGGGAAAGGAAGTCCTTTCCCAGAGAGGCAGTTCAGACTTCCAGCTGTCTCAGGACAGCCTTAGAATGGTCCTGATGCTGGCCACACCCCACCTTGTTCTGGCTAGGCACAGGATGGAGGGTGTGCTTCCGGCACGAATGGGCTCTGCTGTCAGAGAGTGTGCAGCCACGTGACTGTGGGCACACTTCCCGTCTGGAAAATGGGGATCTTGGAGCACCTGCTTGGTATGGGGTTGATGAGGGTAAGGTGAGAGTTTTGAGGACAGGCCTTAGCACTTGGCCTGGCACACAGCATGCACGTGAGTGGAGGAGCCAACTCTCCAGCCGCAGAGGCTGCTTCATGATCCTGGCCATGCTGCCGTGTGTCTGCCTGGAGAAACACACATTGCTGTGTCCCCAGCTGGATCCCAGACCCGCCTGTTGGCACAGGGTCTCCGCCATCTGTCAGATGTTGAGAAATCTATACCCCGACTGATGATGAAGAAGATCCAGTAGAGAAAGAGCATGTGCTGCTTTGGACCCAAGCTATTCGGTCTGTGTGATCCACAAATTGTGGGTCCCTGCGTTGCCCCTCTAGACAACTTACCACACAGTCACACTGTGACCCCCTTATAGTGACAGTTTTTGGTGACAAGAGGCTTTCTGGCCTGGACTCGTTGCTGACACCAACCAGAAGGTTCTGCAGGCCACCGTGTGGTTCACAAAGTCTCAGGAGGAGGCTGTGGTCTCTGACTCTTGAGCCAGTTTGTCTCATTAACTCCATAGAACATTCTAGAAATTCAGCAATTCAGAATAGGCTGAGTTGCTTGAAGAAATATCCTCCTGTTGCTGCCAGCCCACCCTGAGATTTCACAAGCACTGTTCTGCTTCTCGTAAGTCAAGTTCCCAGGCTCTTGAACCCACCTTCCCAGGAGGTCCATCAGGGGATGTGGATCCTGGAAAATGCCTAATGTCAAATAGGGGCTCATGGGGTCCATGGCAGCTTTGATGGTTATAAATCTCCTCTGTTCTTCTTCCTCTAGAGAAAAAGTGCCACCAAACAGCACTTTGACCAAGACGCTGACGCTGCTGCCCTTGCTGGCTAACAATCGAGAAAGGAGAGGCATTGCCCTGGATGGGAAAATCAAGCACGAGGACACAAACCTTGCCTCCAGCACCATGTGAGTCCTCGAGGCTCAGGGAATAAGCCCTGGCAGGGCGGGCTGGTGCTGGTCTGCTTCCCTTCACATCACCCTGCTGGGCTCGCAGGCACGCACGTGCAGCATGGTGGTCTGGCGTGTGTAGTGTGGAGTGCATATCTACGGGCCCACACAAGGATCCCACTCTCACCCCTGGTGTGATGTGGGGGTTACACCCATGGGCCTTGGAGACAGCTGTGCGCTAACCCCAGCTCTGCTGCTGACCCTGGGAAAACACCTTGAGTTCTCTGAGAACCTCAGTTTTCCTGTTTGTAAAGTGGGGGCGGTAATAGTTCAAGTCTCATAGAGTGATTATAAGGATTCAGTGAGACAATCCATGTGAAGCGTGGGGCCTGACACACAGAGAGTGCTCCAGGAATGTCAGCTACTGTTTTTAGAAGTATCACTAGCTAGTGTGGTGCCCTAAGCATGTAAACTGAGTAATGCTCTTGGCTGTGTTCATTCATTCATTCATTCATTCGTCCATTTCCATCAGGAATTGTAAAGAACAGGAGGTCCTAATGACTTTAGATGTCCATTAAATTTAAATGAAACTAAGTACTGATCTGCTGACCCTGACTCAAAGGACGACTGGCTGAATTTGGGCAGCAGATCTAGCGAAGACTATACAGTGAAGTTCCCAAGTCAGCGTCCACTGTCCTTCCAAGCCACGCTTTTGCGCTTCCCTTCCCGGGAGCATGTCTGTGGGCTCAAGGCCCACTCACTGCCACCTCCCCATGTGATATGCTGGGGGTTCCCTCTGTGGCCCCAGTAGACCACCTCCGAGGTGATGCCAATGGCTGGGAGACTGGATTGTTTGACCCCATGACTCCGATGCTCAGTAGCTCACACTCTCTGAGACCAAGAGTGGGGAACAGTGAACAATTGGCAGAAAGCAGGTGGAAGTCAAAGGATTTTCTGAGGATAATTGGCCAAGTTACTGTGTTAGATTCTAAAGCACATTCGTGAAGCTCCGGGAGAGAGAATATCAGGGAAACTGAGAGCCTAGATCAATGTATTCAAGGGCGTAGGGATCGTAAGATGAACAATGATGGCTCACCACACTGTGGGAATGTTTCATGGTGTGTGGACTAGTTTCTAAACATGTACGACTCGGCCGGCCATGATGGCTCACACCTGTAATCCCAGTACTTTAGGAGGCTGAGGCGGGTGGATCACCTAAGGTCAGGAGTTGGAGGCCATCCTGGCCAACATGGTGAAACCCTGTCTCTACTGAAAATACAAAAATTAGCCAGGTGTGGTGGTGGGTGCCTGTAATCTCAGCTACTCGAGAGGCTGAGACAGGAGAATCGCTTGAACCCGGGAGGCGGAGGTTGTGGTGAGTCGAGATCGTGCCATTGCACTCCAGCCTGGTGACAGAGCAAGACTCCATCTCAGAAAAAAAAAAAAACCAACCAACAAAACAAAAAAATCATTTATGACTCTCCACACCTCCATGAGGAAGGTATATTTATATGCATTTTATGGGTAAGGAAATTGAGGTTGAGCCAGAATGAAAGACTTATCCAAGGTCACTGAATCAGTTAATAGCAGAGCAAAGTCCACTCCACAGCAAATCTCCCAGCCCAGGAAGATGCCAGGGGTTCTGACTTGCAGGGTGTTCTCAGGCACGTGGCAGAGCATGTTCAGTTCAGCAGCTGCTTGGCCCCATTCAGCGCAAGGTAGAGTTAATCTCAGCTGGGAGGAGTAGCTCACACCTGTAATCCCAGCACTTTAGAAGGCCAGAGTGGGCGAATCGCTTGAGCCCAGGAGTTTGAGACCAGCCTGGGCAACATGGCGAAAACCCATATCCACAAAAAATTAAAACATTAGCTGGGCATGGTGGCACGTGCCTGTAGTCCCAGCTATTTGAGAGGCTGAGATGACAGGATAGCTTGAGCCCAGGAGGTCGAGGCTACAGTGACCTATGATCATGCCATTGCATTCCAGCCTAGGTGATAAAATGAGACCCTGTCTCAAAAAAAAAAAAAAGTCAATCCCAGCAAAGAGGGGGATCTCAAGCTTGTACCCCTTTTTTCCCTTTGGAGGTATCCTCTCTTCACCAGGTACTTGGCCATACTCCGCAAGTCCAGATAAAGATATTCTGTCCTCTTTTAAAAATTATTTTTATTTTTTTTTGAGATAAGGTCTCAGTCTGTCACCCAGGCTGGAGTGCAGTAGCGCGTTCTTGGCTCACTGCAACCTCCACCTCCCAAGTTCAAGGGATTCTCCTGGCTCAGCCTCCTGAGTAGCTGGGATTAGAGGCTCCCACCACCACGCCTGGCTAATTTTGTACTTTCAATAGAGATGGGGTTTCGCCATGTTGTCCAGGCTGGTCTTGAATTTCCTGAACTCAAGCGATCTGCCCGCCTCCGTCTCCCAAAGTGCTGGGATTAAAGGTGTGAGCCACGACGTCTGGCTATTCTGTCCTCTTTTAAATGAGCTCCAGACGCCAGTGAGCTGAAGGAGCTCTCTGGGGAGCACTGTGGTCCTGGAAACACGTGCTTGAGACACCTCCCCTCAGAGGTTCCCGAGCTGACGTCTTCTTCCAGGCCCAGCACCTGCTGGCCGCCGCCCCAACTCTTTTTCCAGAGCTGTTCCATCCTTCCCTGCCTTCTGCCTGTAGCCTTCAGGTTTCTTGGGCTTTTTTTCTATCATTATTTACATGATTTTTGTTAGCATTTCATGATTTTTTTCATATCTTAATTCCTGTTATTGGACATCCTGGAGTACTCATGTCCTCCGCGTTGGATCCCACGCGATAAGCATCTGTGATGAAATGCCCGGCACAGTGCCTGCCAGATAGTAGAACTTCAGTACGTATTAGTGGGATCTGGAATGACATTTCTGTCAAGGAACGTCACATTGCACTGTCTTTGGGGCACATCTGAGGGTCTCGCACATCCTGCTCATTCACTTAAACATTGACAGCTCTCACTTGGTGCCAGGTCTGATGCTGGGTGCTGGGGACACACAGCTGGATATCTTGGAAGGCAGGAGAGAAGGAGGGGGCATTCTGGTGCAGGGTTGTGTTGGCAAGACTGGCGCGGGGGGCGCTGGGACACAGCTGGGGGTGAAGTAGCAAAGGCAGGCCAGGGCAGCTCACAGGCTGCTTCTGAGGCTGAACCTGCAGATGGCCACAGAGCTCAGAGAAGGGGCCTGGCACGTGGGAGATGAGTTACTGAGATAATCCAGGCAGGCAAAGCCTGCTGGAGGACTTGGGGACTTGCAGTTTTGGCAAGTGGTAGGAGGGAGTTGCTGAGGAGGATGACCGGGGGATGTGCATCTATAGAGGTCAAGCACAGAGAAGGGGGTTGCATGCTCTGCCCTCTGGGAACTTCTAGAGGAGAAGACACAGGAATTCCTCCAGTGCGTGCAAGGAGTCCCCATACCCACTCCCCAAGTACATGAACTTCTAGGACTTTGGAAGCTCAGTGAGTTCACCAGTCCCTGGAGAACCTCCATGACGGCATGCCTGCCTCGAATGGAAAGGCTGCCCATCTGCTCTTCACCCTCCTCTGCTCTCCATCATTCTCCTTTTCCCTTCTGTTTGGGCAGCATTAAGGAGGGCATAGACCGGACCGTCCTGGGAATCCTGGTGTCTTACCAGATCAAGGTGAAGCTCACAGTGTCAGGGTAAGTGTCCCGGCACCAACCCTCGGGCTGCTCTGTCCTGGTCTTAGATGGTCTGAACTTTTCCTTTCCTGAATGACTGGGAGACAGAAAGCAAGGAAAGGCCCATAGCTTCTACCAAGGATTACCAAGTAGAGCTTGGGAGAGATTCTGTTTGTCTAGTACCATGCTTCTGTCTGATAAAATGTCAGGTGGGAAAGGGTGGAGAAGCAGACTCTGAAATGTGTGCATTCTTAGCGCCACTTTGCAAAAATACGTGTGCATATGTGCATGTGGTAGAAGCTGATGTGCAAGAATGAGGATTAGTCAAATGTTATCCTTCAGAAAAGAATAACTGCTGTGAAAGAACTCTCAGTAAATCTTCATGTTTTTGCATCTTAGAAGGTATCCATCCATAAAGTGGGGACTTTCCCCTCCCCTCTCACACATGTAATCACAGGGCACAGGAGTCTTCTTTTCATACAAGAGTGCCAATATCTCAGAGTTTTAAGGGAACAGGTTTCCACTTTCATTTTCATGTGAAGCCAGTTTCTTCCATTTGTTTAATCTTACCAAAAGGGAAAAACTTGAATTCTCATTTTCGTTTCAAATTCCATTGCCAAAGGCTCTGGCCTTTTACCTGGATGAGCCTTGGGTAGTTCTGCCATCAAAGGCAAGTCTGTGCCTAGGTTTCATACTTCTAAGTAGTAAAGAATTCCCTTGAGGAAAATAAGCGTTTAAAAAGAGTTTCCCAAATTTCTAACAAAGTAGAACATGGGTCTATTTTGCATTTTTCGTTAGCATAGTGTTTTTTTTTTTTTTTTTTTCACTGTGGATAGTGCATAAAAGGATCTAAAAACAGGGTGGAGTTTCTTTTAGCAGTCAAGGAAAGCAACCAGCAGGTATTTCACAATGACCTCTTGTGACTTATCTTGAATGTTAGGGCTTGACTTTTTTTTTTTGAGATGTAATCTCTCACTCTGGAGTGCAGTGGCATGACCTCGGCTCACTGTAACCTCCACCTCCCAGGTTCAAGTGATTCTCCTGCCTCAGCTTCTGAGTAGCTGGGATTACAGGTGCCCACCACCATGCCTGGCTAATTTTTGTATTTTTAGTAGAGACGGGGTTTCACCATGTTAGCCAGGCTGGTCTCGAACTTCTGACCTCAAGTGATCTGCCCACCTCAGCCTCCCAAAGTGCTGGATTACAGGTGTGAGCCACCGTGCCCAGCCAACTTTTTTTTTTGAGACGGAGTCTTATTCTGTCACCCAGGCTGGAGTACAGTGGCATGATCTCAGCTCACTGCAACCTCCACCTCCCAGGTTCAAGCAATTCCCCTGCCTCAGCCTCCCGAGTAGCTAAGATTACAGGCGCCTGCCACCATGCCCGGCTAATTTTTGTATTTTTAGTAGAGATGGGGTTTTACCACGTTGGTCAGGCTGGTCTGGAACTCATGACCTCAAGTGATCCGCCCACCTCGGCCTCCCAAAGTGCTGGGATTACAGGCATGATCCCCCATGCCCGGCCTTTTTAAACTAATCATCTTGAGAAAGAGATGAAGTCACAGGTAATGAAGTTGAACATTAAGGGATGGGAAGACCCTGGATGTTGTGAGTTCGGGTGCAAGGGCCATGAGAGCTGGGCTGTGTCCTGCCTCTGAATCATGGGAAAGGGTCGTGTTACCACTGTGACAGTTAACGACAGGCGTTTGTTTGTGTTTTCTAGCTTTCTGGGAGAGCTCACCTCCAGGTAAGCCTGTTCACCTTCCTTGTTTGATTGTTTCTCAAGATATCAAAGGCAGCAAACTTGGGGCTCCAAAACGGTTTCTGATGAAAGCTGCTTTCTGGACAGTTGTGCTCAGAGGTGTTAGGAATGATGCTTTGCCTTCGGATGCATCACAGAACCGTGGCTCATAGGCGTTTCTTTGGGACCAGATTTCTTTGGGACCACAGCTAGACCTATGCCTGGGTAAGGACACACACATACACACCCAGAAAACTGGCACACTCCATGCAGCCAGCTTGTGTGTGTGTGTGTGTGTTTGTGTGCGGTAAAATACACATAACATAAATTTTACCATTATATTATTTATTTTATTTTTTGAGATGTAGTCTCACTCTGTGGCCCAGCCTGGAGTGCAGTGACGTGATCTCGGCTCACCGTGACCTCCACTTCCTGGGTTCAGGCAATCCTCCCGCCTCAGCCTCCTGAGTAGCTGAGATTACAAGCGTGTGCCACAACACCTGGCTAATTTTTGTATTTTTAGTAGAGACGGGGTTTCCCCATGTTGGCCAGGCTGGTCTCGAACTCCTGACCTCCAGTGATGATCCTGCCTTGGCCTCCCAAAGTGCTGGGATTATAGATATGAGCCACCACACCTGGCAAATTTTACCATTTTAACCGTTTTGTTTTATTTTATTTTATTTTATTTTGAGACAGAGTCTTGCTCTGTTGCCCAGGCTCGAGTGCAGTGGCATGATCTTGGCTCAGTGCAACCTCTGCCTCCTTGGTTCAAGCAATTCTCCTGCCTCAGCATCCTGAGTAGCTGGGATTACAGGTGCACGCCACTATGCCCGACTAAGAGCTGAGATGATGCAGTACATAACCTCAATGCCTGTCTCAAATGTTTCTTAACTTGCTGCTGCTTCGTGCATAATTTAAAAGGCAGCTGTCACTATTTGCAATACCAAAAGGTAGAAACAACCCAAATGTCCACCAACAGATGAATGGGATAAACAAAATGTGGTATATCCATGCAATGGAATATTACTGAGCCATAAAAAGGAATGGAGTACTAGTACATGCTACAACATGGATAAACCTTATACTAATAACACTACGCTAAGTGAAAGAAACCAATAACAAAAGGCCACATATTGTATGAATCCATTTACACACAATATCCAGAACAGGCAAATCTATAGAGATAGAGAACAGATTAGTGGTTATGCCAGGGACTATAGGGAGGGAAAATGAGAGTGACTGGTTAAGGGGGATGAGATTTTCTTTTTGGGTAATAAAGATGTTCTAGAACTAGATAGTGGTGATGGTTGCATAACAGCGTAAATGTATTTAATGCCACCGAATTGTGCACTTTAAAATGATGAAGCTGGGCAGGGTGGCTCATGCCTATAATCCTAGCACTTTGAGAGGCTGAGGCAGGTGGATCACTTGAGATCAGGAGTTCAAGACCAGCCTGGGCAACATGGTGAAACCCCATCTCTACTTTTTAAAAATACAAAAATTAGCCAGGCCATGGTGGCATGCATTTGTAGTCCCAGCTACTCGGGAGGCTGAGATAGGAGAATTGCATGAACCCAGGAGGTGGAGGTTGCAGTGAGCCGAGATTGCGCCACTGCACTCCAGCCTGGGCGACAGAGCGAGACTCCATCTCAAAAAAAAAAAAAAAAAGTTCCCACTGCATTGTCTTTCAGCTTGGGCCTGGGGATCTTTTGTGACTCTCCGCAGCCATAGGTCTTTGCTGTGTTACTTACAATTGTGTGTATGGGTGTTCACACCAATCTTCATTCTTTTTTTCTAGTGAAGTCGCCACTGAGGTCCCATTCCGCCTCATGCACCCTCAGCCTGAGGACCCAGGTCAGTTATGTCCTTTTTTAGCTTTCTTTAATTATTTGCTACTTGCAGATTTATTGTTGATGTATTTCTAGTCTTTCTTGACCGCATCTCAGAGCATGGGAGTGGCCAGGTGTAAGAGATTCCATGTGATCTACAAGGTGAATAGTCTGGGGGGAAGGGAGGGCCCATCTGTTCAGCGCTGAGCCGGGTAGATTATCCACCTTCAGCTGGAGTCTGCAAGATGTAGCATCCTTGCTCTTGGACAGGGACAATCTCGTGAGGTTTTATCATGAATGATTTAAGAGCAGAAGCTCTGCTGTCAACAGACCTGGATTTAGAATTAAAGATGATTTAGGTAAAAACTTAATTTTAGAGCACGAGGATTTTGCATTTCATTTGGAAACAAAAGGCCTCATGTTTCATTTGAAAGCATTAACAGACATTTAAAAGAAGATAATTTTTTTTTTTTTTTGAGACGGAGTCTCACTCTGTCACCCAGTCTGGAGTGCAGTGGTGTGATCAAGCTTACTACAGCCTCAACCTCCTGGGCTCAACCCACCCTCCTACCTCAGCTTCTGAAGTAGCTGGAACTACAGGCATACCACCACCCTTAGCTAATGTTTTTGATTTTTAGTAGAGATGAGGTCTTGCCATGTTGCTCAGGCTAGTCTTGAACTCCTGAGCTCAAGTGATCTTTCTGCCTCATCCTCCCAAAGTGCTGGGGTTACAGGCATGAGCCACTGCACCTGGCTGAAGATAACTGTTTTTTTTTGGGGTTTTTTTTTTTTTTTTTTTTTTCTGAGATGGAGTCTCTGTCACCCAGCTGGAGTGCAGTGGCACAACCTCGGCTCACTGCAACCTCTGCCTCCCGGGTTCAAGTGATTCTCGTGCCTCAGCCTCCTGAATAGCTGGGATTACAGGCGCCTGCCACCCCACCTGGCTAATTTTTGTATTTGTAGTAGAGACGGGGTTTCGCCATGTCGGCCAGGCTAGTTTTGAACTCCTGACCTCAGGTGATCCACCCGCCTCAGCGTCCCAAAGTGCTGGGATTACAGGCGTGAGTCACGGCGCCCGGCCTGAAGATAACTATTTTTGACAGTGGCAGTTATGGTAAGAATACAGAAAATACTAGAAAAGAGGGTCAGGCTGGGTTCCTGACACCTCAGCTCATTTGAATTATAAATCTACTGGCTCTTGTATGGATGCGAAATGATGCAATAGTTGTATGACTCTGAAAACATATAAAAACCACTAGACTGTCGACTGTGAAAAGGTAAATTGTATGATATATGAATTTGATCTCAATCATTCTCTTTCTAAAAAGGTAAATGAAGCAGCAAAAATAATATAGGTGAAATCTCAGAAATTCTGAAGAAACATTCTCTGCATCGAGGCAGCTTAGTTGACGGGAAAGAAAAACAGATCTGTCTAAATGAGAACTCTCCGTAGGTATAGGAATAAGGGATATTTTAAGTAAAAGTGGTATAAACAAGCAGGGTTTATTTTTCTCATACTTTACAAATAGCTTTTCTATATTGGTAGTGAAATGCCGTTTAAACATTAGAATGAGCCCCCACTATTCATTTTAGGTTTTGTCTCAACAGTACTTTGTTTCAAAATAGCTCTTCCAAATACTTTGGATTCAGATCCTCAATGAACTTTTCCAAAACTGTCCCTTGGAGAAAAATGTAGTCCAGCTATATGTTTTCAGTTCATTTATGCTTGTGTCATTAAAATGTTACTTTTTCATGGTGTGGGATTAAGATGCTTTCTGGTTCCTTTCAAGGACATTAAAAAGATAGTCACTTGAGGAGATGTCATAGTTTATGTTGGGTTGTTTTCTGGAACTTTGAGTAGACTTTATGCCTTAATTTTTTTTTTTTGAGACATAGTCTTATTCTGTCACCCAGGCTGGAGTGCAGTGGCATGATCTCGGTTCACTGCAACCTCCGCCTCCCGAGTTCAAGTGATTCTCCTGTCTCAACCTCCCAAGTAGCTGGGATTACTGGCACGCGCCAGCACGCCTGGCTAATTTTTGTATTTTTAGTAGAGATGGGTTTTCACCATGTTGGCCAGGCTGGTCTCAAACTCCTGGCCTCAGGTGATCTGCCCGCCTCAGCCCTCCAAAGTGCTGGGATTACAGGCGTGAGCCACCGTGCCCGGCCTGACTTAATTTTTTTAAATTCTTTTCCATATACAACTTTCACGTTCCAGTCATTATGGCCTTAACAGTGAACATATCACAATGTCAGGATGAAACAATGATCTTTTGTACTGTGAGATTTCTGGGAGCAAAGGTTAAGACAAATCACCCCATGGTTACAAAATTCTGATTTCTAGAGATATGAGATAGATATGAGATAGATGAGATTTCTAGAGATAAATGTCATCTCTCCTGTCTTCTCTGCCTAGTTCTCGGCTCCCTGAGTCTAGGCTGGTAGGATTCTAAGCAGAGAAAGCATAAGCTATATGTAGTTAAGCCCTGCTGGAGCCTGGGGACCAAGTAATTTGTGTGTAATAAGTGCTGTGACATGCTACCAAGTTTTTATTGTCCCCTGTCAAGGGCATCTTTACTGAATCCGAAGATGCTGATTTGATTCTTCCTTGTTGTCTACCTCTGCAAGGCTGATGGTCCCGCTTAGTGTAATTTCTTCGCTGAGCACTGTGGGCCGCAGGGTATTTCTTGCTCAGGGGATGTTTTGACAAGCTAGCCTCTCTAGGGCCCCTGTACGTAGCGACCCTCATAGACACTCCCTCCCAGTGCTGGCTTCCAGGTGGGCACCAGAGGCGAGAGTAGGGGCTCACCATCAAATCGCCGCTGTGCTCCCCAAAACTAGGTGGGCAGAAAGCTAAAAAAGTACAAAAACCATTCAAATTAATAGCAGTTAGTCTGGGGATACAACACATGTGAAAACATAACTCAACAACAACAAAATCAATATGTTAACAGAAATTGAAAACTTTGCGGCTGGGGGTTGGTCCTCAAGCTTTAATGCACACTCTAACCCTGGGGTGCTGGTGAACGTCAAGTCCCAGGTCTCAGGCCTCTGAAGCCTGACAGATGGAGGTGCCAGGGTGCACATGCTCACGGCACCCTGGCGACCCTGACCTCAATGGGGTCCCGAGGACATGGAAGGAGAAATACTTTGAAAGGCGAAGCAACTGGCTGGGCAGGGAGGCCAAGGCGGGCGGAACACTTGAGGTCAGGAGTTCGAGACCAGCCTGGCCAACACGGTGACACCCCGTCTCTACTAAAAATACAAAAATTAGCCAGGCATGGTGGTGGGTGCCTGTAATCCCAGCTACTTGGGAGGTTAAGCCAGGAGAATCACTTGAACCTGGGAGACGGAGGTTGCAGTGAGCCGAGATTGTGCCACTTCACTCCAGCCTGGGCAACAGAGCAAGATGCCATCTCAAATAAATAAATAAGAAAGGAGAAGCGACATCAGAGGGGGCAAGGCTGATCAGGGAAAGCATCCTAGAGTTGAGACTGGGGGGGTTTCATGTGAGGAGGTGAAGGCTGTGGCACATTGTAAAGGAAGCAGTGATTTAAAATGCAAGGAGAGGCCGGGCGCAGTGGCTCACGCCTGTAATCCCAGCACTTGGGAGGCTGAGGCTGGCAGATCACTTGAGGTCAGGAGTTTGAGACCAGCCTGGCCAACATAGTTGAAACCCCTTCTCTACTACAGATACAAAAATTAGCCAGGCATAATGGCGCATGCCTGTAATCCCAGCTACTTGGGAGCCTGAGACACGAGAAACTCTTGAAACCAGGAGGCAAAGGTTGCAGTGAGCAGAGATTGTGGCACTGCATTCCAGCCTGGGTGACAGAGAGAGACAGTCTCAAATAAAATAAAATAATAAAATAAAATATAAAATAAATAAAATGCAAGGAGAAAAGCTGTTCCAGTGGGAAAGGCAGGGAGGCAGGAATTACACGCAGTGATCATGAACTGCATGTATCTAGGCCTTATCTCTCAAATTGTAAAGTCACCTAAAAGGTAGACATTTTCTAGGTACAGCTATGATATAGAATTTAGACTAACAAATGTCTCTCTCTCCCTCTTCCCTGCCTCCCTTTTATTCCATGCTTACAGCTAAGGAAAGGTGAGTGAGCCTCTTGAATGTGGCCCTGATTTGTCCTATGCTCTGGGACCTTCTCCTCCAGCACAAAACCCTCTTTGAGTCTTTGCACATATCCCAAGCTCTCCTGCCGGCTCAGGAGGCACATCCGCTACTTCCCGTCTGCTCCCTAGTGCTTACGGCACGCACGCACCATTACACTGGGTGTGCTTGCTCACTCTGCGCGTGCCTTTGTTTTCTCCCATTGGTGCTAGTTAAAGGAATTTTAAACGAAGCCTTGAGGAAAATGGCGTGCCCCCATGTTCTATCATGGGGAAAACCTTGATCAGTTCCTTCGTTGCAAAAAGATCAAGGATCTTGTTTCAGTTTCAGCTTCAAAGGGCGTGCAATGATCAAAATGTTGTTTGTTTTATTTTAGTTATCAGGATGCAAATTTAGTTTTTGAGGAGTTTGCTCGCCATAATCTGAAAGATGCAGGAGAAGCTGAGGAGGGGAAGAGAGACAAGAATGACGTTGATGAGTGAAGATGTCGGCTCAGGATGCCGGAAAATGACCTGTAGTTACCAGTGCAACGAGCAAAGCCCCACAGTTTAGTCCTTTGGAGTTATGCTGCGTATGAAAGGATGAGTCTTCTTCCGAGAAATAAAGCTTGTTTGTTCTCCCCTGGGTCATGAGTTGGTTGATTTGTTGGGGAGGCTGAGTTGATGACATGACACAAGCTGCCACCATTAGGGTCCCTGGAGTGGGAGGGTTGGGGAGAGGGAGGCCAGCCTCCCACGGAAGGGCTCACCACTCCCATGAGGGAGAGAAGGCGTCTGGAAATCAATGTGCTCACCAGGTGGGGCCCTCGGTGTGTCCAGGGGCTTTCCTAGGAGTCCCAGTCTGAGCTGTTTCTCTGGAAACAGTGCCTTCCCGTCTGTCCGTCTGTCCTTCCTTCCTTCCTTCCTTTATTCCTCCCTCCCTCCCTTCCTTCCTTCGTTTCGCTCTTGTTGCCCAGGCTGGAGTGCTGTGGCGTGATCTCAGCTCACTGCAAGCTCCGCCTCCCGGGTTCACGCCATTCTCCTGCCTCGGCCTCCTGAGTAGCTGGGATTACAGGCGTGTGCCACCATGCCCGCCTAATTTTTTGTATTTTTATTAGAGACAGGGTTTCACCATGTTAGCCAGGCTGGTCTCAAACTGCTGACCTCAGGTGATCCACCCACCTTAGCCTCCCAAAGTGCTGGGATTACAGGCGTGAGCCACTGCGCCTGGCCACCAGTGTATGTTTCTAATTACCTGACCAGTCCCAACTTCCAGGCCCCTAAAGAGCCTCCTAAGTTAAATAGGGCAGAGAACATCTGTGGACAAAAATACTCTTGGTTAATGATTCAACTTTTGGGTCCAGGTGTCTGTTTGAGCTTTGGGTTGTTGGTAAAGTTCTATTCAATGCAAGAAGCAAAATCAGATTTGGTTAAATTAAGGTGGGGAGAAGGAATGTAGTGGGAGGACCCCGGTGTGATCAGAGAACTGAAGGACAAACCTGAGCTGCCACACCTGGGGTAAGCAGGAATCAGAGAAGCTTCAGGGGTCAGGGACCCACTCTCCAGGGCGGCTCTTCATGCAGCTCAGCACCATACGTTCCCAGCTCTGCGTCTCTTGGTCCCAGTGGGCAGTTATTGGGAAGGAGAATCCAACTGGCTCAGCTTTGGCTGGGAGGATCAACACCCCGTGGTCAGCGATGGCAGAGCCCAGCCCTGGAGATGGAGAGTCCCAGAAAAGGGGGTTGATTGTGAGTCACATGGGCTTACTTAGAGCGTGCTTCACTGAGACTGGGCGTGAGAGGCATAGGGGAGAGCACTCTGAGTGTCAGGGAGGAAGGTGAACTGCAGGTGGAGGAGGGATAATAGAGGTGATACCAGGGCCTTTCCTTTGTGGGGTCCCTTCCTGCCCTGAGGTACCCACCGGGCCTGCTGCTGATGGCACAGATACTGAACAGGCTCATGGCGGCCAAGGAGAGGATGGAGATGCATAGGCTCTGGTCCATCTCTGGTCCATGCTTTAAGGGAGCAGGGTAAAGGGGGGTTGGAGATTCCTCCACAGTTCAACCCACTCACAGAAGGCAGAGGGTGAGTGGGAGGGGTTCTAGATGGGGAGTACACGTGGATCAGGCTTCTGGGATGGAACATGGCGACAGAGGGCTGGCCAGGGTATGGGTTCCATACACATGAAGGTTCCCAGCATCTGGGGTTGTTCAGAAGGATTCCAGCTGTTCGGGTCCTGGAGATTGGGATTTAGATGAGGAGGCTCCACTTGGGAAGCTTGGATGGGATCCCAGACAAAGCGAGGTGTGGACCCGTGTGCTGGCTCACGCATCCTGGCATTGGGAGGAGGATTTATAATACACTAGACTACAGGTGGAAGATTGGTCCTTCAGGCTGCGAGTTAGCAGGATCAGACACAGTCCCTCGTTCTTTTTCTCTCTATGCTAAGGTAATGGTGCACGACCATTTCAACCCATGCTCCCCTCAGGGCACGCAGACAAGGGATGGCCAGGGTGGCACACTCCTCTGAGGATTCCCAAAGCTGTTCCCCATTGCACTGAGCCCTTCCCCTGTCCTCTGCCACAGCACACAGGCTGCTGTGTTTAGCTCCTGCTAGAGCTCTTGGGCTAGCCCAGGGCCTGGGATTCTGCCCTGTGGTGCCTGGTGAGAGGACCAGCCCGTTGGTTCCTGCATTGCTTGACCCCAGGACATCCTAAGTCAGGGTGGACGTTAATAAGCCCGACCTTTGGAACTACGTGGGTGAGAGAGCTGGAGGGAAGGGCTGGAAGACCAATCCCTGGAGAGCAGAGGTCAGCACAGCCCTTACCCTCCTAGTTATTTTGGTGCCAAAATGTCTCGATACGCCCTCCAGGTGCTGGCTTGTTTATGGCCTGCAGCTGGCCACGCTGGGGAGGGAGTTGGGGGAGGAAGCGAGCAGCCAGCTGCCCTGAGCAGAAAGTGGAAGCTTGGCTCAGCTCAGCCTGCACATGTGTGGGGCTGTCTACTGGCATGTAGTGTCCCTTGGTATCAGGAGGCAGGAAGTCTACGTGCAGGTTGAATGTGTGGCCCAGAGTTTTTGGGACAGATGCAGTGCAAGAAACGGGGTACAGAGCAGTTGAAGGTGCTGCATGGAGAAAGTTCTGCAACCAGCAATGAAGGGCTGGAGAAGGGGGATGGATCCCTGCTATTGATGGAGTGCCTACCTTGTGCCAAGTACTTCACATCTGACATGTAACCATTTCAGTAGTACTTATAAATCAGTAGCATCATTCATATTTCTTAGATGAGGAAATTGCGGTTCAGAAAGGTTATGTACCTTACACATAGGTCACACAGCTAGTGAGAGTCAAGGCTTGAATGCTGGTGTCCCTGAGTCTATAACTAGACCTTTGCCCACTGTATGGTGCTGAATGGAAGTAGGAGAGTTTGGTGGAGTGGGGGGAGGGAGATTAGCATTTAGGATTCAACAACAACTGCCCTTGGCCCTTGCTATTTTTTTTTTCCATTGAAATTTTCAGGCTGGGCGAGGTGGCTCATGCCTGTAATCCCAGGACTTTGGGAGGCCGAGGCGGGCGGATCATGAGGTCAGGAGTTCAAGACCAGCCTGGCCAACATGGAGAAACCCCGTTTCTACTAAAAATACAAAAAATTAGCTGGGCATAGTGACAGGTGCCTGTAATCGCAGCTACTCAGGAGGCTGAGGCAGGAGAATCGCTGGAACCCAAGAGGTGGAGGTTGTAGTGAGCCCAGACTGTGCCATTGCATTCCAGCCTGGGCAACAGAGCGAGACTCCATCTCAAAAAGAAAAAAAAAAAGAAATTTTCATTGAGAGACTTGCACATTCACATGCAGTTGTAAGGGGTAATACGGAGAGACCCCAGGAACGCTTTACCCAACTTCCTCCAGTGGCAACATCATGTAAAGCTACAGTACAATATCCCAGCGGGGTATCGACGTGGGTCCAGTCTGCTCATCTGACTGAGATCTCCACAACTGGATTTGTACTAGTGTGTGTATTCAGTTCTCTGCAATTTTGTCACATGTGTGGTTAATTCCTTTTTAGGGTGTCTGTTTTCCTACTCCTTTAACATTTAAAAAACCTTTCTTCCTTCCAGTTTCATTTCACAGGACTGAGTCGCATTTACTGATCTTTGAGGAGTAGGGCAGGTGCGGGGTGGGAGTTGGGGACATTTGGAAATGTGTATGGTGGTTTTTGGTTTTCACATGCTTGGGGACCAGAAGCTCTATGTCACATGCAGTGGAGAAATGTGCTGCTCCAAATGACAATCATGACCCTAGTTCAGGGTAAAAATTGGATGATTCCCATGTTTTCAAGTTTCCCTTTTATATTCTCCAATGTGAAGTGGTTCTTTCTGACAGGAGTTGCGCCTCTTCACTGACGTGTCACAAAGAAGAATTAGGTTGGACGTGAAGTGTGTTATTACTGCCATCTTGATATGCCCTCAAGGTGGGGTAGACTCAGGGAGCAGGCTGTCGTTAGAGATGATTCATAGTGTGACTCATTCAATAAAGAGGCACCGGAGGGAATGTGCTCTTCCAGGCCACCGCTTTGGGGGAGTTGATGTCTCAGCCCTTCCTGAGATCTCCAGGGGAACAGCGCTGTGCGCTCACCAGGAGAACAAAAAAGCTGCTTCATCATCAAAGAACATTTATGCCAGTTTTCTTTGCTTTAAGAATATAATTCTTACCAAGCCTAATCCTCTTTTTTTAAAATACACTTTTTATTTTGAGTAGTTTTAGATCTACAGAAAAGTTGCAAAGATGTTATACTGAGGTCCCCCACACCCAAAACCCCCTATTATTAACCCTTACATGAGTAGGGTACATTTGCCACACTGAGTGACTCAAATGTTGTTTCCAGTAAAATATACTTATTTCTTTCCAACTTTTATTTTAGGTCCAGGGGGTACATGTGCAGGTTTTTTACATGGGTAAATTGCATGTCATGGCGGTTTGGTGTACAGATAGATACTTTTGTCACCCAAGTAATCAGCACAATAATCCCCGATAGGTAGTTCTTCAATCCTCACCCTCCTCCTACCCGGGAATCAATATTGATGCATTATTATTAAACTAAAGCCCCATACTTAATTCTGATGTCCTCAGCTTTTACCTAATGTCCTTTTTCTGTTCTGGGATCCCATCTAGGAACCCACGTGACGTTTAGTCATCATGTCTCCTTGGCTCCTCTTGTCTGTGACAATCTCAGTACTTTCTGGTAATTGCAGATTTCCTCCTCTCCAGCCACGGTTTCTGCTTCTTAACCGTCACGTTCATGCCCTTGCCTCCTTGACTCTAAAATGATGAGTTCTGGGGCCTGGATGTCCCCTGAGCTCCTAACAGGTGTAGGCAACAGCATTTATTATTATTATTATTATTATTATTATTTTTGAGACGGAGTCTCGCTCTGTTGCCCAGGCTGGAGTGCAGTGACACAATCTCGGCTCACTGCAACCTCTGTCTCCGGGGTTCAAGTGATTCTCCTGCCTCAGCCTCCCGAGTAGCTGGAACTACAAGCGCCCGCCACCACGCCAGGCTAATTTTTTGTATTTTTAGTAGAGACGTGGTTTCACCGTGTTAGCCAGGATGGTCTCGATCTCCTGACCTCGTGATCCGCCTGCCTCAGCCTCCCAAAGTGCTGGGATTACAGGCGTGAGCCACCGCGCCCGGCCGGCAACAGCATTTTAATGGCCTCCCTATTTCTAGTCTTCTCTCCTATGGATCATTCTCTGCCCAGACACATGAGTTCCTCTGCTTTCCCAAACCCCCTTGCCAGCTCCAGTGCCCACGGGACTGAAGTCCTTGCCTCAGAGCAGGGCCGGGAGGCTACTCTGCATCCTGGCGCCGCTGCTCACCTCCCTGCCTCCCGCACCCGCCTTGCTACCGGCTTCACCAAAATCCCTCGTCACCCGCTCTGCTCACCTGGTAGGGGTAGTCTCCCCGTTTTTGCGTTTTCCTGGGAAACTCCCTTCATATCTGACCTCTCCATTCCAATCCCAAACCCTGCTCAGGTCACCCGGCTCCCCCGCGGAATGAAGGAATGAACTGTTTCTTCCCCTGTGCGTCCCCGCCCCTCCTCCGCCTTGCACACTCCTCCAGGGTTTTGCCTCTGTGTATCACTCCACATGTAGTTAATTGATAGAAAAGTCCCAACCCTGTGGGGAGGCTGGAGCCCTTTGTGCCTGCATGAGTTCCCTAGGGCTGCCAGAGCACTGCACCATAGGCCGGGCGGCTTCCACCACAGGAATTGACGCTCTCGGTTCTGGTGGCTGGAAGTGCGAGATCACGGTGTCGGCAGGGGGAGTTCCATCGGAGGCCTTTCTCCTTGGCTTGTAGATGCCATCTTCTCCCTGTGTCTTCACATGGGCTGCCCTCTGTGTGTGTCTGTGTCCTCATCTCCTCTTTTTATGAGGACGCCAGTCATACCGGATTAGGGATCACCCCTGTGACCTCATTTTAACTTCATTACCTTTTTAAAAACCTTAACTCCAAATGCAGTCACATGCTGAGGTACTGGGGGTTAGGACTTCAACATATGAATTACGGGAGGACACAGTTCAGCATGCGACTGTGCTGCAGAACTTTCTGGGGGGACGGGGGAAGTGTTTTATATTTGTGCTATCCAGCGTGGCAGCTGCTAAGCCACATGCGGCTACTGAGTCCCTGAAATGTGGCTCCTGTGGCTGAGGAACGGAATGCTGAATTCTAACTAATTGAAATTTAAGTAGCCACATGTGGCTAGTGGCTATAGTACCCTGGGGCACCATGGGGCCTTCGGCCTGTCCCGGACTGTTCCTGCCTTAGGCCTTGTCCTCCTCTGTCCTGGCCGTGAGCCCATGCCCCTGGCCGTGTCCCCATGCCAGATGCCACTCTGCAGCCCCAGGTCACTGCCCAGGGCGGCGCGGCCAGCGAATGCCTATTGGCAGGCGAGGTCTCTAGCGGCAGCCCTTTGACAGGGAGAGGGCACACCTGGGCAGTCCCTTACTGATTTGCCCCTCAGAGCAGGGCAGACAGATGGACAGCATTTCCTCTGGGTGGCACCAAGCCCTGCTCCACCTGGATGGCACCAAAAACTTAGCTGATCTCATCTCCAGCTTCGCTTCCTCCTCTTCTGCCCAGAGCAGCGCTGGACCCCACCCGCCCACCATCCAGCAGCCCCCCTGGGAAACATGGGACTCGTTCTGGTCACCTCTGTCTCCCTCCAGTCGCTGGTCACTCCCCACCTGGATCTCAGTCCACGTCTCTATCTCTCAGCCCCTCGGTAATCCAGGGCGTCCACCTGCCCTGATAACTTCAAAGCCCGGATCACAGGCCCCAGCGTGGTGACCCAGCCCCGCCCAGGGTTAAATCCCTCAAGGGCTTCCTGCTGCCTTCCATCCCCTTATCTGGTTTCCAAAGCCCGCTTCGACCTGCCCGCCCCGAGGCTCATATCTTAATGCCATTTTCCTTGCTCTAAGCACCAGCTTCCCTTTCTTCCCCCGTCTTCGCCCAACACTCGTTCTTTCTTGCCTCCAGGCCTTTGCACAAATCTGGTCTCTGCCTAGAACATGGTTCCCTCTCTAGTCACAACTCCTGCTCACATTTTCCATCTCTCCTTAAGAACCGTTTTCTCCAGGAAGCCTTCCCAGATGGAGCGGTGCATCCCAGCTCTGGCGTCCCGAGGCCCGTCCCAGTACCGGGGTCTCTTTCCAGCACGCGCGCGCGCATTCGAGCTCGCCCCAAACTCGGCCACACAAGGCTGGGCAGGACAGACACAGCCCCAGCCTGCCTGAGGTTACCTACATTCTGATGCGGAAGAGTAGAGATGTTTTAAGAAGTGAATATAGAAACAAGAACACAAACGGCGTTCCAGAAATAACACACAGAAGCCACGGCCCGGAGAGGTGGGCGGGGGGCCCGGGACGCTTCAGGTGGGGGCGGGGAGGGGCCGCGCGGCGCCGTCTGCAGCTGCGCGCATGGCCGGCAGGGGGCGCGGCGGGGAGAGGCGGGAGGCCGCCCCCACCGCCCCCGGCCCGGCCCGCCCTCGGCCCCGCCCCTCCCGCCGGCCCCGCCCCGCCCCCGCCCGCGGTGCGCGCGCTGGCCCGGCAGCATGGCGGCGGCGGCGGGCGCCCCTCCGCCGGGTCCCCCGCAACCGCCTCCGCCGCCGCCGCCCGAGGAGTCGTCCGACAGCGAGCCCGAGGCGGAGCCCGGCTCCCCACAGAAGCTCATCCGCAAGGTGTCCACGTCGGGTCAGATCCGACAGAAGGTGAGCCCGCGGCGCGGCGGCCCGGGCGCGCGCCCCTCACGCCGCGGCAGCCCCGGCCGAGGCCCGTGGCCCTGCCCGAGCGGCCGCCCAGGCCCGGCTCGGCCCGGCCCGGGGTCCCGCGGGCGTCACCGCCCCTGTCGAGCGTGCCCCGCCGCTGTAACGGGCCGGCGCCCCGGGCGGAGCGCGCGGCCCCCGACGGACGGCGGGCGGCTGTGGGGCCGGGCGGGGGGCGCGCAGGTGGGCGCCCCGGGCGCCGCGCGCTGGGCGGGGGGCGCGCGCCGAGTTGGGCCGCGAGGACCCGGAGGAAACTGAGGCCTAGATGCAGGGGACTGCGCTCGTGCCACCGAGCGGGTCCCACGCGGGGGCTCCCGGCTGCGCCCCGCGGGCGTCCGCGGTCCCCAAACCCCGGTTCTGCACGTTTCTCAGGAGCGGTCGGGTGGTGTCCCGCGAGTGCCCTGCAGACTTCCCTGTGGTGCCCTCAGAAGTCCGCTCGGACCCGGGTGCGAGGGATCACCCCTTCACCCCTTCATCCCAAAAGGGAAGGAAGGGATGCGCGTTCAGTGACCGTCTCTCTCAGCAAAGCCGGGACCGCGCACCCGCTTGGCACCCAACTCTCCACGGAGAACTCCTGACGCTAAATGTTAGATAAAGACGCACGTCCTTTTTGCAGGAGGAAAGTTGCACCGTTTGTTTTCCCATTGTGCTTCCTATTGAAAACAGCTTACGGTTTTTGCTCCAGGTGAGCCCGCCCGGTTAGAACACTGCTTCCTCAGGCAGGTGGCTGGACAGGTGGCTGCGAGCAGGCTGGGTCCCTGGGGCAGCTCTGGCAGATCCGGTTGGCACGGACTTTCTCCTCCTGCTGCAGTGCGCTTTTCCTCCGGGGCGGATTAGGTTCAGCCGTTCCCTTCACCGTGGGAGCCTTCTCTTCTGTCAGCCTTTGATACCTGCGATGGGGGAACCTGAGGTCCTAACATGTTACAAACAGGTTTGTTGTGAAGTGCTCCAGTTATTCAGCAAATAGGTACCGAACACCTGCTTTGTTCCGGGTATAACAGTAGCAGTAGTGATGATAATGATAGCAATAGCAAATAACAATTCTTTAATAAGCCTTCTATGTGCCAGGCACTTTCTTGGGTTAGCTTTACAGCACTTGACATGGTTAGTTTATTAGTACTGGTGAGAACCCAATAAGTTGGATGCTATCATCTCCGTCTTTTGGAATTGGAATAGAAATAGAATCAAGGTTAAATGACTTGCCCAGGGTGTCACAGGTCGTAAATGTGGATGTGTGTTGGAACCATGGTCAGGACCGTAAGATGGAAGGCAGTTTCTACACCTAGGGATTCTCAGTCTAGTTGGGAGATGGACGCCTGTGCACCTGACATGACAACATTGTAAGTGCCGCGGAAACTCGGGGCAGAGACCTGCCCTGGGGAGGCAGGAGTGGTTTCCTTTAAGGTGAGATCTTGAGGGATAAAGAATTCACCAGGCTAAGTGGGTAAGAAATGGCCTTCTACATATTTGAACCTTGCGTCTAGAGCTTTAGGCACAACTGCGAAATGATCAGAAGTTGGGCCAGAGGTGGATCACGTTGATTAGACTTATTAGTTGGAAGGGTTGGTTAGGGCTGAATTTCGAAGGGGTGGTCCTTTGAGGGGTTTGCTTTTTGGCCTTGGGCAAGAGGTGGCCACAGAGGATTGTTCAAAGTATGGGGGTGATGGATCAGATGTGCTTTTGGGAAGATCTCCACATAGCCCTAAATGATACTGATAGGAGTTGCTTTCTCCTGTTGCCCAGGCAAGGTACTGACCAGTGTGGGGTAGATCATGTGATTTACAAGGTTGATTAAGATCAAGATTGTGTTGAGAGAGATTTGATTCCTGGGAGATTCCAGTGTTTAGAATTTTGTTGGTTAGGAGGTGTTTTTGCTTTCCTTCTTTTTTCTCCTAAAACAATAGCTGCTATACCAGCTGTTCTGGTTGAGGAGGAGTGATGGGTAGACTGTTAAAAATACACCCCGAGGACTTAGAGTTTCTGAATACAGTCACATCTGCTGTACAGATAGCTTAAGGCTGATTTTTCTTCTGAGTTGTTAAGAGATTGTCAGAATGTGGGAATGCGAGGTTGACTGTATGTAATAGCTCCATTTTTTTTTTTTCCAGCAGATAAGCCATTCACAAAATTCCTCTGGTATCTATGGTACATAATAGAAACATCAAAAATGGTATGGGGTAGCAGTCTGAGTCTAAAAAGAAAAACAGAACTCACCTTAAGTATTTGGAACAGAAGGAATGTAATCTAGGGGAGTGGTCACACAGGTGATGTGAGAACTGAGAATGCAGGCTGCAATGAGGCAAGCCGGAGATGAGGCAACAAGCAGGAAACTGCTGCCACCCCTAAGTTGGAGGGTGAAGGAAGGAGATGGCATTTCAGACTCCAGGGACAGCTGTCACCCACCAAAAACTGGGGTCACAAGGGGTCCATCTGGCAGTGGCTGGAGCCTTGCAAGGGCACAGCTGCTGCTGCGGATGTACTGTTCCCCTCCTGCCTGGGAACCCTGGCCTTGCTGGGGTCACCTCCTCCACAACTTGGACTGGAGCAGAAGGACAAAGAATGGATCTGAGGACAAGCTGGCCCAGGACCAGAACTGTATGTATGTCAGGCTTTTAAAATATTAGTCTAGTGCAAGTCAGAGCTGTCTTAATGAAGAGAAAAACAAAAGAGAATGTCTTAGGGCAGTGCTCCTCAAATTTTAATGTGCAGACACATCTCCTAGGGATCCTGTTAAAATGATGATTATGGTTGAGTAGGTCTAGGGTGGGTGGGGCCTTAGAATGTGCATTTCTTTTTCTTTCTTTCTTTCTTTTTTTTTTTTTTTTTTGAGACAAGGTCTCACTTTGTCACCCAGGCTGGAGTGCAGTGGTGCGATCTCAGCTACGGCAACCTTTGCCTCCTGGGCTTAAGTGATTTTCCTGCCTCAGCCTCCCAAGTAGCTGGGACTACAGGCAAATGCCACCATGCTGGCTAATTTTTGTATTTTGTTGTAGAGATGGAGTTTCCCCATGTTCCCCAGGCTGGTCTCAAACTCCTGAGCTCAAGTAATACACCCACCTCAGCCTCCCAAAGTGCTGGGATTATAAGCTTGAGCCAATGCACCTGGCAGAATATGCATTTCTAACAAGCTCCCAGAAGATGCTGATGCTGCTGGTCCATGGACCAGACTTTGAAAAACAAGACCTTATGGCACACATGTAAAGAGAAGCCTCTCCAAACTTCAAATAATTCTTCAGGTTATAGATCTTTAGCATATTGAAAATTTGATGTGTGCAGATTTGTGATGGCCATTTATCAGTTTAGCATTTCATGCATGTCTGATTTTTTAATATGTTCGAGCTCTTTAGAGTTGAAGCTGTCCACAGCAAAGACATTACTTCATTTGTATTTCCTGACTACAGTACACAGTAATGACTCTGTAGAACTGCATAGCTAGAATGGAAAGAAAGAAAATGGAGCTAACACTCCGACCAGCACATTCACCAGCACATTATAAGGTATTTTGAAATTTCAGTGAAGAACCGTGTAATTCTGCAAAGCTATCAGTTAAAAGAGTTTAATTTATTTAAAAGTTTCTAGAAAGTTAACATTTTTTGGATATGAGCATGAAAGTGCTTGGATTCCTGATTTTAAATTTAAACAAAGCATTTTTTCCATTGTGAAATGAAGACTAGTAAAAATTAGGTAAAGGGTTTAAGTTGTAAAAAACTTAAAAAAATGCACCGCAGTTTTATGAGATATAATTCACATGGGATACAGTTCAGTGGTTGTTAGTATATTCGCTGTTTTGCAACCATCACCACAGTCAATTTTAGAACATTTTCATCACCCCGTTTCCTCTCAACTCCCTCAACCATAGGCAACAAGAATCTACTTTCTGTCTCTGTGTTTGCTGATTCTGGTCATTTTACATAAATGGAATCATACAATATGTGGTCTGGCTTCTTTAACTTAGCATAATATTTTTAAGGTTCATCCATGTCATGGCATGTATCGGTACTTCATTTCTTTCTGTTGCTGGGTAATATTCCATTCTACAGGCACACTGTATTTTATTTATCCATTTATCAGTTGATGGACATTTGGGTTATTTCTACTTTTTGGCTATTCTGGATAATGCTGCTGTGAACATTCATGCACATGTTTTTGTGTGGACATAGGTTTTCATTTATCTTGGCTATACACCTAGGAGTGGAAGTGCTGGGCCATATGGTAATACTACCGGACTATTTTCCAGCTAAAAAGCTGCCGTAACATTTTACATTCCCACCAGCTGTGTATGAGGAGGGTTCCAATTTTTCCACATCCTTGTCAGTAACTGTTATTATCTCTCTTTTGATACTAGCCATCCTAGTAGGGATGAAGTAATGTAAAAGGTTTTTAATGCCATTTTATTGTCGGATTTCAAAGTCTAAACTTTGGTGTCAGATGAAGTCACTTCAGACCCTGCGCTTCTAGTTATGAAGCATGCGATTGTGGACAGGGTGTCTAAACCTCCCTTAAGACGTGGTTTCCTCATCTGTAAACATGGAAAATATTAGTTCTTGGGTTGGTTGTAGTGAAAGTAAATGTTAACTCTGTGTTCCTGAGTCTCAGTTTCCATGTCTGTAAAATAGAAATAACAGTTGTTATATCCATAAAATAGGAATGGGGATGTTAACTCATAGAATTAAATGGGATAATTTGTGTAGAACACCTAACATAGTGGCTGATGTATAGTAAATGATCACTAAATGGTTGCTTTTGGTTATTTTTTGTCTTTCTGATTTTTTTTTTTTTTTATCCCAGATAGGAATCATTTCCCTGATTCCATTTTTCTCCAGCTCAGGCTGGTCTGAGTCTCCATCTCTCGGCTCCAGAAGAGCAAATACAAACAAATCTGGCTGAAAATTAACAAAGACCATTTTTTAAAGAAATCGTTAATTTATTGAGTACTAGTGGGAATACCATGGGCTAGGTATTACATTTTGTATTTCACTGGTTCAGTTTAACAGCAAATATTTGAGATCTTAACATTGTTAACTGTTGTGCGAGGCACCAGGGGTATCTTATTGAGTAACAACAAAAATTTTTAGAGATGATAGTCTAGAAGACATTAATAAAACAATCACACAGTTAATATGAAGTTGTGATGGGGACGGGTGCTGATGAGGAGAGGGCCAGAATACTTTGAGAGGACATCATAGGTGAATTTGACCTGATATCAGGGAGGTCTAGGAGGGCTTCTTGAGGCAGTGACTGGCTGGGTCTGGAAGGTGAGTAGGGAGCAGTGCCTTCTGCTTCTGGCAGTGGTGAGCTGAGTGACTGCAGCGCCACTCTTCCAAGCACAGTCTGCTAATAAGATGATGCTGAATTTCTGGACTAGGATCTGGGGTGGCTGAAGATCTGTGGAAGTGAGTGTGGTATTTGGGGCTGCTTTTGACCTTGGAATCTGTAGTGGCGTCTGTAGTGGATTTGGCATCTCTACCAAATTTGGTCCACCTAGAACTTCAGGATGCCCACATAATAAGATATTAGTTAAATATCTTTAAAAAAATTTTTTTTCTTTTTTTCTGAGACAGGGTCTTGCTCGGTCGTCCAGGCTGGAGTGCAGTGGCATACTGCAGTCTCTGGCTGGGCTCAGGCAATCCTCCTGCCTCAGCCACCTGAGTAGCTGGGACTCCAGATGCATTCCATGATGCCTGGCTAATTTAAAAACACATTTTTATGGAGACGAGGGTCTCACTATGTTGCCCATGCTTGGGGTCTCAAACTCCTGGGCTCAAGCGATCCTCCCCCTTTGGCTTCCCAAAGTGCTAGAATTACAGACATGAGCTACTGTGCCTGGCCAAAATTTTTTATTTTGAGATAGGGTCTTGCTATATTCCCCAGGCTGGTCTCAAACTCCTGGGCTCAAGTGATCCTCCTGCTTCAGGCTTCTGAGTAGCTGGGAGCGTAGGCTCAAGCCACTGTGCCTGGCTAATTAAAGATTTTGAGAGTAAATCATCGTGAACTTAGGAGAAACTCTAAATCCAGTGTTGGTTTCTTTATAAGAGGAAGGGGAGGGAGATTTGGACAGAAAGACATGTTGGGAAAAAGGTTATGGGAAAATAGAGCCGGAGATTAGAGTTCGTTGATGCAAACCAAGGAATGCCTGGGGCCACCAGAAGCTGGAAGAGATAACAGATGGAATCTCCCCTAGAGCCTTTAGAGGGAGTGCGGCCTTCTGATCCCTTGATCTCCGACTTCCAGCCCCCAGAGCAGTGAGACAGTCAAGTTTTTTTTTTTTTTTTTTTTTTCCAAGTTTTGTTTTAAGCCTTGAAGTTTTATGGCAGCCCTAGGGCAGCCCTGGGGAAAGAACACTGGGCCCTGAACAAAACATGGGAGCCAAGAGGCTGAGCCCTGTGAGACTGTCTGAGTGCCTTAGCAGGGCTGAGGTGCCAGGTTCTGCCAAAGGGCAACAGTCCTGGGTGACACCCTCCCCTCACAATTTGGATTGGGATCCAAAGAAGCCACTTCCAAGGAATGCGCAGGAGCCAGAAGTATTGGAAGGACTGCAGCCCTGCTTCAAATCACCTCAGTCCTCTGAAATTAAAGTAATCCCAGTGTACTAGTGTCTCTAGATTCCCAACAGAAGCAAACTTTAATCCTCTCTAGAGGGAGATATCTCCCTCTAATCCTCCCAGTTATCAATGGAGGCCTCTAATGACTTTCACGAGTCTGTTTGTACGTTCATGATTGTGCATACAGTAAAAAAATAGACATCAAGGGAGGCGAGGCACTTGAGCTAAAACCAGTCGAAACTACAGGCTGTAGACAGACCCACAGGGCTTCCAGACTCCAGACCCAGACTTTATAACAACTGTGCTCGTTGTGTTGGAGGAGACACGAGATCAGATGGAGAGTTTTGGCAGAGAACTAGAAACTATGGAAAAGAACCAGATGAAAATTCTAGTCCACACTGGCCAGATGGCTCACGCCTATAATCTCAGCACTTTTGGACTGAGGCAGGTGGATCATTGGAGGTCACGAGTTTGAGACCAGCCTGGCCAACATGGCAAGATCCCGCCTCTACTAAAGATACTAGACATTTTTTTTTTCTTTTAAGACGGAGTCTCACTCTTGTCACCCAGGCTGTAGTGCAGTGGCATGATCTCAGCTCACTACAACCTTTGCCTCCTGGGTTCAAGCAATTCTCCTGCCTCAGCCCCCCGAGTAGCTAGGATTACAGGTGCCCATCACCACGCCCAGCTAATTTTTTGGTATTTTTAATAGAGACGGAGTCTTACCATGTTAGCTAAGCTGGTCTCGAACTCCCAATCTCAGGTGATCTGCCCGCCTCGGCCTCCCAAAGTGCTGGGATTACATGCGTGAGCCACCTCACCCAGCCAATAAAAGAAAATTATAAAATTGAAAAAGCATAGTGATCAAAATTAACTAACCAAAAAAAGAGCAGATTAGACCCAGGCTGAAAAAATTGTGTGAACCAGAAGATAGCTCAGAAGAAAATACCCACAAGGAAGCCTGGAGACATAAAAAATGGAAAAATTTGGAGAGGGTGGGAGACAGATATAGTAAGAAGGTCTTACTTGTGTTTAATTGTCACAAGAGAGGAGAAGTGAGAGAAAATTGAGGAGACACAATATTTGAAAAGATAATGTGGCCAGGTGCAGTGACTCACGACTGTAATCCCAGCAGTTTTGGATGCTGAGGTGGGCGGATCACCTGAGGTTAGGAGTTCAAGACCAGCTTGGCCAACATGGTGAAACCCTGTGTCTACTAAAAGTACAAAAATTAGCTGGGTGTGGTGGCAGATGCCTGTAATCCCAGCTACTCGGGAGGCTGAGGCAGGAGCATCGCTTGAACCTGGGAAGTGGAAGTTGCAGTGAGCTGAGACCACACCATTACACTACAGCCTGGGCGACAAGAGCGAAACTCTGTATTAAATAGAAAAAAAAGAAAGAAAAGTAATACCTGAGAATTTTCTACAACAAATAACAGGTACCATGAACAGATTCGATAGCCGTATGAACTGAAAGAACCATATCTAATCAATTCCTGGTACACCCTTGTGCTCTGCATAATGATGTTTCCGGATGATGATCCACATGGACAAAGGTGGTCCCATAAGATTATAATGAAGCTGAAAAATTCCAATTGTCTAGTGACGTGGTAGCTGTTATAATGTTGTAGGGCAATGAATTACCTATGTGTTTGTGGTGATGCTGGTGTAAACAGACCTACTGCACTGCAAGTGGTAGAAAAGTATAGCACATACAAGTATATACAGTACATAATAGTTGATGATGATAATAAACAACTATGTTACTGGTTTATGTATTTACTATCTATACTTTTTATTATTTTAGAGTATATTCTTCCTACTTATAGAAAAAAGAAAAACAAATTGTAAAACAGCCTCAAGCAGGTCCTTCAGGAGGTATCCAGAAGAAGGCATTGTTATCATAGGAGGTGACAGCTCCATGCACGTCATTGTCCCTGAAGACCTTCCAGTGGGATAGGATGTGGAGGCGGAAGATAATGATACTGATGATCCTGACTCTGTGTAGGTCTAGGCTAATGTGTGTGTTTGTTTCTTAGTTTTTAACAAAAATATTTAAGAAGTAAAATAATTAAAAAAATTAAAAATAGAAAAAAGGTTATAGAATAAGGATATAAAGAAAATACTTTTGTACAAGTGTACAGTGTGTGTTTCAAGCTAAATGTTACTACAAAAGAGTAAAAAATTAAATTAAAAGTTTATAAAGTAAAAATATTACAGTAAGCTAAGGTTAATTTGTTATTGAAGAAAGAAAGTCTTTCAAAAAATAAATGTAGTATAGCCTAAGTGTACAGTGTTTACAAAGCATAGAGTACTGGTCAGTAGTGTCCTAGGCCATCACATTCACTCACCAGTCATTCACTCACTCATCCAGAGCAACTTCCAGCCCTGCAAGCTCCAGTTACGGTAAGTACCCTATACAGGTGTACCATTTTAAAAATCTTTTATGACATATTTTTACTGTACTGTTTCTATGTTTAGTTATATTTAGATACGCAAATACTTGCCGTTGAGTTATAGTTGCCTACAGTGTCAGCACAGTGATGTGCTCTATGGGTTTGTAGTCCAAGAGCAATAGGTCATGCCATACAGATGAGGTGTGTGCCATCTAGATTTGTGAAAGTACACTCTGTGATGTTCACATAGGATGAAATCACCTCATAACACATTTCTCAGAATATATGCTCATTGTTAAGCAACTGATAACTGTAGCACCGTTGAAAACCATAGATGAAGAGAAAGAGAGAAAGGCGGAGGTTGCAGTGAGTCGAGATCACACCACTGCACTCCAGCCTGGGCAACAGAGCGAGACTTTGCTTCTAAAAACAAAAACCAAACAAAAAAAGAATGACAGCTGTGTTCTTAACAGAAATAATGGAAACCAAAAGTCTATTGAAATTTAAGTCCTCAAAGAAAGTTACTGTGAACCCAGAATTCTGTATGCAGCAAAAATGTCCTTCAGAAAATACAGTTGAAATAAAGATACTTTCATATAAACAAAAACAATGTTTTTGCCAGCAGACCCACACTAAAGGAAACATTAAGTGTTTTTTGTTTGTTTTGGCTAAAGGAAAATGCTCAAGTTAAGCGTTAGAGTTACAGGAAGGAATAGAGACTTAAGGGTTTCTACGTGGGAAAGACCAAATGATTATTAACTATAAAAATTATGCCTTTGGGTTTAAATTATATAGAATTAAAATACATGACAACAATGTCCTGTAGGTTAGAAAGGAGGCAAATAGAGTAGAACTTTTCTAAAGTCTTTCCATTTCCAGGAAGAAGAACAAAGATCCAATTATATTAGACAAGTCAGGGATGCATGTTGTGTGTAATCTGTGTGGTGGCCACCAAAATTGTGATAGTGTGTGATAGCTAAGCTAAACAAGAAAAATAGAATCAGAGATTCTAAATCTGAAAGAAGGCAAGAAAGGAGAGAAAACACTGAACAATTGGGACAAAGAGAAAGCAAACAGTAAGTTAGTAGACTGAAATCCCAGTATGTCAGTAATCACATTAAATCTAGGTGGACTTAAATGCTCCAGTTAAAATACAGAGATTGTGAGATGGGATACAAAAGCAAATCCTGACTAGGCTATTTGAAAGAGATACGTTTAAAACATAAGGATATTAAAAGATTGAAAGTAAAAGAATAGGAAAAGATACTATGCAAACACTAACCAAAAGAAACTTGGTGTAGCTATTTTAGTATCAAAGTAGATTTTAAGGGCAAAATTATTAATAAAGATATGCTGATAAATGAGAAAAAGTTCATTTTGGATATAATAATTTAAAATTTGGAAGTAATGACTTCAAAATATATAGAAGAAAAATTAACACAATTGTAAGGGAAACAAATTCATAATCATAGTGAGATGTTTTAACACACCTGTCTTACATGCTGTATACATCAAGTAGACAAAGAAATTTGTAAAAGTGTAGAATTGAACAACACAAGAACGGAACTTTTTTTTTTTTTTGGGAGACGGAGTTTCGCTCTGTTGCCCAGACTGGAGTGTAATGGTGCAATCTCTGCTCACTGCAACCTCCACCTCCCAGGTTCAAGTGATTCTCCTGCCTCAGCCTCCAGAGTAGCTGCGACTACAGGTGTCCATCACCATGCCACCATGCTTGGCTAATTTTTGTATTTTTAATAGAGATGGAGGGGGGGTCTCACCGTCTTGGTTAGGCTGGTCTTGAACTCCTGACCTCAGGTGATCCACCTGCCTCGGCCTCCTGAAGTGCTGGGATTACAGGCGTGAGCCACTGCACCTGCCACAAGTACTAAACTTGACCTAATGGAAATGTATGGAACACTGTACCTAACAATTGTAGAATCTAAGTTTTTTTCCAATGCACAGGCACATTTGTCGAAATTCACTATATGCTGGCCATAACACAAGTCTCAACAGCTTTCAAAAGAGTTGAAATTATAGAGTATGTTCTGACAACAGAATTAAGCCAGGATCAATAAAAAGAAAATCTCAATGTATTTGGAAATTTTAGATGTCTATTTCTAAGTAATTTATGAGTCACAGAAAGCTTAAATATTTTGAGTTGAACAATAGCAAATATGTATATATAAAATGGGGTACAGCTGAAGTCATGTTTAGAGGGAAATTTATAGCTTAAAATACGTATATTAGAAAAGAAGACATGCTGAAAATCAGGTAGTTAGAAGAATAGCAACACATTAAACTCAAAGGAAATAGAGTATTTTTTTAAAGGATTTATAGAAGAATGAGGAGGAGGAGGTTGCTGATCAAAGAGGTATGCAAAGGCCCTGTGGCAAGAGGGAGCTTGGGGAAATCTTGGGGCTGAAAGAAGGCTGTGGTGGTTAGGGCTGGTAAGCATCGGGAGCCTTTGGTTGGGATCTGACACTGGAGAGGGTTGGAGGCTGTGTTAGGGAGCTCTGCCTATTTTCCCCCAGATTAGTGGGATACTATTGCTTTAAGATTTTAGGAAGGACCATGACCTAATTGGATCGTGGTTGAAAAGATGGCTCTAGCTGCGCTGCGGTTGCCTGAGTGGATGCTGGCTGACCCAATGCAGTGAAAGATGCTGGCAGCCTGGGCCTGTGCTGTGGCTGTGGCGATGGGGGAAGTAGCTGGATTTGAGAGATGCTGAGGAGGTGACATTGTGAGAACTCAGTGATGGTTTGGTGTGGGTGTTGGGGGAGAGGAGGTTTGTGATTCCTGTGATGAGCTGGATAATGGAACTCTTCTCTGATATAAGGAGCTGTGGTTGAGGACAGCTTTGGGGATTTTGCTGTTACCTGGCTCTGCTGCATGCTATCCTGGAACCTCTTATTCTCCACTACCCCAGTTTTGCCAATGAACGACATAGATTCAGCAGTTAGGTGGCTTGCTAGTGTGCCATGAAGCCATGTAGGTCTCACTGAACCCAGATAGGGCCTCCTTTGTCCCTTCCTCCCCAGCCCCCAGTCATGCAGCAGCAGTGAGGATGGTTCATCTGAGCCCGAGAGTGAGGACAGTGTGACGGGGTCAGGGCCCGATTGGATGCTGGGGCCGTTGGCTTTTAGGAGGTGGGCAGAAGAGGAAGAGGAGGACTAGTCAAAGAAGGAAGGACTGGCAGGGGAGGAGAAAGAAAGGGGGCTGCAGAGAAGCCCCAGAACCAGCACAGTTTACCTCTAAATACCTCAGTGTATGTCTCCACAACATGAGGATATTTTCTTATATAACAATACCATTATACCTGAAAAAACTTTTTAACATTTAATATCCAGATCATTTTCAAATTTCCCCAGTTGAACCAGAAATGCCATTTATGACCTTCCTTTTGGGAACCAGGTACCCATCAAGTTTTACGCATCATCTTTGGTTGTTGTTATCTCTTTAGTTTGTTAAATTAGAACAGCTTCCACTGTTCTCTCTTCCCGTTCCCTACCTGCCTATAACATCAACTTTTTCAAGAGACAAGGGCAGTTGTCTGGTATTAATGACTTTTTTTTTTTTTTGTTCAGACAGAATCTCACTCTGTCGCCCAGACTGGAGTGCAGTGGTGCGATCTCGGCTCACTGCAACCTCCGCCTCCCAGGTTCAAATGATTCTCCTGCCTCAGCTTCCCAAGCAGCTGGGACTACAGGCGCCCGCCACCATGCCCGGCTGATTTTTTTATTTTTAGTAGAGACGGGGTTTCACCATGTTGGCCAGGCTGGTCTCGAACCCATGACCTCAAGTGATCCGCCCACCTCGGCCTCCCAAAGTGTTGGGATGACAGGCATGAGCCACCGCACCCAGCTGTATTAATGACTTTTAATGGCAAAAACCTCCATTACTTTTGTACCAACCTAATAATCTTTCTGGATTTTTCTGATTGTTTTCCCATCATTCTTTTACATTGTTGTTTTATCTCCTATATTTCCTATAAAGTAGAAGTAAGCAGTTTCAAAGACTCTCACTTCTATATTTTGGTTGACATTTTGGGCATATCCCTAAATATGGAATGCTCTGTGCTCTACCGCATCCCACTTGGAGGTGGGTGTGTCCTGTCAGGCTGTCCCCCTCTGCTGTGTCATCGCTTGGTTTACAGATTTCTAGGTCTTTTCTTCCTCTTTTTTTTTTCTTTTTTTTTTTTTTTTTTTAATAGAAGTGGGATCTCCCTACGTTAAGCCAGTCTGGTCTTGAACTCCTGACCTAAAGTGATCCTCCTGCCTTGGCCTCCCAAAGTTCTGGGATTACAGGCATGAGCCACCTTGCCTGACCAGATCTTTTCATTGGAGATGTGATTTCCCCTTTACAGTTAGGAAGTAATAGGTGATTCCTGGGCACTGTGCAAATATCCTTTACCCCAAATGGTTTCCATATTCATACACAATACAGGACTTGCCTGAAGCAATTTTATTATAAGAGTTTTTAAAATGGAGATTCCTGCCACCCCCATTGTGTCATTTATTCCACATTTATCTGTTGGTGTTATTCTGTAAAGATATTTTCTTGGGGCCAGGCGCGGTGGCTCATGCCTGTAATCTCAGCACTTTGGGAGGCCAAGGCTCAGGCGATCACTTGAGGTCAGGAGTTCGAGACCAGCCTGGCCGATATGGTAAAACCCCATCTCTACTAAAAATACAAAAAAATTAGCTGGGCATCGTGGTGGACACCTGTAATCCCAGCTACTCCAGAGGCCGAGGCAGGAGAATCGCATGAACCCAGGAGGAGGAGGTTGCAGTGAGCCAAGATCACACCACTGCACTCCAGGCTGGGCGACAGAGCGAGACTCCATCAAAAAAGTGAAAATAAAAGGATATTTGCTCACTTCAACCGAGTTAAGGACCACAGTTCCTCCTAAAAAGGCAGGTCAATTGCTGGATTCTTTGTTTAATTACCAATGTTCGAGGTAAGGATTTGGTAAATAGTCATCCCCAGTAGAGGCAAATGTTTCTCTCCCCCCAACCCTAAACCCCCACACCCACCCTGAGTATCACTATATGGATTCATGGCAATTTTTATTCAGTGTTTTACAATCAGTTACAGTCATTCTTTTTGATGCTAAAATTATCCTGATTTTCCTGGAAACACACCTTCATCTGGCTCTTTGGTCTTTAAAGGCTTGCTTGCTATGTTGCGATCTGTTTTCATCTTCTGGATAGAGTCCTGGAGCTGGAGTTTCAGGTAGAAGGGACAGTGTGCGTCCTGTGGCCGAGGCTGCCAGCCCACAGCGTGCATTGCTGCCCATTTCCTGCCAGTCCTGGGACGAGAGTGCCTAGGAGTTTCAAGATTTCAGGCTGGCAGGTCTTTGTTTTCCTTTTTTGGATTGGCTTAGGTTTAGGGTTGTCTCAGCCTCATAAAGTGAGTTGGGTAGCTTTCTGTGAGGAAGGCTTTTGTCTCTGCCTCTCATATTGCATCTCCATTTATTTTATTTTTTGGGGGGAGGTTCTCATCTGTAGGTTAGACCATCTGTCTCCTTACCACTCTGTCCATCTCAGTATTTTTCCCTGTCCACTGTATCCATCAGCATTCTGGGGGCCTCAGTTTTGTCTTTTTGCCACCAGTGACATTTTCTGTAATGTACATTTTTCCCTTTGACTCCTTCCAGTTGGATTTTAATTTTTCCGTAGTGTGATTGTTTTTGTTTTCTAATCTTGGTCAGCATCTTAGCTTGTTGTCTTTTAATTTCAACCTATTCTCATTTTGGTGCTCCCTGTCTTTTAAAAACATTTTAATTTTAACTTTTTAAATAAAGGCCACGTCTTCCTGCATCTTAGGACAAGAATCACATCTTTTCTAAAATGGTCTTCCATTTTCTGCAATCATTCATTTCAGGTTTGTGCATGTACTTTATGGCATGTTTTTCCATCAGCCTCTCCCCTCCCCCTTTCTGTTCTGATGTGATGTTCCTTGAATGGCGTTTGCCAGGCTGCGGGTTTGAATTGCTGTTTCCTGGGGACTTGGCTGGGCACAATCTGGGGCTGGCCGTGGGGTGATCGGCCACGGGCCCAGGCTGTGTCTCTGCTGCTCTGGGCGGGCTCTCCCCTCACCTTGAATTCATGTGCAATGGCCCCATTTTCCGTGTCCATGTGTGTTCCTGAGTAGTGGGTGTTTGCTGATCACCTGCTGCCCACTCTGCTGGCTCTGCTCTTCTGTGTCTGAGGGTAAAGGGTGTCTGCCTCCCTTTCCCCTGCAGGAAGGGCTGGACTCTCATCCCCTGATGAATGGTGCTTTGTCCTTATAGAATGATGGAAGAGGGACACTCTTTTTCTTTTAAACCTGCTATTTTAACCATTTTAAAGTGCACAGTTAAGTGCCATTAAGTACATTAATGGTATTGTGTAACCATCACCTCTATCTAGTTTGGGAACTTCTGTATCCCCTACATGGAAATCCCTTCCCCATCGTGAGTCACTCCTCATTTCCCCCTCCTCCCAGCTGCTGACAACCACTAATCTGCTTTCCATCTCTATGGATTTGCCTATTCTGGATATTTCATTTATTATTTATTTATTTTTTAGATACAGTCTTGCTCTTTCTCTCAGGGTGGAGTGCAGTGGCTCAATCTCAGCTCACTGCAATCTCTGCCTCCCAGGTTCAAGCGATCCTCTCACCTCAGCCCCCCCAGTAGCTGGCATTACAGGTGCACTCCACCATGCCTGGCTAATTTTTGTATTTTTAGTACAGAGGGGGTTTCACCATGTTGTGGCCAGGCTGGTCTCCCAATTCCTGACCTCAAGTGATCTGACCGCCCTGGCCTCCCAAAGTCCTGGGATTACATGCGTGAGCCACCGCACCCGGCCACTGAGCACTGTGTTTTCAAGGCTTATTTACGTTGTACGTTTCAGAACTTCTTCTTTTTTTTTTTTTTTTTTTGTTTGAGTGAATAATACTCTGTTCTGTCAATGTACCACATTTTGTTTGCTCATTCATCGGTTGACAGATATTTGGGTTGCTTCTACCTTTTGACTATTGTGAATAGAACTGCTGTGAACATTCATGTACAAATTATTATTTAAATACCTATTTTCATTTATTTTGTATTTTTTTTTAAATTTTTGAGACAGGGTCTCTGTCACCCAGGCTGGAGTGCAGTGGTGCAGTCATGGCTCACTGCAGCCTCCACATCTTGGGCTCAAGCAGTCCTCCCACCTCAGCTTCCCAAGCAGCTGTGACTACAGATGTGTGCCACCATGCCTGGCTAATTTTTTAATTTTTTGTAGAGATGAGGTCTTGCTGTGTTATCCAGGTTGGTCTCGAACACTCGGGCTCAAGTGATCTTCTTGCCTTGGCCTCCCAGAGTGCTGGGATTACAGGTGTGAGCCACTGTGCCCAGCTGACCTGTTTTCATTTCTTTTGGGTACGTACATGTGAGTTAAATTGCTGGATAATTCTGTGTTTATCTTATTGAGGAGCTGCTAAACCACAAAGGCTGCACCATTGTATGTTCCCTCCAGCAGTGCATGAGAGTTCTGATGTTTCCACACTTGCCAACTCTTGTTACTTTCCACTTATTATAATATAAATGTTATAATATTTAATAATTTAAGAATATTATATTATTCAGTTCCTCAATGACTAACAATGTTGAGCATCATTTCATATGTTTATTGACCATTTGTATATATTTTTTGAAGAAATACCTATTCAGGTCCATTGCCCATTTTCCAATCGGGTTGTCTTCTTGTTGTTGAATTGTAAGAGTTTTTTATATATTTTGGGTACTAGAACTTTATCAGATACATGATTTGCAAATATTTCCTCTCATTCTGTGAGTTGTGTTTTCACTCTCTTGATAGTGTCCTTTGAGGCACAAAAGTTTTGAATTTTGATGAAGTCCAATTTTTTTCTTTTGTTGCTCGTGCTTTTGGTGTTATGCTTAAGAAACCATTGCCTAATCCAAAGACAAGATTTATACCTATGTTCTTCCACGAGTTTTGTAGTTTCAGCTATTATTAATATATTTAGTCTTTGATCCATTTTGAGTTATTTTTTGTATGTGGTGTGAGGTCAGGTTCCAACTTCATTCTTCCTGTGTGGATGTGCAGTTGCTCCAGCACCAGCTGTTGAAGAGGAGCGCTCTCCAGTTGGAGTCTGCCTCCCCAGCTGTGCAGACAGCCCTGCAGTATTGAAAAACAGCCACAGAGCTCCTCAGGAGTGCTTGGAAATCTCAATGGAGTTCATAAAGTGATTCTTAATAGAATCATTCTTATGTATGGTTATGAGACATTTACATATTTAAAGAGTTTAAAAGGAAGTATCTGCATTTCAGAATTTTTACTGCCATGGAACTCATCTACATTTTATTTTGTTTTATTTTATTTTTTTCAGACAGGATCTCACTGTCACCCAGGCTGGAGTGCAGTGGTATGATCTCCGTTCACTGCAGCCTCTACCTCCCGAGCTCAAGTGATCCTCCCAGTCAGCCTCCTGAGTAGCTGGGACCACAAGCATGCACCACCACACCTGGGTAATTTTTGTATTTTTTGTAGAGACGGGTTCTTGCTATGTTGCCTAGGCTGTCCTCGAATTCCTGGGCTCAAGCAATCCGCCCGCCTCAGTCTCCCAAAGTGGCTAGGATTACAGGCGTGAGCTACTGAGCCCAGCCTCTTCTACATTTTATGTTTGAGAATATGGACTTGATTCAGTTCTTTTTATAGTTTGGTAAACTTGAAATAACACTCATCTCATTAAATCCAGTCTCATTTGACATTCTCAGTATTTGAACTCTGATAAAAATGGACTAGTACTCAGAAGCTGGGCAGAAGGGAAGTCTGAGAAGTTGTTCTCTATCTCCTTTCTCTCTGTGGTTGCTGAACATTTTTGTGTGCTTCAAGAGGGCAAGTAGAACCAGGTTTGTCAAGAATTAAGACATAAGTCTTTTTTTTTTAATTTTTATTTTTTTTCTTACATTTAAGGGAGATCTGGCCAATGTGTATTTTTATTGTCCATTAGTCACAATTGTCTGTGTTTTTATATCTAACTAGTGTTTTGTATTATTTGCTGTTTGTAGAAACTCCTTGGTAGTTAACTGCAGCTTCTTTGTCCTCTGGCAGCAGAAATGGGTATAACCATTTGGGAAAGTGACTTAGTGAGTGTCTGAATAACTCCAAGAGACTCTTGGTCCAGAATTCTAACACTGGGACTCTATCCTGAGAAAATAATCTTAAATATAAAGCTCATGAACAACATGTTTATTGTACCATTAAATATAAAAAGTTGCAAGCCACCCCAGTGTCCAAGTCCAGCTTAGGACAAACCCCACCAGAACACTCCAGTGTAATGACTCAGTGAGTTAATGATAATAGCTGATAAAATGGGTACTGCGGGCGGGTCCCGTGCTGTGCTCTGTGCGCGTGCTGTCCCACTTCACCTTCACAACTTCATGGTGGCTGCACCAGGTCACAAAGCTGGAAAGTGGCAATGTGCATGGCTCTCAATGCCTGAAGCTGCCAGCCAGGTAATTGAGGAGGTCAGCAACAGGGACGGTACTATGTGATGTTGGAGAAATAAAGAGGCGAAGCTGTGTTTACAGAATGCGTTTCAGCAGTGTGTAAAACACTGGAAATAAGATGGAATAGGAAATAACACGGAGGAAGTTTCTTATGATATTGTGGGTCGGGTTAGGTGGTGAGATTTGTATTATTTTTATGTTTACATCTGCTTGCCTGCATTTTCTAAAATGAGCATGTATTATTTTATACCAAAGGAAACAAAAAGGCATAACATGCTTCCCGTCAATGGAAGACTCCTAATGGTAAGAGGGGCTGTGTTGTGACGTGGAGATGATTCAGATTGGAGAAGCAGCTGCCCTCAGCCTTATCTGGAATGTCCTAAAACAGCTGAAACGATACTGTTGGATCAAAACAGATTGAATTTCAGGAGTCAAATATACAAAAGGGCATGCTTGTGAAAATACAGGATTTAAGTTTCATAATATCCTAATAAATGGGTACATTATATGGAACGACTTAATTATGTTCCCCCTTGTTTGAACTTTCAACTCCTGTGTTGAAATTAAATCTACACTTACCTAAGAAGTGAGCTCAAGGTCTTGATATGAATAGGATGTATTTTAGCTTGAGATGTAAACTGTTTGATGCGTGCAATGTTATCAGTTCTTTAGATAATGTTCATAATGACATTAGCATCCCTAAACATTTGAATAAATGAAAAAGAAATAACATATAGAATAATAATACACAAAGTAAAAGCAGATCTAGTTGCAGTATATTGTTGTTTGGAAAAGCAAGTTATTGAATAATTTGTACATCATGTAACTCCCCTTTATGTCTTTTAGTTTAATTTTTTTTTTTTACACAGGGTTTTTTTTGTTTTTGTTTGTTTGTTTGTTTTTGAGATGAAGTCTCGCTCTCACCCAGGCTGGAGTGCAGTGGTGTGATCTCGGCTCACTGCAACCTCCACCTCCCGGGTTCAAGTGATTCTCCTGCCTCAGCCTCCTGAGTAGCTGGGATTACAGGTGCCTGCTACGATGCCTGGCTAGTTTTTGTATTTTCAGCAGAGACAGGGTTTCACCATGTTGGCCAGGCTGATTACGAACTCCTGACCTCAAGTGTGCCTTCTGCCTCAGACTCCCAAAGTGCTGGGATTACAGGCGTGAGCCACTGCGCCTGGCCTTGACACGGGGTCTCGCCCTGTCACCCAGGCTGGAGTGCAGTGGTGCCATCATCACTCACTGCAGCCTTGGACTCTTGGGCTCAGGTGATTTTCCTGTCTTGGCCTCCCCAGAGGCTAGGACTACAGGTATGGGCCACCATGCCCAGCTAATTTTTAGATTTTTTGTAGAGATGGCATCTCACCGTGTTGCCCAGGCTGGTCTTGAACTCCTGGGCACAAGTGATTTGCCCACCTCTTTCTCCCAAAGTGCTGAGATTACAGGTGTGAGCCATAGCACCTGACAATTTTATTTTTACATTTTTCTTTTTAGAGGCACGGTCTTGTTCTGTCATCCAGGCTGCAGTGCAGTGGTTCAGTCATAGCTCACTGGAGCCTAAATTCCTGGGTTCAAGCAACTTTTCTGCCCCAGTTTCCTTAGTAGCTAGGACTGCAGGCGTATGCCACCATACCCAGCCAATTTTAAAAGTTTTTATAGAGATAGAGTCTCTATAAAAGCAGAGGGATACTTTACTATGCTATGTTGCCCAGGCTGGTCTTGAATTCCTGGGCTCAAGTGATCTGCCTGCCTCGTCCTCCCAAAGTGCTGAGATTACAGGTGTGACATACCATGCCCAGCCCCACTTTTCTGTTTTATTTACACACTTGAAAACAGATGGAGCCGGGCGTGGTGGCTCATGCCTGTAATCCCAGCACTTTGGGCGCCCAAGTCCGGTGGATCACCCGATGTCAGGAGTTCGAGACCAGCCTGGCCAACATGGTAAAATCCTGTCTCTACTAAAAATAACAAAAATTGGCCAGGCGTGATGGCACACGCCCGTAGTCCCAGCCACTTGGGAGGCTGAGGCAGGAGAATCGTTTGAACCTGGGAGGTGGAGGTTGCAGTGAGCCGAGATCGTGCCACCGCGCTCCAGCCTGGGCGACAGAATGAGACTCTGTCTCAAAAAAGGAAAAAAAAGAAAAAAAAGAAAGAAAACAGATGGGAAGGATGTTATCTCGGCATGTGAATAGTAGGTGTTAGCGTGGCTGGGCTCTTGGTGGTCTTAAGTAAATAAAAAGTAACCTCCAGCAAACAAGTCTGCCATGAGTTGGGCCATTTAACACAGGACTTTATTCTCCAAATGTCAGAAAACAGGTGAGGAAGCAGCTGGTTGAGCACATGCCAGGGGAGAGGAGGTTGAATGCTGATAGTGGCAGCACTGCCGCATTGTTCTCAGGTGCTTTTCTGTTTGGTGCCTTGCCCTCTGAGGTGGGATCCATAGGTCAGGAAGCTGGGGAGGCTGCCTCTAGTCCAGGCAGCACCAGCTTCAGGCCTCTGGTGTGTTTCACTGACTTCCAAGTTTCCAAAGCGCCCTGTCTGCACCCCTCTTATGACACTTGAAAACAATTTATGGAAATTTCCAAGCAGACACGGAAGTAGAGACCGTTGAATTAATCACATCAGCCTGTGTCTTTCTTGTTTCATCTGTCTCCACCCCCTACCCACACCCCTACTTTTCTCCTGAGCATTTTAAAGCAAATACTTCTGGTTCTTCCTACTGTCAAGTATCCCTCTGATGGAGCAGTTTCCTGAAAGGTCAAGGGTCGAGTCCCTTTCACTGTAGTATTGCAAGCCACACTCAGCACTCAAGTGTTCAATAAACATTTATTGAAACAGAGTGATTTCATTCCACAGCTCGATAGGGAGATGGATTTTGTTCTGTAGGTTTCGCAGAAGCTGAATCTTTCCTACCTTAATGAACCACAGAGCGCATGTGTGTATTTTGGGATGTCGCACCTGCTGCTGGGGGTTAAGGTTTGTTTCGCCTTTGGTGTGTAGTGGAGATGGGTTTGTGCATAAATTCACTTTCAGAAAAAGTAGGGTGACTGGTTATGGCTATAATTTAGTCTGAACTTGTACAGACAAAAATAATGAAAAGTAAATCTTCCCCAGACATAAAAAATGTTTTTCATTTGCTGTCTAAGCATGGAGAGAGTTGAAATCAGACAGATCTGGGTCTGAAGTCCACATCTGTCACTTCACTGTAGATGTCTATGTCCTCTCTGGACCCCAATTTCTTCATTAGTAAAATGGGGCTATAACTATTGTATGGGGCAGATTAAATACAGATTCTACATAAGCTCCTGGCACATAGTAGGCACTCCATAAATACTGATTATTTCTTCTCCTTGCCCATGGTTCTGTGAAATGGGAATGTTTCCTGGGCCTCCCTTAGGAGGTCATTGTATGGATTTTTTTTTAATATATATGTTTTTTATTATACTTTAAGTTCTAGGGTCCTTTGTAGGGACATGGATGAAGCTGGAAACCATCATTCTCAGCAAACTATCACAAGGACAGAAAAACCAAACACCGCATGTTCTCACTCATAGGTGGGAATTGAACAATGAGAACACTTGGACACAGGAAGGGGAACGTTGTATGGATTAAATGAGTAATCTTTGGAAAGTGCTTACACCTGAGCCTGGAGCAAGTCAGAGCTCAGCCTCCTGGGTGCTGCTGCGGGTGCTGCCCCTGTCCTGGGAGTCCTTTTAAAATCATGTGTGTGCCTTCCCTGTCTCATCTACCCTGTTCCCTTTCCCTAGAGGTAACCACTTAACCATTTTTATTATTATTTTGGTTAATCCTTCCATTGTTTCTTTTTGGAAAAAAAAAACTAAGTTTATCTTCTTCACACACAAACAATGTCCTCCTTTTTACAAAAAGATATTAATAGCGTAGCATGTTCCTTTTTTTTTTTTTTTTTTTTGGAGACGGAGTTTCACTCTTGTCACCCAGGCAGGAGAGCAATGGCACGATCTCGGCTCACTTCAACCTCCACCTCCTGGGTTCAAACGATTCTCTTGCTTCAGCCTCCCGAGTAGCTGTGATTACAGGTGTGTGCCACCACTCCCAGCTAATTTTTTGTATTTTTAGTAGAGACGGAGTTTCACCATGTTGGCCAGGCTGGTCTTGAACTCCTAACCTCAGGTGATCCACCCGCTTCGGCCTCCCAAAGTGCTGGGATTACAGGCGTGAGCCACTGCGCCTGGCCCCTTAATAGCATGTTCTATGCATGTTCTGCACAGTTATCTTTTTACTTGCTCTGATTTGGAGAGGTTCCGTAGTGTATAAAAATATCTTCCACAATCCTTGTATAGTTATATGGTACTCCATATTTTGAATGTACCGTAATTTATTCGACCACTAGCCTGTTGGTGGGTATTTGGGTTATTTTCAGTGTTCTGCTATAATAGTTTGTAGCACATAGCCTTGTACAAACTTTTTTTTCTATTTTGCCAAAGTGTCTTTTGGGATAGATTCCTAGGAGTGGGCTTGCTAGATCAGAAGAGTAAATGCATGAATAACTGCTCTGGATTTTGCCAAATGTTTGTCTTCAGGGCCATCCCGTTTTGCAGTCGTGTTGAGTGCCTGTCTCCCCGTTGCCATAGAAGCAGAATGTGTTGCCTCTTTGGTTTTTTTGTTTGTTTGTTTGTTTTGAGATAGAGTCTTGCTCTGTCACCCAAGTTGGAGTACAGTGGTGCGATCACAGCTCACCGCAGCAGCCTCGACCTCTTGGGCTCAGGTGATCCTCCCACCTCAGCCTCTCAAGTAGCTGGAGCTATAGGTGCACTAATTTTTAAATAATTATTATTATTTTTTGTAGAGACAGGGTCTGTGTTGCTCAGGCTGGCCTTGAACTACTGGTCTCAAGTGATCCTCTCACCTCAGCCTCCCAAGTAGCTTGGACCACAGGTGTGCACCACCACGCCCAGCTATTTTTTTTTTTTTTCTAAATTTGAGGCCGGGTGTGGTGGCTCACGCCTGTAATCCTAGCACTTTGGGAGGCCAAGGCGGGTGGATTGCCTGAGCTCAGGAGGTCGAGACTAGCCTGGGCAACATGGTGAAACCCGTCTTTACTAAAATACAAAAATTAGCTGGATGTGGTGGCGGGCGCCTGTAGTCCCAGCTACTCAGGAGGCTGAGACGGGAGAATTGCTTGAACTGGGGAGGCAGAGGTTGCAGTGAGCCGAGATTGTGCCACTGCACTCCAGCCTGGGCGATAGAGTGAGACTCCATCTCAAAAAAAAAAAAAAAACTTGTAGAGATGGGGCCTCACTGTGTTGCCTAGGCTGGTCTCAAACTCCTGGGCTCAAGCTATCCTCCCGCCTCAGCCTCCCGAAGTTCTGGGATTACAGGCGTGATCCACTGTGCTCAGCCTTGTTTGTTTTTTGTCAGTCTGATGGTGCAAATAGTATTTTCACTTAGTTTTGTTTTTCTCTTCTGAGCTAGGTTGAGCATCTTTTCCTTTGTTTAAGCGCCTTTTGCATTTTTTTCTGTCAAATGTTTTCATATTTTTTGCCCCTTTTTCTACCAGATTTTTAGTCTGTTCTCAATTTTTATAATTTCTTTAAAGATTAGGGATATTAGCCCTTTGTAGTATTTTGTAAAACTTCCTGGCGAGGTGTAGTGGCTTATGCCTGCAATAAGGGAGGCCAAGGCCTGAGGATTGCCTGAGCAACATAGTGAGACCCCGCCTCTACAAAGCAAAGCAAAACAAAACAAAACAAGCGCACCTGTAGTCCTAGCTACTTGGGAGGCTGAGATGGGAGGATCTCTTGAGCCCAAGAGGTCAAGGCTGCGGTGAGCTGTGATTGAGCCACTGTAGCCCAGCCTGGTTGGCAGTGTGAGAACCTGTTTCAAAACAAAAACAAAACTTCCTGAGGCACTGGCGTGATTAAGATAAATAAACCCACTGAACCTGAGGGACTGTTGGTCTGGGGAGGGAGACAGCCTCATAATGGATGTTCATGTACTTGCAAAGCGGTGATAGCTAGTTCTGCCTGGGGGGAGGTGATAGCTAGTTCTGCCTTGGGGGAGTCTGGGAAGACTTCCCGAAGGTGGTGGTATTTGACTTGGGTCTCAAAGCTTAGTCATTTCCCAGCCAAGAGAAGAGGAGCTGAGGATTTCCAGGCGGAGGAAAGAGTATATTCAAAAAAGTGGGGAAATAAAAGGAGTTGGTTGTGTTTGGGTCAGGTGGTTCTGGGAGGGGTGAGAGAGGAGCCTCTCAGATTGGGAGGAGCCCGGTGGGCCACGTGAAGCCTTCCTAGATGACAAGGAAAGCAAGGAGAGGTTTGGGAGTGGGCCCTGGCTCTGAGACTGTATGCTTCTTCCAGTCACCTGGGAGTTTTTAACACTGTGGCTCCCTGCCCCCTCCCACACTGATGCTCATCACTGGTGGGGTGGGGCCAGTGGTCACTGTTTCTCAAAGCTTGTCAGGTAATTGTAGTGGCAGTTGGGATGAAATCCTCCCGTTGAGAGAATTGTGGCAGCAGGTTGGAGGAAGGATGGACAGAGAACAAACTTGGTGTGCTTAGGAACCACCTGGGCTCTTGGCAAAAATTCATATTTCCAAGGCTCAGGAGGTTGGGAGTGGAGCAGTAACTTGCTTTTTCTTTACTTTTTTATTTTATTTTATTTCTATATTATTATTTTAATAACCTGTATTTTGTTTTTAGAGTAGTCCAGTGAAGTAGTGAGAATGGGGTAGAGAATAGAGCAAGGAGTTCAGTCTGTAACTGATTGTGAACCATCGTTTGAGATAGCTCACTGCCTTCAGGCCAGCGGTAACCTGCATTTTTAACAAACGTTCCAGGGGTTCTGATGTGGTGGTCTGGGTCACACGTTGAGAGGCACTGAGGCAGAGACAAGAGGCAGAACAACTTAAGCCTGAGGTAGGCGGAGCTGAAGAGGAGGGGCAGAATCTTCCATTATTTTAACAAATACAATCAATGATCCTAGGTAGGCAATTAGAAATGGGGAGTGAAGGAGGAAAAGAGTTGAGCACCTGCTACTTCTTTTAGATTTGATGATGCTATTAATATTAACTAAAGAGGAAACGTGGGGGTCAGTGAACAGTGAGATGAGGTACATTTCAGTGTGGAGGCCTGGCCCCTGGGGACGCCAGCCTGCAAGACTAGGTTGGATTAGCAGTGATGCTGACAGAGCGGGAGTGAACTCAGCCAACCCATCGTTATCAGACAGGAATGCATTTGGCTGTAGGTTGATGTCATCAGGACCCACACTGGCTACCTTGTGGCCTCAGCATGGCTGCTGCAGCACTAAATGTTGTATGTTCATTTAAAGCAAAGGTGGCACTGAGACTACACGTGTTCCCATATACCAGCCAAGCACTTGCCTACCTCCCCACCCCCAACAGAACTGCTTAGGTCTCCTTGACCAGTACTGGGGCAGTGGGGATTAGCCCTATGATGAAAGGTCCCCCGCGACCACCACCCCCAGTTCAGAAACAAGGTCCTGTGAGCAGTGAGGATGTGTGTGTGTGTGTGTGGGGGGGTGTTAACACCACATACCGCAGCATACCGCAGTAAGAGAAGCGTCCTGGCTTTAGGAAAGTGGGTGTGAACTCCAAATGAGGGGCAGACCTGGAGCCGCTCTCCTGGGGGTTTGGGCATACACATCGTTGCCACTTTTTGGCTTTTTTGGGTTTGGTCCTTCCTCACATTAGTGGGGGCAGGAATGAGGTGTCTCTCCTCCTGTCGGTGGAGGCTTTGGCATAGGAGCTTTGGGACATGGTCGTTTTTAATAATCCTGGTGGCAGTGCATTGAAAACCAGGGTAGTGGCAATGGGGAAATTGGATTCTCTTGATGGGTAAGGGAAGGATGACTGTCCTTTTTCCATGAGTTGGTGTTTTGGAGTCTTCAGAAAACCTATGTTGGGTTCCTTTCTGTCAGAGTTAGCACCAGACTCAGGGCCTGGCTCTGCAGAGCTGAGCGGGATTCTGCAGTGCGGCAGTTGCCCGGTGCGCTCTCTCCTGCTGGCCGTTGGTGTCATGAAGACGCTGATGTGGCACACACTCCGTTGCCACCTTGGGCGTGCACACTCCCTCAGCTTCTGCCAGGATGCGGTAAGATCAGCTTATAGGTAGACAGGTGGTGGGTAAGTTGCAGGTAGTTCCTGAATGAGGATGAATCTGTGGGTAGTGTTTTGAGTAGATACAGGAATTTACCTTTGCTTAATTGATTTAAATCCGTTATCAGCAGACTTTTATGCTGAAGTTTTATTTTGCCAACAAGTATTATTGTCTGGGCTCTGGTGTGTCATTCATTAGCCAAGTGGCCTTGGGTGAATTACTTAATCCTCTGGCCCTCAGTTTCGTAATGTGTAAAGTGGGAATATTACCACCACTTTCAAAATTGGTGTGAAGATTAAAAGATGAAAATGGCTCCTACTTGGGTAGTGGCTGTGGTATGTGTGAAGAAGTGTTGGAGATAACCTGGAGGTCTTTGAATATGTTTTGCATGCCTTACGTTTTGTGAACAAATTATTTTCTGATTGCTTCCTATATGTGAATCATGGTGCTTGTAAACTGCAAACCACAGATGAAGCTTTAGAGATAGAATTGGAGAGGCCTGGGATTTCTTTTGTGACCTGTCATTAGTTGTTCAACCGGGCAAGTTACTCAGTCTCTCTGTTTACCAGTTTTCTTATTTGTTAACTGGAATACTAGTTTCTGTCTCATAGACCAGAAGTGTTTGTTCTGTTAAGAAGACAAGTAAATATAAAAATACTCATGAAAATTTAAAGTGATATGCAAATTGGGCCAGGTGCGGTGGCTCACGCCTGTGATCCCAGCACTTTGGGAGGCCGAGGTGGGTGGATCACCCAAAGTCAGGAGTTCGAGACCAGCCTGGCCAACATAGTGAAACCCTGTCTCTACTAAAAATACAAAAAATTAACCAGGCATGTAGTGCGCGCCTGTAATCCCAGCTACTCGGGAGGGTGAGGCAGGAGAATTGCTTGAACCTGGGAGGCGGAGGTTGCAGTGAGCCAAGATTGTGGCACTGCACTCCAGCCTGGGCGACAGAGCAAGACTCTGTCTCAGAAAACAAACAAACAAAGAGATATGCAAATTGATAGAAATAAGTTTACCAGCTTCTTTCCACTGAAACATTTGTATGTTAATTTTTTATTCCAGTATTTCCACTTTTGGGGGGCTTTGTGAATTTGGGTGATGTTGCTTAATTAACCATAGTCAGGTTTCTGTTTTACCTGCTTTTTTGTTGTTGTTGAAGGACCGGGGAAGTCTAAAGGACAGATAGGTGGCTGAAGTGGACATTTGGCTAATTTTCTTTCCTTTCTGCTACTTTTTTTTTGTTTCCCTCCCCAGTTTCCCAGCTGTCTGCCTGCAGCCCCTCTGTCCAGGTCACCTTGGGCAGGCTGTGGCTTGCTGCCCTCAGCCTCTGGACACGACTCTTGGTCAGTCCCCTCCATTTTCTTCACCCCCACGTGGCAGCTGTTTTTCATTTGTTTGTCTTTTACTGCGTAAATGTGGAAATCCTCACTCCTTACATGCTCAAGACATTAACACTAATAGTCTGAGATTTTACTTCTATCCTTATATTGATTAACTATATTTTTCCCTTTACCATTTTACATGCAGAATAATACATGGAGTATACACATAAGTTGTGAAGCACAGTCACGGACTGTGCACACGTGGACCCACCTGCGCGGCTGAGTGCCAGGGTGCTCTTCTGTGGCATCCTCCAGGGTTAAGCATCCTTTGGGGCTTAGTCTCCATTTGACTTACTCTTCTGGTAAATGCCGGTTCACACTTTTTACCTATTTTCTCTTTGGTGGTTTTTCTTTTTTATCATTCCGTGGGAGTTTCTTTTTTTCTTTCTTTCTTTCTTTTTTTTTTTTTGAGAGGGAGTTTCACTCTTGTCACCCAGGCGGGAGTGCAGTGGCATGATCTCGGCCCACTGCAACCTCCGTCTGCTGGGTTCAAGCGATTCTTATGTCCCAGCCACCGAAGTAGCTGGGATTACAGGTATCCGCCACCATGCCCAGCTAATTTTTGTATTTTTAGTAGAGACAGGGTTTCGCTGTGTTGCCCAGGCTGGTCTCGAACTCCTGACCTCAGGTGATCCACCTGCTTCGGCCTTCCAAAGTGCTGGAATTACAGGCATGAGCCACCGCGCCCAGCCCGTTCCATGGGAGTTTCTGCTATATTCTGGTTACTGGTTACTGACTGGCTGTCAGCAGTAGTGTACCTTTTTTTCCCACCTTGGCTTTTCTTTTATCTCTTTCTGAGGTGTCTTTGATGAGCAGAAATTCTCAATTGCAATATAGTTGAGTTTAGCAGTCATAGCTTATATCTAATATTTTTTTCTATTACATTTAAGAAACTCTTCCCAATTCCAAAGTCATTGGAAATTCTCTGTCGTCTGCTGGACGTTTTGAAGTTCTTCTGCCTTTTGCTGTAGCGCACCCAGAGTCTGCCAGGAGCTCACGCGTGTGGTGTCCTTGGCTAACCTGCCATCTCAGCCCCTTTGCTGAAGTCCCCCTCCCTCCCAAACCCTGGTTTGCAGTGCTGCCTGTTACACATCAAGCTTCCAAATCTGCAAGGGTCTGTTTCTGGGCTATCTTTGGTCCCCAAATTCCGCTTCTCTTAATTTGCTTTAAGGATAGTTGAGGACATAAGCAGATATTTACTTACGGGAATATCCACTGAAGTTCTGATGATAGCATTGAGGGAACGGGAAGCATTCTAAATGTTCCGGCAGTGGGAAGCAGGTGAATGATGGAGGGGAGGGTGTGTAGGTGCCGTGAGATACTCTGTAGCCGGTAAAAATGCATTTGCTGATGTGGCTATATGGTGATAATATACATGACAAAAAAATAGCAAGGTCACATAACAGTATGTACAGTATGGATTCCACGTTCATAAAAAGAAAGTTGTAAGTTGAAAAAAACCTGTTATCTTGCTTTCTCCTGTCCTGGTCACACTCAGGGTGATTTGATCTGGCTTCGACCCCATCAGGCCACCATGTCCGCTCTGGCAGGTCCTCGGTGACCCCCTGGTGGCTGCTTCCTTTATCCTCAGCTCAGTTCTCATTTATGACCTCGCTGCTGCATTGGACATCACTGATGCGATCTTCTCGACGTGCTCTCTGCTCTCCTCCGCTTCTGCCCACTTTCTTCTTGTTCTCCTTTCTGGCTTTCCTTCCTTGGTATTGGTGTCCCTGGGTTCCCATTTCCCTGGGCCTCCGTGTACTCCATGCTTTCTCCTTTGGGGCCCTTGGCAAGGCATCTCCTGTGTTAAAACTTCTACATCACAGACCTGCAGAGCTGGCCGTCGCCTTACACTGAACTCCCCTGACGTCCTCGAGGCCCGCAGAGTCAGCACATCCAGAATGAAACCCACATCCCCCCACTGAGCCACACTCTTTGGAGGCATCCAGGATTTCTGTCCTGTCTCCTCCCCTTCGCCTCGGTCGATTCTCACATCTTTCTGAACATTCCCATGCCTGTGTCCATCTCTCCCCTGCCACCCCAGACTCTTGTCATCAGCTCCCCCCTTATGCGAGTTTCTGGAGTGTTCTGCCAGCCTCCACATTTCACCCCTCTTCTTTCCCACACTGTGGCCACAGTCAGCTTTCCAGAGTGTATTTCTGAGCCACCACCGGGCTCTGTCTGTAGCCCCAGGGAGCAGCTGCCGGCCTCTGCTTGCCCAGCCCCTCCTCCCTGGCCTGCTCAGGTACCTGTTGTCTCAGGCAGCTCCCTTATGGGGCATTGCTCACTGCCCTGTGCCCCACATCCCAGAGCACTCTGGTGTGTACACATCCGCCTTCCTCTGGTCTGAGCTCCTGGCCATGCAGCCCTCAGAGCCCAGTGTAGTGACCAGCATCTGGTGATGCAGCCACGTGTCAGAGAGGGGGCAACCTCACCCTGTGCTTGGGCCTGCTAGTGCCTTTCAGACAGAGTCCATTCTGGACTTTCCCTGCCTCCTGGTTTGAAGCCCTTTTCAAGGACATTCTCAGAGCTGTCTTACTGTTAAGCAAGGACCACTGGAGACTTGCGCTTCCCCCCAAGCAGCTGCACGTGGTAGTCTTGGACCTGTGGGCTGGGCATATGTCTGTCGGGTCAGTGGGTGGCCGTGGACCACACTCCAGCTCAGGCCCAGTGCTCTCGCCAACTTCCTCTGGGGAGCCCAGCACTGGGATTGGTGTCTTGCCTGTGTTTGCTGGTGGGCGCGTGTTCACTTTCCACCTGCTGCTCTCTGACTGGAGCTTAAGAGTTTTCTCGGTGCTGTGTGTGTTGCAAATTTGTCTCTGATTGGAATAAGGGTATCTTAGATGGCTTGAACGACAGTTGGCCCTTTTGTTTGTGCATAGAACCCAACAAAGTGACTCTAAGAGCCCGGTGGCCCGGCATGGCCCGAGCGAACTGTGCAGGGGCCTGGCCCTTTCACTCCTGACTCTGCTCTAGGGGGCAAGGAGAGGCCTCGTCAGCCTAGCAGCATTTCCTGTGGGTGCCTTTCACAGCTGCCACGTGCAAAATACAGCACATTATTTTGGGGTGTTATTTTCTTGACCACTTTTGGTTCATTGCTTTTGACTAAATGTTTAAAAATATTCTGCAGCATATCTATAGTACTCACAAGCAGCGAATCAGGAGAAGAAATGCAGTTTCTGAGAAGGCTTCAAAGAAATAATGGTCTTTATCTTTTCCCCAGCCTTTTCCGCTGAAACCCACCAGTCTTTTTCTGAGCACTCTTGTTATAAATAAAGCAGCAGCTCTCCTTGGGCAGCCCAAGATCGCAGACTCTCATCCGCCCTCAGAAAGATTGTGCGTGTGCGTGTGTGTGCGTGTGTGTAAGTATGTGGTGCAGTGAGTTGTGTTTTAATTTTGCTTTTCTTTTATGTATGAGATGTGTAGCAGGAGATGCAAGAAAAAATACTCCAGCATCTGTCCTTTAAAGATAACTTATAACTTTTCTGGGTTTTGGGTTGTTGGTTTTGTCTTTTTTTTTTTTCCCATTTAGGGAAGAGATGGAAGTGATTGCTTTCCCCACAAAGGTAAGGAAGATGAATGGGGGGCCAGGAGAGACGTCTTCACAGTGAGGCCTTTGAGGTCAACAGAGAAAGGGTCTCGTGGTATATGTTTCAGGCTTCCATGGATGGCATTGTTCTGTGCAGATGTATTTGAAATGAGTTTCATCCATGTGTACTTGGATGTGAAAAGGATGTTTGGAAACAAATACCATTTCCCAGTCCTTCACACTGAAGACTGGTTTATATCCTCGCTACCAGAATCGGGGTGGGACTTTCTGTCTGCCTTGGATCACCCTTGGTCTGTTTTGGACGGGACCTCAGATGCTAACTGTATGCTGGGGATCCCCGCTGTCTCTAGGGGAGGGGGTGGGGGTGGGGAGGTCACTTCTGGCAAACAAGCGTCATCAGAATGCTTGATCGTTGGATAATGTTGGGCTCCTCTCTTTTTCCTTCCTGGCACTCTTTAATTACTGGGGAGAGGGTGGGTGCCTTCTTCAGAAGTGTGAGGTGAATGTATAAGCCAAGAATGAGTCAGTAGATTCTTCAGCAGCTCTGCCCTGCGCTGATCCTCTAGAGTTGGAAAGGGCTGCTGTTGTGCCACTGGGTCAGTGCCAAAAGCAGAGTTCACCATGATTGGCACATGCTGGTGAGCAAGAAGCTCTTGGAAGTGGTCGTGAGTGCAGCCAGTTCCCCCCAACCCAGGAAGGGCACAGTGAGGATGGCTGGTTGCGGGATAAGGAGAAGAGACCCCTAGGCAGTTTGCATTGGCCTGTGCTGTCCGGGTGTGGTCCTGGTGTCCGTCCACATGTTGATGGCGTGTCGGGCTGGGGGCTTTCTGCAGCCTTCCCTGTTCCACTGTCTCTCCTGTTGTGAATGCCGGTGGATGGAACAGGCAGCGCAGTGTTCTGCGCTTGCATTCTGGCATAGGTGGGGGACATGAGCCTCCTGTGTCTTGCTTTTGCTGGTTTTATCTTAGGGAGTTTTAAGTGTTTGTGGATACTTAAGAACTTTGTACATGCACTGTTTGAAACATTTACGTAAAGTGCAGAGCTATATGAGATTAGGTAGTTAAGCAAAAGCTTCTCTGAACCAATGTGCTTGTCTTTGAACAGAATTTTTAGGAAGCCTCCCTCCATTTCCATGCTGAGGCTCCTTGTGGACTGGGCATTTCCGTGAGGTGGGATGTAACATAGTGTGCGAACGCCGAGAGCCAGGTTCTTGTCTTCATGCTTGTCGTTTATTCTTTTTGATTGTGTTAATGGCTCCGAGTACGTCAAAACATCTCATGACCAAGTAGTTAGTTACGCATTTGATGTTTTGGTGGCATGGGCTGCGTAAGGCGGGAGAGCAGCTCCGGGAGAAGTAGAGCCCCCTTCATTCTTGGCTTTAATTGAGCCAAGATGAGTGGACCGTATAATCCATTTCTGGATTCTCGTAAGAGAACGTCTTGTGTTGGGGTGAACTCATCAGCTTTTCGGGTTGAGAGGAGTTTTAGTGTCTGTGGCCGAGGCACTTTCCTCTCATGGTGTGTGCAGATGCACACGCCAGGCCTGTGAGTGGTGGGTTGGGCTGAGGGCGCGGGCCTGGAGCTTCTGAGCCCCAGAGCCGCTGACGTAGACAGCTTTGGCAGCAGCATCCTGAGAAATGGCAGGGGGCCAGAGAACACAGAGACAGGGCCAAGAATAGCTGAAAAATACCAAATGCTGAAGTTGGAGAATGCACTGGCCCCGCGTCCCAGTGTCCTCCCAGCTGCTGTGTACTGTGGCCCTGTGAGCCTCAGTGTCCCTTCTTCATGTCTGCCAGTGCGTCCAGGGCACACCCTGGGCCTCTTGACACCCCCACCCACACAGGCACACATTGCCCCTTAGAGGACAGGATTGGTGCAACCCCCCATGCCCCCGGCAGCGTGCTGGGCCTGTGCATAGGTCAAGGTCTGTTGAGAGTGTGAGAAATATTTTCTGTTAGAGACACGAATATGTTTCAGCCGCAACAGGCTGCGTTTCAGCCGGAAGAGTGAAAGGGCACCTTGAAAACGCAAGTTTATGAATATGTTTCTGTACTTTCAGACCATCATCAAAGAGGGGATGCTGACCAAACAGAACAATTCATTCCAGCGATCAAAAAGGAGATACTTTAAGCTTCGAGGGCGAACGCTTTACTATGCCAAAACGGCAAAGGTGAGGCCCCATGCAGGAAAGCACACGCGAGGACATCACAGGAGCCGTCCCAGGGGAGGAACTGGGGGTGCTGAGTCCTTGTGTGGGAAAAGCTTCAATTCTCAGATCTGTTATTGCCAGTGAGTTTTGTAACACTCCACGCTGTCAGGTTTTACTTGTCTCAAGGCATGTTTTATTTCTTATCAAAATTAATTTCTGTTCATTTTCCTTTTCTTTAATGTCATCGGTAATGGGGAAAAGGAAAAAAGGGTCACAGAGACAGCCGCGTTACAGCTGGATATCTCTCTCTCAGAAAGGCGGAGGGAATCACGGGGCTATGAATTTCATCTTCTTATTATTAAATAATTTTTATTCTTTAAGTATATTGAAGTTCTTTTTTTTTTTTTTTTTTTTTTTGAGAGGGAGTCTTGCTTTGTCGTCCAGGCTGGAGTGCAGTGGCGAGATCTCGGCTCATTACAACCTCCGCCTCCTGGGTTCAAGCAATTCTCCTGCCTCAGCCTCCCAAGTAGCTGGGATTACAGGTGCCTGCAACCACGCCTGGCTAAAATTTTTATATTTGAGTAGAGATGGGGTTTCACTATGTAGGTCAAGCTGGTCTCGAACTCCTGACCTCAAATGATCTGCCTGCCTCTGCCTCCCAAAGTGCTGGGATTACAGGCATGAGCCACCGTGCCCGGCCTAGAGATGGGGTTTCACCACATTGCCCAGGCTGGTCTTGAACTCCTGACCTCAAGTAATCTGCCCGCCTTGGCCTCCCAAGGTGCTGGGATTACAGGCATGAGCCACTGTGCCCAGCCAAAGTAGAAGGAGCTGAGCTTCTTGATGTGTGAACAGAAATGGGAAATTCTTTATTTTTAGGCTTTCTAGCAATTAACCTTGTTTCTGTGTGCCCTATTGTAGGTAGATTTAAAGCTAGAAGCACCAGGTGGGTGCTGCTGGAGGAGGAGCAGCCAGTGAAAGTCACAGATTACTGCCATGTTTAAGCGGATGTGGTGTTAGACATTCAGACACCAGTGTGTTGGCTGGGATTCTGAATACCTGTGTTTTTTATCAGGATTGGTGTCAGTACTAATATTTTGGTATTTAAGAAATCTGGAGTCTGAATAATTTACATTTTGAGACATATCCCTAGAAAGTTACTGCATTAAAATTTGAAATGGAACAAAGCAGCTTGTTTAGAAAGGGTTCTGACCACTTCCCTCAATTAAAAAAAAAAAAAAACACGACAAAATAACCTTTTACAGTTAGTTCTGGTGGTGCGGGGAGGGGAAAGGTTACTTAAAAGATTGAGTTTCTTTTCTGAGTTATTAGTTTGATTTTCTCCAGGGTTCCTCATAGAGCCATCGTAGAATAGAGGGGATGGTATAAGGGAAACAGGAGGCAGGGGCTGTGCCGGGGGACCCTGTAGGGAGTGGAGAGGGAGACGGGGGAGGTCCCCAGGCCTGACTCCCAGCCCTGCCCTGGAGCATCTTTCTCTCCAGGACCAGGATCCTTCTGCTCTACTCCCTTGTTTCCTTTCACGGCCAGACCCTTTCCATTTGGACCTGTCTCTCTTCTCCAGAAGAATTTGTTTTAGCCAGGACCTTCCCCCTCCATGTGCTCGCTGGAGGAACAAGCCAGGAGGACACGGAATCCTCAGTCCAGACCCCGGCCTTCCCTCAGCTAAAACACTGTGTGAGAACATACTTCACATGTAAAAGTGAATACTGGTATTGACAGTAGTAAATACAGAAATACCAGCATTGGGTTGTTTGCTTTGGTTCTCTCTCTTTCTTCCTTCACTAATGCAATGACAATGTTTGTAGATTTTTTTAAAAAAATCATGGCACTATACCTGTGAGCCCGAGCTTTTGGTTAGAAGCAGGTGGGTGGGTTAATTTGGATTGGCTTATTGATTGGATGCTACAGTTTCAAGGTACTGGGGCTTCTGTGGGTGCTTGTTAGGGATCATTGGGGTGTGGTGGGCAGCGCTGGCTAGTGCTTAGGGATGTACCTGTCTTTATGTGCCTTAGTCCCTGTGTTTGTCTCTTTCTAGTCAATCATATTTGATGAGGTGGATCTGACAGATGCCAGCGTAGCTGAATCCAGTACCAAAAACGTCAACAACAGTTTTACGGTAAGATTCCTCAGTCATGCCTTTCTTGATTCTTCACTGAAGTTGGCTTTCCTTTTTGATCTGAACATGTGTCCAAGCAGTTCAAACGTTTTCATTCTTTTCTTACTGATTGGAATGATTGCTGGTAAAATTTGAATTTAATGCTGAAAGTAATACTGTGGTTGGAGAATAACCAAGAATTTGGCATGCATAAGCACAAAAGGACAATAGGGACCAAATGAAAAATTTTTATATGTGTTTTGGTTCACGTCTGTTTTGTTTTTTTTGAGACGGAGTTTGGCTCTTGTTGCCCAGGCTGGAGTGCAATGGCGTGATCTCCAGCTCACAGCAACTTCCGCCTCCCGAGTTCAAGCGATTCTCCTGCCTCAGCCTCCCGAGTAGCTGGGATTACAGGCATGTGCCACCACACCTGGCTAATTTTGTATTTTTAGTAGAGACAGGGTTTCTCCGTGTTGGTCAGGGTGGTCTCGAACTCCCAACCTCAGGTGATCCACCCTCCTTGGCCTCCCAAAATCCTGGGATTACAGGTGTGAGCCACCACGCTTTGCTGGTTCACATCTTACTACCTCTGTACAGAGTTTTGTTTTTTGTGATTAATGTAGAAAATTTGGAAAATGCAGACAAGTATGTTAAAGCAATTAAAAAGCAGCCATAACAGCCACCTCAAAAAACATTGAATGTTAATATTTTGGTGTATTTCTTTTTTTTTTCCTTTTTTATGTTTAAACTTTCTTCCTTCCAAATTTATAAAAGTTATGTAGGACTTTCTGCAAAAGTTCTAAATGCACAGAATCATGTGATCTCACCACTTGGAAGTGGCCAGCTGCTTACTCTACAGTGTTTATCTTTATTTCTGTATATTTATGTCTTTACCTACATGTACCCATGAGATCATGCTGAACCTTTTGGTTTACACCTGTGTTTTTTTCCCCCCCCAGGACAATTTATAGTAGAGAGTTGCTCATGTCAGCTGATCTAAATGTTCATGATATTATTTAATGGCTATAGTAGCATTTTCTTGTAGGATTTTATAATTTAGGCTTTACGGGCTGACTTTAGCGCCTGCCTGTGTAAGGTTTGACTCTAATAACAGCACTAGAACTTTTAAAGCTGTTTTTCTTTATGTTATTAGGCCATCCCATGTAGACAAAAAGTGTGTACCCTAATTAAAAAAATTATTCTTTTATAATTCAGTCAAGGTGAGTAATTTTCCTCAAGTTTAGGATCTGATATTTTGGGTTAGTGCTAGTTTCAGGTGCTTTCAAGTTTTGTTTTATTTTATTTATTGATGGATTCATTGTTGATGTTGCCAATACAAATGGGATTTTCCTTTCTCTGTCTAAACCTCTGCTTATTTTGTGTTGATTAACTGCTCTTATTTTACTTGGAGTATTTGTAGTTTTCTCTATTAATTTATTTTTACCAGCTGGGAAGAGACATTTTTAACCACATAAATAGATTTTTCTTTGATTCGTGGTTTTTAGAGTCTTTAATAGGAGTAGGTGTTGAATTTCTTTGGAGTGTTCTGAGCATCAGTTGATTAATTAATGAATTTTTTTGAGATGTTGTCTCCCTTTGTCACCCAGGCTGAAGTGCGGTGGTGTGATCTCGGCTCACTGCAACCTCCGTCTCCCAGGTTCAAGGGATCCTCATGCCTCAGCCTCCCTAGTAGCTGGGATTATAGTCGTGCACCGTTATGCCCAGATAATCTTCGTAATTTTAGTAGAGATGGGGTTTCACCATATTGGCCAGGCTGGTCTCAAACTCCTGGCCTGGAGTGATCTACCCGCCTGAACCTTCCAAAGTACTGGGATTACAGGCATGAGCCACTGTGCCTGGCCCTGGGCATTAATTTAGATGTTCATTTTGGTTTCAGTTATTTGCATATTTCCTAATAAAAAAATTATTCTTGGTAATGTTGAATTTTACTCCTTTATCTTGCAATTTAGAATTTTCCCACTGGTATGTATGCATTTGTTTTGGGTGAGAATGTAGCCTTATTGCAGTTTTAAACAATTGTTTTTTCTGTTTTTAATTTTAATGGATACATAATAGTTGGACATACTGTGTTTTGATTTCAGAGTTAAACCAACCCCATAAAATTCATTTAGTAACTTTCTATGAGTTTATGTTTTCTGCAACATTTTATGTAGCTTTGGGATTGGTTGTTTCTTAAGTTCGAGAGAATTTATTTTAAATTATTTGTCAAGAAGACTTTTTAGGGAGATAAGGCTGTAATAGAAATAAATCCTAAAATATTTATTTCTTGCATTTTGATCATTTTTTGAACCTTTTCACTTTTTGAGTCCACATCTGTAATTTACTTTCCCACAAATTTCACACCTTCAAAGTTAGTAGCGTGTACTGTTGTGTAGTTTAAACACCTGTGTCTCTGGTTGAATCTCCTTTGCATTTCTAATTTTATTAGTTTAGTTTGCTTTTCTTGTCAGATTTCGTAAACTCTAGCATTTTTGTTTTCTTTGTTTTTAAAGAGAACTAGTTCTTAGATTATTGAACAATTCTCCTTTTCTGTTTCCTTTTTTATTTTTTTGAGACGGAATCTTGCTCTGTTGCCCAGGCTGGAAGGCTGGAGTGCAATGACGTGATCTTGGCTCACTGCAACCTCCACCTCCTGTGTTCAAGCGATTCTTCTGCCTCAGCCTCCTGAGTAGCTGGGATTGCAGGCACCTGCCACCACGCCCAGCTAATGTTTTTATATTTTCAGTTAGAGACGGGGTTTCGCCATGTTGGCCAGGCTGTTCTCAAACTCCTGACCTTGAGTGATCTGCCTGCCTCAGCTTCCCAAAGTGCTGGGATTACAGGTGTGAGCCACCACGCCTGGCCTGTTTCCTTTTTTTTTTTTTTTTTTTTGAGACAGGGTCTTGCTCTGTTGCCCAGGCTGCAGTATAGTGCTGTGATCTCGGCTCATGGCAACCTCTTCTTCCTGGGTTAAAGTGATTCTCCTGCTTCAGCCTCCTGAGTAGCTGGGATTACAGGTGTGTCCCACCACGCCTGGCTGATTTTTGTATTTTTAGTTAGAGATGGGTTTTCGCCATGTTGTCTAGGCTGGTCTTGACCTCCTGACCTCAAGTGATCCTCCTGCCTCAGCCTTCCAAAGTGCTGGGATTACAGGTGTAAGGCACCATGCTGGGCCCTACTTTCCTGTTTTCTAATTCAGTGTCTGTATTTATGTGTATTGGTTTTTTTTTTTTTTTTTTTAGATGGAGTCTTGCTCCGTTGCCCAGGGGGGAGTGTAGTGGTGTGGTCTCGGCTCTCTGCAGCCTCCGCCTCCTGGGTTCCAGTGATTCTCCTGCCTCAGCCTTGGGTAGCTGGGATTACAGACACATGCCACCATGCCCAGCTAATTTTTTTATTTTTAGTGGAGACAGGGTTTCACCGTGTTGGCTAGGCTGGTCTCGAACTCCTGACCTCAGTGCCCACCTTGGCCACCCAAAATGCTGGGATTACAGGTGTGAGCCACCTTGCCCGGCTGTGTATTAGTTTTTATCTGTTGTAACTTACGAAATATGTTGTTCAAGTCCTCTTATGATCTTGTTTTTTATCGCTTGAGCTTCCATAGGCTGTTAATGAGGAGTTAGAATCTCTTTCAGGCCAGTTACGTTTAACACTTTGTTCATGTATTTCTAACAGTTTTCACCTTCTCCATTTTGAAGCTTTGTTAAGCGTGTAAATATTTAAAAAGATAATACCTTCAATATTGAGTAATCATTTGTTAATAAAGATTAATAAAGTAGTAGCTTTTTTTTTCTTCTTTCCTAGACAAGGTCTTGCTCTATCACCTGGGTTGGAGTGAAGTGGCACAATTATGACTCACTGCAGCCTTAAACTCCTGGGCTCCAGTGATCCTCCTGCCTCAGCCTCCCAGTTAGCTGGGACTACAGGTGCTTGATACCATGCCTGGCTAATTTTTACATTTTTTTGTAGAAGCAAGGTCTCGCTATGTTGCTCAGGCTGGTCTCAAACTCCTGGCATCAAGTGATCCTCCTGCCTTGGCCTCCCAAAGTGCTGGGATTAAAGAAGATCTTTTTCGCAATGAGTAGTTTGTGTCATTAACTGTTCTCTCATGTATATTAGTATTTCTAAGTCTTCTTTTCTTTGTTCAGAATTTACTTGATATACATACCCCCCACCCTTTTCCATCCTAACTTTTATCTTTAGTTTTCCTTATTATTTTGAATTTAATTCCCTTTTTTTTTTTTTTTTTTTTTTTTTTTTTTTTTAGAGATAGGCTCTTGCTGTGTTGCTCAGGCTGGAATGCGGTGGTACAGTGTTAGCTCACTGCAGCCTCAAACTCCTGGTCTCAAGAGATCTTCCTGCCTCACCCTCCCCAGTAGCTGGAACCACAGGCATTGTCACCACACCCAGCTAATTTTTTATTTTTTGTAGAGATGGGGTCTAACTATGTTGCCTTGGCTGGTCTCTAACTTCTGGCCCCAAGTGATCTGTCTTGGTGTCCTAAAGTGTTGGTATTACAGGCATGAGCCGATGTGCCTTGCCTAGATTTAATTCTTGTAAACAGTATGTTGTTAGAATCTGTCTTATTTTAGTCAGAAACCCTTTGCCTTGTAAATATTGTGCTTCAGCCATTTTCTGCTGTCAGGATTCTTGCATATCTGATGCCTGTGTTTTGTGGCTGAATGTATTGTGCTTTCTTGTTTGTTTGTTTGTTTATTTATTTATTTTTGAGACAAGGTCTTGCTCTGTCACCCAGGCTGGAGTACAGTGGTGCAGTCATGGCTCACTGCAGCTTCGACCTCCTAGGCTCAAGTAATCTTCCCACTTCAGCCTTCTGGGTAGCTGGGACTCCAGGCACATGTGACCATACCCAGATAATTTTTGTTTTTTTGTAGAGAAGGAGTTTCACCATGTCACCTAGGCTATTCTTGAACTTTGGGGTGCAAGTAGTCCACCCACCTTGGCCTTCTGAAGTGCTGAGGTTACAGGCATGAGCCACCACACCCAGCCATGCTTTCTTATTTTAATGGTCTCTTGGTACCTCTCTTCTACTTCCCTTCTGTGTTGTCTCTTAAACATTTATAGTTCACAGATTTTCTTTTTCCTTTCTTTTCTTTTCTTTTTTCTCCTCCCCTCCCCTCCTCTCCTTTCCCCTCCCCTCCCCGCTTCTCTCTTTTTCTATCTTCCTTTCTTTCCTTTTTCCTTTTTTTTTTTTAATTTAAATTTAAGAGACAGGTCTTACTCTGTCGCCCGGGCTGGAGTGCAGTGGCATGATCACCATTTACCGCAGCCTTGAAATATCAGGCTCAAGCGATCCACCGGCCTCAGCCTCCCAAAATGTTCAGATTACAGGCATGAGCCACCATGCCTGGCCAAGTTCACAAATTTTATTATGCTAGACCTGTTTGTAGCCAGCCCATATGGTGACATCCTTTTTTTGGTCAAGCTTTGTGTATTACTGAGGGTTTAGTCACAGAGAACATGCTACTCAATGCTTTGTTTCACTAGCTCTTATTCGATTCATACCAAACCATGAAAATGAAAAAGGACTGAAGAACATGGAAGAAAAATAATGCAAAATGGTCTGTTTTCCAGAAAGGAATCAAATACGATATTTTATTAGTGAGCTCCGAGAACATAGTATTTCCCAATGTTGGTGTTGCAGGGGGTTGTCGAGAGCAGGCTCGATGCTGTTGCTGTCTTTGAAGGCATTTCTGCTCGGAGACTCAGAGTTGCCTTCTCTCTTGTGCAATGCGGGTTTGCTAACTGGTTGGTCTGGGATAGAGCAAGCCTGATTTCTTCCTCACTCCAGTTTGGGCTTTCCAGCTTTGAAAAACTGTTTTTTCCTTCTTTTCTCTTACACTTGAAAAAACGAATTCTGGTTCATGTGCTTTGTCTTGTTCTTTGGGAATTTGGCTCGTTTATTTAGTCATTGTTTTGGCAAGCATTTTTTTTGGGGTCTACCGTGGGCCACACACCATGCTGAGTGCGGTGGGTAGAAATGGAGAGGAGCCACTCTGCATCAAGCTTATATTCTCGTGGGAGATCAGATAAGCACATACATAGAACCTTAGTTACAGGCTGAGACAAGCTCCGATGGAAGAGCAGTACATGGTGCCTGATATGTGGAAGACCCCACCTGGCCTTGGGGAGGGGCTGGGCAGTCTTCTCAGAGGAAGTGAGGTCTCATAGCTGAGACATGAAGAATGATAGTGGTAAATCCACTGAGGGAAGCATGAGCCTGAGAGGGTATGTGTGTCTGTGTGTTGGTGTGTGTCTGTGTGTTTCTTTGTGTGTGTCTGTGTGTTTCTTGTGCAAATAGGCACCTCGGGGATGGGGCAGGTGGAGGGACCAGCAGTGCGAAGACCTTGGGATGGGGACACCACGTGGAGTGTGCAAAGTGGTGGAAGGGCCAGGGTGGCTGATGGAGGCCAGAGCAAGAGGACACCAGAGGGGACCAGCGTGGCTGGGGGGGGCCAGAGCGAGAGGACACCAGAGGGGACCAGGGTGGCTGGGGGGGGCAGAGCGAGAGGACTCCAGAGGGGACCAGGGTGGCTGGGGGGGGGGGCGCCAGAGTGAGAGGACTCCAGAGGGGACCAGGGTGGCTGGCAGAGGCCAGAGTGAGAGGACACCAGAGGGGAGCAGGGTGGCTGGCAGAGGCCAGAGTGAGAGGACACCAGAGGGGACCAGGGTGGCTGCGGGGGGGGCCAGAGTGAGAGGACTCCAGAGGGGACCAGGGTGGCTGGGGGGGGGGGGGTGCCAGAGTGAGAGGACTCCAGAGGGGACCAGGGTGGCTGGCAGAGGCCAGAGTGAGAGGACTCCAGAGGGGACCAGGGTGGCTGGGGGGGGGGCCAGAGCGAGAGGACACCAGAGGGGACCAGGGTGGCTGAGGGGGGCAGCAGAGTGAGAGGACTCCAGAGGGGACCAGGGTGGCTGGCAGAGGCCAGAGTGAGAGGACTCCAGAGGGGACCAGGGTGGCTGGCAGAGGCCAGAGTGAGAGGACACCAGAGGGGAGCAGGGTGGCTGGCGGGGGGCCAGAGCGAGGCGAGAGGACACCAGAGGGGACCAGGGTGGCTGGGGGGGGGGGGCAGAGTGAGAGGACACCAGAGGGGACCAGAGTGGCTGGCAGAGGCCAGAGTGAGAGGACTCCAGAGGGGACCAGGGCAGAGCTTGGGACTTACTCCTCAGGACTTGGGCTGCTGTTGAATAGTTTTATTTGGTGAAATTCTCAGATTTGCAGGTGTCAGAAAGTTCTACTCTGGCTGTAGGGTGGAGGGTGAACTGGAAGGGGAGGGAGGTTTGTAGGATTGTTAGGAGAGAGTGGAGTGGAGAGTGCGGAGGTGTCTAGGGGGCAGTGGGCAGGCTAGTGATCAGGTCAGAAGGGGGTGGAGTAGATGAAGGTGTCAGGGCTTCTGCTGAGTACAGCAGCAGGCTGGTTAAGTGAGCTCAGGAGTCCAGAAGAGGGGCTGTGGGGTGGTGGGGGAGGCTTCTTTATCTTCCATGTCTGTCACATTCTTTAGCCTTATTTTATTTAATTTGTTGGTTTTTTTCCTAGTTCTAGTTATCAAAGTTTTTATATTGTTTGTTACTACATTTACTTGCAACCTCCCCTCCCAGCTCCCACCCCCCACCCCCGATTTTGGCATACTTTGTATTTATCCTGGCTTATTCTTGTTTGAAAGGTAAAATTTTTTTTTTTTTGAGATGGAGTCTCGCTCTGTTGCCCAGGCTGGAGTGCAGTGGTGCGATCTTGGCTTACTGCAAGCTCCGCCTCCCGGGTTCACGCCATTCTCCTGCCTCAGCCTCCTGAGTGGCTGGGAGTACAGGTGCCGCCACCACGCCCGACTAATTTTTTTTTTGTATTTTTAGTAGAGACGGGGTTTCACAGCGTTAGCCAGGATGGTCTCGATCTCCTGACCTCGTGATCCGCCGGCCTCAGCCTCCCAAAGTGCTGGGATTAAAGGTGTGAGCCACCGCGCCCGGCCAATAGGTAAAATATTTTTTAAAAGTTTTCTGTTTAACAAAGTCATTCCCTCCAGGGAAAGATTTTCCTTTGATCTTCTCCATTTTCTCTTGGGTTTTCACATGTTTTCATTGACTTAGGATTTCTCCCCTGATTTATTAAACTTTGTGTTATAGTAATTTTAGTTGTTGTCTTCAAGTCCTACGCTTGTTTGCTTTTTTTGAGACAGTCTCACTGTGTCGCCCAGGCTGGAGTGCAGTGATGCGATCTCAGCTCACTGCAACTTCCACCTTCTGGGTTCAAGTGATTCTTGTGCCTCAGCCTTCCGAGTAGCTGGGATTACAGGCTCCCGCCACCACACCCGGCTAATTTTTGTATTTTTAGTAGAGATGGGTTTCACCATGTTGGCCAGGCTGGTCTTGAACTCCTGAGCTCAAGTGATCTGCCCGCTTCAGCCTCCCAAAGTGCTAGGATTACAGGTGTGAGCCACCATGCCCAGTTTTATCATCTTCCCTTAGCAGCCTAGAGCTGTGGAACACTACAAGACTGTAGGGTCCATTCGAGTTTTATGCTTTTATTTACTTATTTCTCCAAGTCAGTGTTTTTCATCATTTTTAAACCCATGTTCTCTTTTGATGAAGGATTAATTTTTATTGCCTCATTTAGTTTTTGAAATTTCAAAATGCAGCAAAAAGGAATGAAAGCAGTGGGCTTTATTCTCACCCTCCCTGACCCTCCTGGAGAGTCATTCCTACCTGTATTCCATTTGGTCTTATTTATTTATAATATATGCTACATGAGAGCAAGGATTTTTGTCTGTTTTGTTCATGGCTTTACACCAAGTTCCCAGCACACAGTAGGTGCACATAACTCTTTGTTGAAGAGTGGCTTGGTCACCTCCAGTTCCAGAATGATTTGGGCCCTGCCCCTCATTGTTCGGCTCTGCAGGAAGCTTCCTGGGACCAGATGCTGGGCCTGGCTGCAAGATCAGGTCTTCCTTCCTGCAGGGCACAGTCCATGTGCATCCCAGCAGCCACGGCAGGGCTGGGGAGGAACTGATGTGGGTTGCTTCTCTGGGCAGGGCATGGGGGTTCCCTGCCTGTGGTGGGGGAAGGGGGTACGTGGCTGTGGGGTGGAAGGGATGTTTCTTGCCAGAGGGAGTGGGCGTGGGAGGTGCGCTGGGTGAGCAGCCTCTGAGGCAGGAAGTGCTTTCCAGGCTGGGGTGGGTTTGGGCTTTTTTGTCAGAGCTGTGGGAAGCCATTAAGATTTTAAAGCAGGGTGGTAAAGTTGGGTTTTTGTTAGAAGAGTCTGTCTGCTGCTGGAGGCGAGATCTGCAGGGAAGAGTTGGCTAGGTGGATGAGAAGGGGTGCAGAGGGGCCTTTCCCCCAACATGAGGATGTGGACAGCCTGGATGTGCTTATGGAGGTGAGAGATGGGGCCTGAGGAGAGCCATGCACTGCAGGCGGGCAGGGTCCATGCTTCTGCTGTTGTTGGTACTTTTATTTGTTTTGGGTGACTCTGAGAATTAAATATTAATAACAGTGTTGAAGGAACATACTGTATCATTGGCCATGATGCATGCCTCCTAGAAAGCAGCGCTGTACACAGTGACATGATCACAGCACCCCTGCAGGACTCCAGATGCACAGTTTCTTCTCCTCACTGAGAGTGTTTTGGTATTGCTGGCCTTTCCAGTTCTAGAAATGTCCCCTTTGAGACTGACTTCATGGTGGCTGGTGTCAGAGTCTGTGTCCCTTGTGAAGGAGGCAGAATCAGAGCTAAATTCAATTTAGCAAAGATTTTCTAGACTAAGTAGGAAGAGGGCTCATCACCCGAAGTGGGCGTGGGTGCTCCCCATAGCCAGGCTTTGTCTACAGGACAGCGGGAGGCAGTCAAGGCCTGAGCCCTGGCCAGGTCCCTCGGAGGGCAGGGAGCCTGGAGCTAGGAGAGAGTGGTGATGCAGGGTGGCCATTTCCACTCCCACAGGGCCCTTTGCCCTTCACACCCAGTGCCCACTGCCCTGTCTGAGACGCCTCATGCTGTCCTGGCCTGGGCCTCCCTGGCCACCTGCTGGCATGGCCTCTCCCATTTGTGGGGGTGCCACTTCCTAACTGCCTCTCCTCTCACGGCTCTCCTTCCGTGCCCCCTACCTTGGGCAGGATGTGGGTGGGATATAGTTTGAGTCCATCTCGGGTGCTGGTTTTATGAAGCACACATTTGACTCCCTCAGTGGGTGGTGGAGTGTGCAGACCTGAGCTCCCTGAGCTCTCTCGGGTAGCCCTGGTCACCTCTCATGGGCAGGGCTGCTTGCACAGCTGGAGGGCAAGGCCTGAGCTGCTGTTCCCGGAGAGCTAGAGCTCGACAGGCCTGGACTGCCCAGGAGGCCCGTGGAAAGGCTGATCCTTCCTCAGTTGTTGCAGCTGAGTGTGTGTGGCCTCCTGATGCTACATGTTCAGTTGCCTTTTACTTCCTTTATGAGGGAAGTTTTATGCTACGCGGTATTTCCAAAGTGTGAGCTCCCCAGAGGAATCAGGGACTCTGTCTTTGAATGTCCAGGGTCTGTGTATCCTCTACCAGATAGAAGACCCAAGGCAGCAGGACTGGGCTCCTTCTCTTCTTTTGATCTCTGAAAGTACGGGACTCTGCAAGGTAACTTCATTCTTTAAGGCAAGCCAGAGTGTGAATCCTAGCTCAGCTTCTTCCAAGCAGATGACTGGGGGCGAGTCACAGGACAGCTCGAAGCCTCCATTTTCTCATCTGAGAAATGGGGCTAGTAACCTGCCTTGTGGGGTGGTTTGGTTGTAAGGACTAAATGAGTTAATGAATGTAGGCATGATATATGTGTTTGTGCCTATTAACACTGTGATTATAGGCACTTACTGATTATTCAGTGAATGAACTGAAAGCAATAAACCAAATTCATTTATTATATCATTTGGTATGTGGAAAATTTTCTTCTAGTTTGGTGTACTTAACGTTTCATACTTTCTCTGTTTACTGAATAATAACTTTAATTGAACAAAATCACTACTAATTAGTCCAGATTTCACTGGGCTTCAGTTAGTCTGGCTGTATTATTACTACTCCCTGGGTCATGGCAACTGTAGCTGAGGTGAACCTTAGAGAGGAAAGACAAGTTTTACTGGAATATGCCTGAAATACAGAGCCATTTAGAAGGGTCATATTCTGCCCATTGTTAAAAGCGCTGTGAACTAAGGCTGGGCATGGTGGCTAACACCTGTAATCCCAGTGCTTTGGGAAGCTGAGGCGGTGGTTCAACTGAGGACAGGAATTCAAGACCAGCCTGACCAACATGATGAAACCCCGTCTCTACTAAAAATATAAAAATTAGACAGACATGGTGGCGGGCGCCTGTAATCCCAGCTACTCAGGAGGCTGAGGCACAAGAATCACTTGAACCCGGGAGGCAGAGGTTGCAGTGAGCTGAGATCGCATCATTTCATTCCAGCCTGGGCGACAGAGTGAGACTCTGTCTCAAAAAAAAAAAAAAAAAAAAAAAAAAAAGCAAGCACTATAAACCATCGAGGGGCCCCTCGTTTCTTACCTAATGAAGTTCAGGGTCTGGTCCTCATGTGCCCTCCCAGCCTGGCCTCTCCCCAGCCAAGCCCAGTGCTTCTTAGGGAGCTCCCTGTGTGTACGGGTCACCTGCTGGCCCTGGTCTCTGGGGGTCTGTTTCCCCAAATTCTCCCCACCGACCCTGTCCGTTTCCTCCTCAGGGAAGCCTTCCTGTTTACATGGTGCTCAGGAAACTGCCATATGCTTCTGTGGGACTGTGGTTCTCAAACTTGGCCATGCCCGAGCACCTTTTGGAACTTTCCCCAGAAGTTTGCAAGTGGGTGCTTTTTCAAAGCTTTCCAAAATCTTAGGGTACAACCACTTTGGGACCCCCTTCTTGAGGGTACTTTGTGTCACTCATGTGATGCTACATTAGCACAAGCTCCCTAGTAATGTGTACTTGGCCACACCTTGAGCTCAAGGCCATGGAGTGTCTTGGCAGCTTAGGGTCCCCAGTGCTCTGCCCTTTGGGGTGACTATGTGTATGAATATGAGCTGGAAGAAGCAGGTTCTGTTGCTTCTTTTTGTTAGCACAACAGAGAGAATGTTGACTCACCCCTTCCTTGGCAAGCCCCGCTGAAGAGGTGCTCACTATTGTGGACCCCTCTGTGGGCCAGGCTCCCCCTTTTACAATTTCCCAGCTCATGTCCGGCCGGCAGCTTGGGGACAAGGTTAGCCCCTGTGCTCTGTGTGTGCGCTTTTAGCGAGTTTGCCAGCTGGAAAACTTGTTTATCCCAGAGAATGGAGGAGTCATTTGACAAGTAAGGCATTACCCTGGCCACCTAATTTCAAATCAGTTGGAAAAGATGCAAGTTTTAGAACTTGTTATTCCTTATTTGAACTATCCTGTATCACGGCAAACTGTCTACTGAGTGCCTGAGGGTGTACGGGGTAGGTAAGTGTGTTCCCTACTCTGGGAGACTTCTAACAGTATATAAAGAAGTAGTTCTAGTGCCCTGTCATAAGTAGAGTGGAAGAAGGTACAAAGTACAGTTAGAGTGGTGGTGGTTAGCCTTGGGAGGGGAGGTAAGCTTCTCTGAGGAGCGGCATGAGAGCTGGATGTGGGGACGGGTCCCTTTTGCAGAGAGGACTGGGGAAGAGTCAGGGAGTCGGGGACATCCAGGAAATAGGTGGTAGGAGTGTCTGTTCATGTGACACACTAGCAGTGCCTGCTTTCCAGGTACAAGTCCTCCTGTATGGATTCATTTGTTAACTTAGTTCTTAAAGTGTTTGAATCTTAGTAATGATTTTAAAGGAAATTTAAAATAGGGAGAAAATGGGCTGGGTGTGATGGCTCACACCCGTAATCCCAGCACTTTGGGAGGCCGAGGCAGGCGGATCACCTGAGGTCAGGAGTTCAAGACCAGCCTAGCCAACATGGTGAAACCCTGTCTCTACTAAAAATACAAAAATTAGCTGGATGTGGTGGTGGGCGCCTGTAATCCCAGCTACTCAGGAGGCTGAGGCAGGGAGAATTGCTTCAACCCAGGAGGTGGAGGTTGCAGTGAGCCAAGATCGCACCGTTGCACTCCAGCCTGGGCGACAGAACAAGACTCCATCTCAAAAATAAAAATAAAAGTAAAATAGGGAGAAAATGTTCCCACAGTAGCTCTGCAGTTGTTTTCTTTTTTCATGTTTCTCTTCAGACTTTTTTTTTTTTAGATGGAGTCTCGCTCTGTTGCCCAGGCCGGAGTGTAGTGGCGCGATTTAGGCTCATTGCAACCTCTGCCTCCCGGGTTCAAGCAATTCTCCTGCCTCAGCCTCCTGAGTAGCTGGGATTATAGGCGTGTGCCACCACACCCAGCTAATTTTTTTGTATTTTTAGTAGAGACGGGGTTTCACCATGCTGGCCAGGCCGGTCTCGAACTCCTGACCTCGTGATCCGCCCACCTTGGATTCCCAAAGTGCTGGGATTACAGGCGTGAGCCACTGCGCCCTTCCTCCCTTCAGACTTTTTAATAGGCACACATTAAATTTTACATGTGTTATATACATGTATAATTTTGTGTTTTGTGTTACAAAGTTAAATTTTGTGTTTTGTGTTACAAAATTACATTTTACATGTGTTATATACATGTATAATTTTGTGTTTACATGTGTTATATACATGTATAATTTACATGTGTTATATACATGTATAATTTTGTATTTTGGCTTTATTTGCTGTTTTATCATAAGATTCCCCATATCATGAGTCTCTGTAATGATCGTTTTTTATGGTGGCAGATATTTCATTGTGTAGATGTGTCATCACTGATCAGTTAAACTTTATTTGCTCACTCTTGCAGCATTAGGAACTGAGAATGTTTCAGTTTTTCCTGTTGGAGATAATGCTAGAATGTGCATTTCAGATCACAGGAGGGACATTTAGGGAGGTGAGTTTGTTCTCCCCTGCAGAGCAGCTTCCATGCTGAGCCCTGTTTGCCCAGGAGAGGGTGCAGTTTGCCCTTCAGGAGCTGCTTTGGTTTGGTCTTGGGTTCCTTTTTGTTACCTGCCCTGAGAGTTGAGAAGACAAAACTTCCTCCTGCTTTGGGTGATTCTAGTTTGGTTCTGGTTTACAGCTTTATTTTTGAGTATTTCTGTATTTCAGCTTCTATTTACTTTACACCATTTTAGATAGATCATCATTTGAACTTTCAGATATCCTAAGCCTCCAGAATCTCTAGAGGATTGGCATGTCACATAACTTTAAAAAAGCAATATCAAGAAGAAGTTGGGTTTGTTGAAGGGAAGTGGACAGATCAGGGGACTCTGGCTTATATGGCTAAGCTGGTGGAGGAAGACATGTGAGCAGACATTGGGTGAACGTCTGCTGTTCCAGTGGCACATCCTGGAATGAGGTTGGGTGGAGGGTAGGTAGAGAGCTGCCCCAGGTATGGAAGGTGGTAGAAGAAGAGTTGAGTACACACTTGCATGAGGGATGGGGCTGGTTTACAGGAATGGAACCAGCTTGGAAAGAAGACAGAAGGTGAGAAGTGAATACTTGTTGGTATCATGTAAGAACAGAGTGAAGAAAAAGGACAGGCCGGCCCTTGGTTTATTTTTAAATTTCAGGAAAATGGATTGGCCAAATAATGGGGATCAAAAATAAAGGGTGTTTTTATTATGAGCCAAGTGAAAATTAAATTTAAGATATGTATGTTGTTATGGTTTGATTGTGTCCTCCAAAGTTCATGTGTTGGAAACTGAAGCGCCAGTGCAACAGTATTGAGAGGTAGAAACTTTAAGAGGTGATCAGTGCTGGGTGCAGTGGCTCACGCCTGTAATCCCAGCACTTTGGGAGGCCAAGGCGGGCAGATCACCTGAGGTCGGGAGTTTGAGATCAGCCTGATCAACATGGAGAAACCCTGTCTCTACTAAAAATACAAAATTAGCTGGGTGTGTTGGCACATGCCTGTAATCCCAGCTACTCAGGAGGCTGAGGCAGGAGAATCACTTGAACCCAGGAGGCGGAGGTTGCAGTGAGCCGAGATTGTGCCATTGCACTCCAGCCTGGGCAACAAGAGTGAAACTCTGTCTAAAAAAAAAAAAAAGAAAGAAAAAAAAAGAGGTGATCAGGCCAGGAGGGCTCTGCTCTGGGGATGGATTAATGCTGTTATTGTAGGGGTCAGTTCCTAATAAAGGGATGAGTTCATCTCCTCCCCCTTGTTCTCACTGTCACCTTTGACGCAGCATGAAGCCCCTCACCAGATGCCGCACCATGCTCTTAGACTTTCGAACTATGAGGCAAATAAACTTCTGTTCATTTAAAATTATCTAGTCTGTGGTATTCTGTTACAGCAGCGCAAAACAGACTAAGACACATGTCTAGAGGGCTGCTTATGTGTAATAGCTATATAATACTGCATATATAAAGGGCAGTTTATATTTAATGCTGGTAGAATATCATGAAGGTAGTGTATGTTAGAGTTAGGTTTAGCTACTGTATTAGTTTCTCATGGCTTCCATAGCAAATTATCAGATAACATGAAACAGAAGAAATGTAATTCTATCACATTCCTGGAGGCCAGACATCTGAAATCATGGTGTTGGCAGGGCTGGGGTCCTAGGAGAGACTCTGTGACTTGCTTTTCCCAGCTCCTGGTAATTCCAGGCATTCCCTGGCTTGTGGCTGCATCGCTTCAAGATCTGCCTCTGTCTCCACATGGCCTTTTCTTCCTTCTTCTGTGTCTTCTCCTCTGTTTTCTTAAACAGACACCTGTCCTTGGATTTAGGGCCCACTCAGATAATCCAGGATGATCTCATCTCAAGATCCTTAACTTGATTACATCTGCAAAGACTGTTTTTCTAAATAAGGTCACATTCACAGGTTCCAGAGATTAGAACATGGACATACCTTTTGGAGGCCATCATTCGATGCCCTATAGCTACAAATAAGAATGGTGTGAACAGGCAAGGTTTTATTCTTTCACACCAAAGAAAGTAGTCCTTGGTGAGTATGGTCATTCTGCAAGGTCGACCGAGCCCTTCCAGAATGTGAGTCTTCTAGTCTAAGAGGCTATGAGGTGCTAGTCACCACTGTGTCTCCTGTTGTTGGACGGGGAGACGAGGAGAGGAGAAAGTGTGTTGCCTGGTAGGAGTTCATAACCAGGATTCATGGCCCCCTCAAAGCGGTCTGTGGATATGACTATATTGTATTAAAATTGGTTTCCACTGTAATCATAAGTATTTTATTTTTGGCACTTAGAGAAATTCTGAGAAGGAGTTCATAGGCCTCACCAGACTGCCAGAAGGGGTCCATGGCACAGAACAGACGAGGAGCTCTTGTATGACTTCTCCAAAGTGTGACATGGCACTTCTGCGGACATCCTCCCGGTTGATCTTTAGTTATGTGCTCATACCGTATAGCTCTCAGGATGCTTGCCCTGAAATAATCATATCAGAATAACCATGTTATGCAGAGAGAAGGGTGATTTTTCATGTCTGTATTTATGACTTCCTTTTCCCCAAGTAATATTTTTGAATAGTTTATGGTATCAAGAAGTTTGATGAAGTATATCATAAAGAAGGTCTTCCTTGTTAGCTGTGTGACCTAGGGCAGATACTTCATCTTTCTGAGACTCAATTTTCTCATCTGTGAAATGGGATAATACTGGACTGTATCTCAAAGGTCATTGGATTGGCACAGAAGTGCGTTCTGAATGTTTCCTAGTTTCTAATCTCCACCACCAGTCATCTCTACTAGTAGGAAAGTAATAGGGTTTAACTTGCTAACATGTAACAGTTATTCTGATTTATAGGAGTTTCAAAGGATTTCAAACGAGGCCAACTTTACAGATATATTAAAAATAGCTTTTGTAGCAGAAGAGTAGATATCCGGAAAAAGTTATCCTTAAAAGTTTTCAAGGTATAATCAATACAAACAGGAAAAATAAAAGTTAAGGGAAAACCAAGTATAATTTAACATATAAGATGCCTTTAATTGGTAGCTAAATAAAAAGGAAGCTATGTAATGGATCAGAGTATTGCGTTTAAATCTTGTCATGGCAGAGCACGGTGGCTCATGCCTGTAATCCCAGCATTTTGGGAGACCAAGGCAGGAGAATCACTTGAGGCTAGGAGTTTAAGACCAGCCTGGGCAGCATAACAAGATCCTGTCTCTACAAAAAATAAAAAAAATTATCCAGGTACGGAGGCATGCACCTGTAGTCCCAGCTACTTGGGAGGCTGAGGCGGGAGGATCACTTGAGCCCAGGAGTTCTAGGTTGCAGTGAGCTGTGATTGCACCACTGCACTCCAGCCTGGGCAACAGAGAGAGATCGTGTCTCAAAACATAAAATAAATCTTGTCCATGTGGCATTCATATTTGTTGGGTGAATGAAAGTTCCCTAGTAGGCCTACCTAGCGTGAAACTGTGGCTGAGTTTCTCAGCTGTTTCTAACAGACATCAGCCCAGAGGATGGTTAGGACTGCTTCTTGGGTGAGGAACCGTGATCTTTATCCAGATTTCATCATCAGTTTTCCTTTTTAGCATGTTTGGATTTCAGATATTTTCTGGGCAAAATTCCTAAGCCAGTTAACTTTGGCTCGGAGAGAGGAAAAACTGTTTTTTTTTTTTTTTTTCAGATGAGTCTCACTCTGTTGCCCAGGCTGGAGTGCCGTGCTGCGCTCTCAGCTCACTGCAACCTCCGCCTCCCGGGTTCACGCAGTTCTCCTGCCTCAGCCTCCCAAGTAGCTGGGACTACAGGCATGTACCACTACACCTGGCAAACTTTGTATTTTTAGTAGAGACAGGGTTTCACCATGTTGGCCAGGCTGGTCTCGAACTCCTGACCTCAGGTGATCCACCCATCTCGGCCTCATGGGATTACAGGCGTGAGCCACTGCGCCCATCCAGAGAAACTGTATATAATTGGCAAATGTCTCTGCATAAAAGACTCTTCCTAATTGCTGCAACTGCTGGCCCAGGTCTGGGACAGGGAGAATTGTATTTGTGGGTCCCAAAAGTCCTCTTGAGTGTGAAGTGTCTTTGCTCTTCCTGTTGGGAAGCCCCACGTTCGTTAGCAGCTCCTGCCCCCTGGGCTCACTTCTGCAAAGCAAGCCTGCCTCTATTTCTGCTCAAGTGCAGTGTTCCAGGAGAACCTGACTGCATGTCCCAGCTCTGCCAGCTCTCAGTGGTGGGTTCTTGGCCACCTGTAGCTTCATTCTCCCATCTGCCAATGAGGGTGGTCCTACCTAGCACAGCAATGGTGGGGCAGTCGAGCACCGGGCAGAGTAGGTGCTCAGTGAATGAAATACTGTAATTATTAACACATGCCATGGACAGCAGTGCAGGCCTGCGGGATCAGGTGCAGAAGGAAGTTAACCCAGTGAATTCCACACCTGGTAATCCACACTGTGTTCTCAGGTTAAAGAAGCAGGAGGAAGCAGGCATTGAGTCAAATTGGTGGCTGTTTGCTAAGTGTGGGGTTTTACTGAAGGCAGCACCTGCTTCTGCAGCACAGCTGGTCTGAAAAGCCAGGTTGCTCCTTGTGAGGGCTTAGGGGTCGGTTTTAACAGTCACTCCAAGCAGGCACAGGGAGAAGATGCTGTCCTCTTCTGGCAGCCTGGCTGGTGAGCAGTGGAACCAATTGTGGTGTCTCTTCTTTAGAGTTTGGGGTGGGAGAAGACGCAGTTACTCGTCTGGGCTGTTTGTTTAGATTATCAGTGGGGTTTGCATTTGTGAAATCTAAGCCATTTTCACCTTATGATTGTATGTGTTTGAAAAAGTATTTGTGTTGTTAACACTTGTTATACTTGTTAATTTTTATGAACAAGTGTAGCGTACTTGTTAATTGTCTTTATTTACAAATGGCAGAGAAAACAAAGTGGATAGTTGAGAGACTGTCATTGGATTATAGTAATTTAGTAAGGGAAAGAGTTCTTTGAGAAAAGACCTGGGGGGAAGATACATGGATTTGATTGAATTTTTTCCTAGGGTGCCTAGGCAGTGAATACTTTTTAGCCATCTTTACTCAGTATGCTTTTAAATGTGTCACGGTGTGATTGAGCCAAGTTCCGTCTGTCTGGTTTTTTTTTTTCCTTGAAAGTTACAAAAATGGTATCATTCTCTAGGAAATCATGTTAAAAAAAAATCCCACGTTCCCGTCCCAGAATAACCTGGTGTTTCACAGTACATAGTGGTAGGATCTTTTTATTTCCTTGAAACAACTTGTTATCAAATTAAGATAATTTCCTGCTCTGTGGTAGGGAGACTGCTGTTTATTGACCCAGTCCTTCCTCCTCACCACACAATTGAAGAACCTGGTTTGAAGTGTAAACCTAAAAAACATGTGATCCCCCCATACCGTTTTTTTTTTTTTTTTTTTTTTTTTTTTTAAGACAGGAGGAGGACTGTGGGAGTGGTTATCAGTAGATCTGTGCAGAAGGGTTGGCCCTGCAGACTGGGTCTGGTGTAGAATGTGCCCTGTGGGAGCTGCCTCCAGGCCTGTGGCTGGGTGTGTTAATCAGTGCTGGACTTCATACAGAAAAGTCGATGCTGTTTTCTTTTCTTTTTCTTTTTTTTAAATTTGGTAGAGATATGATCTCACCATGTTGTCCAGGCTGGTCAACATGATCCAATCCTCCTGCCTTGGCCTCCCAAAGTGCTGGGATTACAGGTGTGAGCCACTGTGCCTGGCCAATGCTGTTTTCTTTGTAGCTGAATTGTTCATTGGCTGCAAAGCTATAGAGGGTGGGTCAAGATAATTAGATGTTTGGAAAATAGTTAAGAGGGGGATTGGCTTCCACCCCATTCTTTGATTTTTTTTCTCTTTGAAGAAAGAGGGGGGGCTCAAGGGACACTGACCTTGGAGGCAGGAGCCTTGGGGTTTGTCCTGTGCCCGTCATTGACCGGGATCGCTTCCTTTTCTGTAAATCAAGGTCATGGGCGCAGCTGACTTGCCAAGGCTGTTGCCAGCTCTGCGCTGCCTTCTGAGGAACTTGATGGTTTGCTTCCTGTGAAAACTTGATGGTTTGCTTTAAGGTATCACTAGATACCTTGGGGTGATATCTAATCACACCAATGAAGAGATTGGGTATTTGTTTTTCCCAAATCCCTAAGTGCTGATTTCTCCAGGGCAGTACACAACCTCTTATCTTTAGCACTCACTTTGACTTGCATAAGTTTCCTGGCTTGGATGATAAGCTATATGGTCACCCTGCTTATTCAGAGAAAGGTTCATAGTGTTCTTTAATGACTATTCTAATACATGAAAACCATTTTTTGTGACTTGAGACATAATTGATGTACAATAAACTGCAGTATTTAAGGTGTACAGTTTGATAGTTTTTATACACACACACTTTCTCTCTCTCTCTCTCATAATTACACTGAAGCTGTCACCATAGTCAGGATAACATTTCCATCACCCTGAGAATTTCCTTGTAATCCTTCCTTCTCTGCCTCTTCACAGGCAAACATGGATGGATTTGTTTTCTGTCATTGTAGATTACTCTGCATTTTAAAAAGAATGCTATATAAATTGAGTAATGCAGCATGTACTACTTTTTTTTTTAATGTCTGGCTTCTTTCACTCAGCATAATGGTTTTGAGATTTTTCATGTTACGAATATCAGTAGTCCATTGTATGCATATTCCAGCATTTGTCTATTCTATTGGTGGGCATTTAGGTAGTTTCTAGTTTTGGGTTATTACTAATAAAACTATGAACATTTGTATACAAGTCTTTTGTGTGGACATATTTTCATTTCTCTTGGGTAAACACCTTGAAGTGGAATCGCTGGATCATATAGTAGGTATATGTTTAACTTCTTAAGAGGCTGCTAAACTGTTTTCTGAAGTGGTGATCCAATTTTATATTCCCACCAGCAGTGTATAGAGAGTTCCAGTTGCTCCACATCCTCACCAACACTTGGTGTGATCAGTCTTTTTAATTTTATGTGTCCTAATAGTTATGTAGTGTTACCCCATTGTGGCTTTAATTTCCATTTCCCTGATGACTAATGATGTCAACATCTTTTCATGTGTTTGTTGGTCATTTGTATGTCTTTTGTGAAATGTGTGCTAGGACATTTATCCATTTTTTTAATTGGGTTCTTATTGAGTTGTAAGACTTCTTTATGTATTTTGGATGTAAGTCCTTTGTCTGATACATGTGTTGTGAATGTTTTTCTCAGTCTGTGGCTTGTGTTTTCTTTAATGACACTTTTAGAACAGAAGTCTTTCTTTTTGGTGAAATTCAACTTATCAGTTTTTTAAATGGCTCATTCTTCTAGTATTCTATCCAGAAAACCCTTGTCTACCTCGGCTTGCAAAGATTTTCTTCTATAAGTTTTGTAGTTTTAGGTTTTACAGTTGGGATTATTATTGATGTTCTTCCCCCGACCCCCATATGGATATTCAGTTTTTGAGGCAGCGTTTATTGAAGATACATTCCATTCCTCATTTAATTACCTTTGCTGCCTTTTTTCAAAAGTCAATTAACCTTTTATTTTTGAGTCTCTTTCCAGATTTTCTATTTTGTTTTATTGAACTATATTATGTCTGCCTTTACTGAAATAATTCTACACTTTGTTGATTACTGTAGTTTTATAGGAAGTGTTGAAATTAGAGTCATCTTTGTTCTTTTCTAACATAGCTTTATTCTAAGTACTTAGCATTTTCATATAAATTTTAATATTAGTTTGTCAATTTCTATAAGTGAGGCCTGCTAGAATTTTGTTTGAGATTGTGTTAAATCTGTAGATCAATTTGGGGAGAATTGCTATCTTAATAACATTGAATCTTTAATGATGTTGAGTTTTCCAGTACATTAACACGATCTCTCTCTCTTTATTTAGGTGCTTTAAATTTATCTCAGCAGTGCTTTGTAGTTTTCAGTGTAGATGTCTTTAACGTCTTTTGTTAGATTCATTTCAATGTAATTTATGTTTTTATTTTTATTAACTAAATGGAATTTATAAACATTTTATATCTGTTTGCTGCTAATATATAAGAATACAGTGGATTTTGTGACCTTGCAAAATACTGCTTGTTTAATTCTAGTAGTCATTGTGTAGATTCCCTAGAAAGTTCTATATAAAGTTGTATCATTTGCAAATAGGGACAGCTTTACTTCTTCCTTTCTGACTCACATGCCTTTTATTTATTTTTCTTGCTTCATTGCAAAGGCTAAGATTCCAGTACAGTGTTGAATAGGAGTAGCGAAGGCAGGAATCCTTCCACCTTTTCCAGTCTTAACATGAAACAGTTCGGTTTTCATCATTAAATGTGATGTTAGCTGTAGGCTTTTTGTAGGTATCCTTTATCAGTTTGAGGATGTTCTTTACTTGATCGCTGACAGTTTTAATTATTAATGGGTGTTGAATTTTGTCAAATGCTTTTCTGCATTTATTGAAGTGAACACATGGTTTTTTTCTCCTTTATATTATTAAAAGGGCAAATTAAATTGGTTGATTTTCAAATTTAAGACAACTTTTCATTCTTGGGTTAAACCCTATTTGCTCATAATATGTTTTTTATTTATTGTTGGATTCAATTTGCCATTATTTTGTTAAGGATTGTTGCACCAATATTCATGAAGGTATTGATCTGTAATTTATTTCTCTCCCTTTCTTCCCTCATTTCTTCCTTTCTGCCTTTGTCAGGTTTTGGTACTTTAAAAAATAGAGAGTCAGGCCAGATGTGGTGGCTCACGTCCGTAATCCCTGCATTTTGGGAGGCCGAAGCAGGTGGATCACTTGAGGCTAGGAGTTCAAGACTGGCCTGGCCAACATGGTGAAACCTCATCCCTACTAAAAATACATATATATGTAGTGAGTCAGTGTTACCCCGCCTCTGTTTTCTGATAAAGTTTGTGTAAGCTTGGTGTTCTTTCTGAAATATTTGCTAGAGTTTACCAGTGAAATGATGTAGGTATGCAGTTTTTTTGGGGTAAAGTTTTTGATAATACCCTGTGATTTTTTTTTTTTAATGTTCAGATTTTTTGTTTCTTGTGTCTGCAGTGACATTTTCTGCATTCTCTTCCTTTTCCCTCTGATTTATGTCTGTTGGATGGAGAAGTAGAAACTTTATGAGAGAAGGGATATCATGGGGCTTGTTGATCTGTTTTCATCCCAGCGCCCCCGAACCATGCCTGGCACCAAATAGCCACACTGTAAATGCCTGTGGGGTTAATTGATTTGTTGTTGCTGTATCTCTATTCCTTGGCACCTCTGGGAAGCATTTTTGTCTCCCCCCGTCCACATGGGACCGTGTCGTCACTGTGCTGTGACGGGAGCTGGCTGAGTCAGGCTGGCAGGCTGTGGCTGCCCTGCATGCCGTGCCCTCCCACGGTGGCTCTTCAAATTCTTGGCTATGTGCCCAGCACTGGTACACAGACCCTCTGAGTCAGGGCTTGCCAATGGAAAAAATATTTTCAACCTTTTTTGGTCTTTTAAAATATTAAAACCTATAGTTGGAATTACTTCTTTTCATTTTTACAATGTACTTGAAGTATCAGAGGAATAAGGAAAGCCATTGTAAGCTTGGTTAGTGGAAAGGGATAAACCACCTCTGAGCATCCAAATAAAATTAGGAAGCGGGGGTTCTAGATGAGGGAGGACAATTCCAGGAGGCTCTTGACCTTGTATATGATTCCCTGACTGGGAATGTGGTCTGAGATGCCCTTTCCTGGACAGATTACAAATGACAGCCCCTGGAGCAAACACATGAATCAGCCAGGGAGTTAAAAAAGAACAGGGTAGTTTGGACTGGGCCTCTCTCTTTCAGGACATGACTGCTGTGGCTACAGACTGCATTCAGGTCCCCAGCATCTGGAAGGAGTCTGTGCCCACTTATCCTTTGCATCCTAAGGGGACTGGGTCTTTGTGCACCAGCAGCAGCCGTAGAGGTTGGGCTTGGGAATCAGGGGCTCCCTTATCAAAGCTGGGAAACTTAGAACAACAGCTGTGCCGCTCATGGACCTGTAGTCTCTCCTGTTAAGCAGAGTGCTGAGTTCATGTGATAGCAAACACAGCTCTGCCAGACCACAGGGTCACCAGGCAGGCACTCCATCCCTCCCTCCAGGGGGAGACCACGGCATGCCTTGGATGAGGTGACTTGGCCAACTGTCTTGTGGCCCCAGCTCCTGACATTACAATGTGATGACTGTGACACTTGGAAGAGAAATGTCTCAGGTATCGTGGTCCTGGGTCCTGTGGTACAGGACCTTGTCTCTGCGGTCCTGTACTTTTGCTTCACAATTAGAAGAATTGAAAGCTTCAGGTTGTTTCAGGTATGTTTTTTCAAGAAGTGCAATAGTAGTGTGTTTATAGATGTTTTCCTTAGAGTTAGTTTTGGGGGAGAGAAGATGACTGCCCTTCCATCCTGCAGGTGGATTGGCTGGGGAATGAGGCCATCTCTTTTCAGAGTGAGCAGTGAACCATTTTTGTCTGTACACTGACCTGGGGCTGATTTGGCATCCTGACCTTCCAGTCTGAGGGAGTTGGTAAGGGGCTGGAAGGGCCCATTCTTTGTGTGTGTGGGTATTTTTTAGAGACGGGGTCTTGCTGTGTTGCCTGGGCCGGTCTGGAGATCCTGAGTTCAAGCAATCCTCTTGCCTTGGCCTTCCGAGTAGCTGAGACTACAGGTACATGCTGGACCCACACTTTGGACTCTGTCCCTGCTGGCCTAGTTCTTTGCCAAGAGCAAAACTTGAGAGCACCCTCACACAGGTAACAGTTAGACCTTGTCAGGAGACATGGCTGTTTTCCCAGACAGCTGAGCTTTCAGACTAAAGCACAGAAAAGTTGGAGGACATGGGACTCCTTAGCCCACAAAAGAAACTCTATTTTAATTTTCCATGTGAAATAGGAGTAGGGTACGTTAGGGTAGGGCATCTTGGTTATGAGATGCCTGCAGCAAGTGCCATCAGGGTGGCTGCCAGCTGAGTCATCTCCCTCAAAGAGCTTTCCTGGAACCACTCTCCCCGGTGATGTCAGCTCCTTCACCTCCATTGCTGTCTCTAGCTGCAGGGGTGGTTGGAGACCCAGTATTTTAGCTAGGCCCTGCCAGAGGCCATTGGGATAGCAGGTCAATGGATGAAGGAGGTTGTATAGGCAAATGGGAGTAATTATCTCTGATCTTGATTTTTGTAGGAAATAGGCGTAGATTAAGGCATAGATAAATTTGAAAAGGCATAGATACATTAATTAATTAATTAGAGATGAGGTTTCACTCTGTCGCCCTGTCTGAAGTGCAATGGCGTGATCAAGGTTCATTGCAGCTTTGACCTCCTGGGCTCAAGTGATTCCCGCACCTTAGCCTACTGAGTAGCTGGGACCACAGGCAGGCACCACCATTCCCAGCTAATTTATAAATTTTTTTTGTAGAAACAGGGTCTCACTGTGTTGCCCAGGCTGGTCTTGAACACCTGGGCTCAAGGGATCCTCCTGCTTTGGCCTCCCAAAGCACTGATTGGCAGGCATGAGCTGCTGCGCCCAACCAGGCATAGATAAATTTAAAGACACCTTTTACTGTAGACAATTTGGAAAATAGAGAAAACCAGAGGGAAAAGAAAAAAAAGAATCTCTCAGTCCTACCACTTGATGTGTGAACCTCCAGTTTTCCCGGCTGCTTGTGTCCTGCCTTTTTTAAACACAATACGATGACATCAGTATGTCCCCCTTTCCCTCATTTATGTTTTATTGTGGTAGAATACTGTTTTATTGTGGTAGAATACACATAACATAAAATTTAGCATCTTAACCATTTTTAAGAGTACAGTATAAATATGCCCTTTTATAAATTACTTGTTTTTCCCTCCTCGTGTGGCTTTGTTTTCTGTGTGGTAGCCATTCTGTGGTTTACTTAACCACTCTAAGTATTGAACACACAAACAGGCTTGAATCAATTCATTTGAAAAGGTGTGGACAAGACTTTGTCCTAAGGGTGACACCTGGCCCAGCCAGCAGATGTGATTGTTCTGCCTTGGCCACCTTGCTCTGGGAAATTGTATTGCTTAGTCAGGTTGACCTTCAGTGACCAAAAAAGTGGATGGTAGTGTCAAGGGCTTCGGGTAGCTTATGAAACTCTTTTTCCTTCTCATCTTGTTACTTTCCTCTTGATACTTACTTGTTAACTACAGTGTTACTATAGACGCCTTTGGGTATATGCAGATTTACCATTAGTTAATCCCAGAGAAAAATGGATAAATTATGACAGCGTGGTGGCTGTCAGACTTAAGAATGCCAAAGCATTCCCGTTTCTCTCCCTCCACCCCATCCCTTCCAGACTTACTACCAGGGACCTTTGGTTTGCCTTTCCTTGTCACCAGGACTCCGAGGTCTTTCAGCTCCTTGTTTCTTCTGTTCAGTAGCTGAAGGATGCAGGTACTCTGCCCTCCTGCTGTGGTTTGTTTCTCTAGCGAGAAGTCCAGCAGCCCAGCTACTGAAAGCCAAGGTCACTAACGCAGGATGCAGTCAGCCCAGGAGGAGCACAGCCCTGGACATGAAGCTTCTGGTCTTACTTCTCCCACCTTCCTGCTACGGTGTGCATTGCAGCCGCAAGCTCTGCCTTGGAATTGCTTACTGTGTCTTAGTTCCTGTGTGCATTTTTTTATTTTTTATTTTTTTGAGACAGTCTTGCTCTGTCATCCAGGCTGGAGTGCAGTTGTGCGATCACAGCTCATTGCAACCTCTGCCTCCTGGGTTCAACTGATTCTCCCTCCTCAGCCTCCTGAGTAGCTGGGACTAGAGGCACCCGCCACCACGCCTGGCTAATTTTTGTATTTTTAGTAGAGATGGGATTTCACCATGTTGGCCAGACTGGTCTTGAACTCCTGATCTCAGGTGATTTGCCCACCTCAGCCTCCCAGAGGGCTGGGATTACAGTCATGAGCCCCTGCGCCTAGCCCCCCTTGTGCATTTTTTAAAAGGTGCAGTTCTGTATTTACTGTAGTGTTTATGTGGTAAAATTTGTTCATTTAAAAACATTTAATATTGCTGTTGTTCCCTTGATGCTTGGTTACAAATTTGCATAAGTTCTCAGTGGCCTGCCCCAGCTTACCTATTCCCATGGGACTTCTTTTTACTTTTATTGTGCCCTTTTGTAGAGTATGAGGGTTTTTAGGAACTCAAAAATTGCATTATGGCAAAAATACCTGGAAGGTTTTCCTGATGCTAAGATTCTTTTTAATTCCCCTTTTAATACAAATAACATGTATCATTATAGATAATTAAGTGCAGATAACCCAAACAAACAAAAACCACTCAAAAGTCTTATCACTGAGATTCTAGATTAAACACTATTATATAGACCTGCGATTCTCAAACATGGGTAGGGATAAGGCAGTGGGGGAGGTGAGATTGGCCTGAAGAGGACATTTGGGGACTCCACACTGGTTTGTCACAGTTGTGGGTATGGAGAGCAGGGGTACGTGCTGCTGACACCTAGTTGGTAAAGTCCAGGGAAGCTGCTCAGTGTCCCCAGAGGCACAACAGTGTTGTGCGACAGCCTCACAACAAAGAATTATTTGGCTCAAAATGTCAATAGTGCTGAGGTTGAGAAACCCTGATATGGACAGATAGTTATGGGGCCTTTTTCTGTGAATATTATTAAATACACTTTAGTTTTACAAAAATTTGGATTATTTATACAGACTAGTTTATGACCTGCTTTTAAAACTTATTACTTCATGAACATCTTTCTGTGTCCATGACTATGGGCCTGTGACATACCATTGTGTGAGCATGTTGGAGCTTACTTCACCAGCCCCCTGTCTGGAGACTGAGGTGCTGCCAGCGTTTTGCTATTGAAACCACATTTGTTTGTATTTTGCCTTCTGCATGCTGGTTGACTATGGCCAGCCCATGTTGGGGCACCAGCTCTACATCTGGGGTGCCTTTCATGGGTAATAATATTCCCTTCCTGCCAGAGGCCCCCCCGCCAACCATGGCAGTCCCCAATCTCTAGTTTTCTCACAGTTGAACATAACTCAAGCTTAATGAAGTACTGTTGAAATAGTGAATAGGTAAGTAACACAATATTTCTGTCACGTTTCATTTTTAAGTAGAACTTTCACTTTTTGCTTCATTTTACTTTATGGGTTTCTAAAAAAATAAATAAATTAAAACAACCTATCTTCTGGTAGGTTACATGTGACTTTAACTTCTTGCCAAGTTGGCTTTGCTCCATACCTGGGCTTCCTGAGTTCCTGGGGAGGCAGGAGTGGGTCAGATGGAGGATGCCTTGCTCTGACTGTGCTGTGGGTGGCACCTGTCAGTTGTCATGCTGGGGACCCCCTCCTTCCCCCCAAAGCTGCTCTGAGGCTGCAGGTGAGATGCAGCCCAGGAGAGGAAGTGCATGACAGCTGTTTGGGCCCACGTTCCCTTTTAGGTTGCAGACAGGGCAGCGTGCAGAGCTGGTGGGCTGGGCGGGGTCTGACACAGTGCTGTGCGGAGCTCACCCGGACCTGGGCACTCAGGCTCTTTCTATATGGGGAACTCCAAGAGCTTGTTTGTGTGGTGGTGTCTATTTTTGTGTTTTGTGTGGTGCTCTGTGAGGAAGTCTGTTGTCTACGCACATCCCAGCTGCTTTGAATGGTCTGTCTCTGGGGGCTTCCAGGTAGGGAATTGTGTACGGGGAATCCAGGATTCGGGCAGCATCGGAACAGCAGGATGTGAGTAACAGGAAGTGACAGAAATGACCCAGGGCGCCAGATGCTTATTCTCGGCCACCTTTCCAAGCGCTGCAGCCCAGGAGCTATATTTAGCAGAGTGTTTCCGAGTGCCTCATCCTGCCCCCAGCACCGTCCCTTTGCCCCTCTTTTGGTTGGTGGCTGATTGCACGGTACTGATTTGCTGCTCCAGCGTTCCTGCTCTACTTCGTAATCTGTAGGCTCTTGCCCATTGACTTTAACACCCAGTTTTTGTTTGTGCTGGGTCACTTCAATTTTGATACACGTGGAGCAGCTGGAAACTGTTCTGAGCAGGAAGGGCAGCAGGTAAGAGCCCCAGGGGACAGTGTGCCATCATACTGGGAGGCTGTTGGGTGGTGAGTTCAAGGTCAGGGTTTGGAATTAAGCGGAAGGAATTGAGCTTCCTTGTAAGATGCTCCAGAGGGTTGCTTCTTGGCTTGTATGTCTTAGAAATGGAAGGCTGGAATTTTTAAGGTATAGGCTTTGTGGTGTGACTTTACTCATGTGCTAGAAACATTCTGTGGTTCTCACCTGGCCAGACAGAAAGCTGCAGGTGGAAGAGGCTTGTGTGTGGTGAATTCCTACAGTCTGAGCTTTGTCACGGGAAAATTTCCCTCCAGTCCCCCAAAGCAAGCACTACAGAGCCCAGATTTGTTCTGCTTTGGGTGTGGGTGGATTTTCACCTTGTCTGTCGACGGTGCAGGACCTGTCCCTGTGTGCTTTGAGGTTTCTAGGGTGTGATGTTGGTTTGTGGTTTGTGGAGGGGTGTGTGTTGGGAGGGAAGGTGTTTTTGCTGTTCTCCTCTAAAAGCTCCCTTCTGAGTGGTCCCGCCAGGACCTCCCTTTCCTCCCTTCATGAAGCATCCACCTTGTTTTCAGACACTCGAGCTATTTGGGATTCAGGAATTGACTCTGGGATGAGAAATTTGAGAGACAAATTAGGAACAGTTGTGTCTGCCATGAGACGCGTGGCAGTCGGCAGGGGCCTGGTGGGGTGTATAAAAGCCCTGGGAACCCTGCATAAAGGGGTTGGGATGGTAAAGGAGT